>NC_000011.10:9453939-9756969 GCF_000001405.40 Homo sapiens
CGGGTTCAAACGATTCTCCCACCTTAGCCTCCCGAGTAGCTGGGATTACAGGCATGTGCCACCACACCTGGCTAATTTTGTAATTTTAGTAGAGACAGGGTTTCTCCATGTTGGTCAGGGTGGTCTTGAACTCCCGACCTCAGGTGATCCTCCCACCTCGGCCTCCCAAAGTGCTGGGATTAAAGGTGTGAGCCACTGTGCCCAGCCTTAATTTTTGTATTTTTAGTAGCGACGGGGTTTCACCACGTTGGCCAGGATGGTCTCAATCTCCTGACCTCATGATCCACCCACCTGGGCCTCCCACAGTGCTGGGATTACAAGTGTGAGCCACTGCGCCTGGCTTTTTTTTTTTTTTTTTCTGAGACAGAGTTTCACTCTGCTGCCCAGGCTAAAATGCAGTGGCGCAATCTCGGCTCACTGCAGCCTTCGCCTCCTGGGTTCAAGCAATTCTGTTGCCTCAGCCTCCCAAGTAGCTGGAACTACAGGCACATACAACCATGCCCAGTTAACTTTTTGTATTTTTTTTTTAGACGGTGTTTCACTCTGTCGCCCAGGCTGGAACGCAATGGCGCAGTCTCGGCTCACTGCAACCTCCGCCTCCCAGGTTCAAGTGATTCTCCTGCTGCAGCCTCCCAAGTAGCTGGGATTACAGGCGCCCACCATTATGCCCGGCTAATTTTTACATTTTTAGTAGAGACAGGGTTTTTCCATGTTGACCAGGCTGGTCTCCAACTCCTGACTTCAGATGATCTCCCCACCTCGGCCTCCCAAAGTGCTGGGATTACAGGTGTGAGCCACTAGCCCGGCCAATTTTTTGTATTTTTAATAAAGACGGGGTTTCACCATGTTGACCTGGCTGGTCTCAATCTCCTGACCTCAGGTGATCCACCTGCCTCAGCCTCCCAAAGTGCTGGGATTACAGGCATGAGCCACTGTGCCCAAAAGGCACTTTCAAGAAAGTGAAGACAAGCCAGAGAAAGGGAGAAAATATTCGCAAAGTATATAACAGGCTAATATCCAGAATATGTGACCAACTTTTGCAATGCAACAGAGACAACTCAGTTAAAAAATGGGCAAGGAATCAGTAGACATTTATCTGATGAATATATACAAATGGCCAGTATCACAGAAAAAGATGATCGACATCATCAGTCATTAGGGAACTGCAAATCAGAAACAATGAGATGCCACTTCACACCTACTAGTATGACTATAATAAAGAAAAGATGGGCTGGGCATAGTGGCTCACGCCTGTTATCCCAGCACTTTCCCAGGCCCAGGCAGGTGGATCACTTGAGGTCAACAGTTTGAGACCACCCTGGCCAACGTAGTGAAACCTGTCTCTACTAAAAATACAAAAAAATTAGCTGAGCATGGTGGTACAAGCCTGTAATCCCAGCTACTCGGGAGGCTGAGGCAGGTGAATCACTTCAAGTGCGGAAGTGGAGGAGCCGAGATCACGCCACCCCACTTCAGCCTGGGTGACAGCGTGAGACTCCATCTCAAAAAAGATGGACAACTGGAAGTATTGGTAAGAATATGGAGAAATTCGCCTGTAATCCCAGCACTTTGGGAGGCCGAGGTGGGCAGATCACGA
This sequence comes from Homo sapiens, assembly GCF_000001405.40. Lineage (NCBI taxonomy): Eukaryota > Metazoa > Chordata > Mammalia > Primates > Hominidae > Homo > Homo sapiens. The sequence goes on from NC_000011.10 coordinate 9,455,537, forward strand.
GGTCAGGAGATCAAGACCATCCTGGCTAACACAGTGAAACCGTCTCTACTAAAAATACAAAAAATTAGCCGGGTGTGGTGGTGGGCGCCTGTAGTCCCAGGTACTCGGGAGGCTGAGGCAGGAAAATGGTGTGAACCCGGGAGGCGGAGCTTGCAGTGAGCCGAGATCGTGCCACTGCACTCAGCCTGGGCAACAGAGCAAGACTCCGTCTAAAAAAAAAAAAAAAAAAATTGAAACCCTCATACATTGCTGATGGGATGTAAAATGCTTATTTGTTGTGGAAGTTTGGCAGTTTCTCAAAAGGTTGAAAATATTGTTTTACGTAGACATGACCCAGCAATTCCACTCCTAGGTATATATACCAAAAGAAATGAAACACAAGGTCGGCAAAAAATACTTACACACAAATGTTCATAGTAGTATTATTGATAATAGCCAAAAGGTGGAAACAACCCAAATATCTATAAATCGATAAACAAATCGGGTATATACACAACCAAATATTTGGCAATAAAAGGGAATTAAGTACTGTTAACACCCTACAACCTGGATGAGGCTTGAAAACATTGTGCTATAATGAAGTCAGACAAAAAAGATTCCATTAAAATGTAATGTCCAGAATAGATAAGTCCAAAAGGGCAGAAAGTTAGTCATGGTTGCCAGAAGCTGGGGGAAAGAAGGAATGGAAGTGACTGCTAATGAGTATGGGGTTTCTTACAGGGGTGATAAAATATTTTGGATTAGATAGTGGTGATGTCTGCACAACCTGAGTATATATATATAGATATATACTCAAGTGTATAAAATGGTGAATTTTATGATAAACAAATTATATCTCAAAAAATTATTTTCACAGGTTTCTTTTTTATTTTATTTATTTATTTATTTATTTATTTATTTATTTATTTATTTATTTATTTTTGAGACAGAGTCTCCCTCTGTCGCCCAGGCTGGAGTGCAGTGGCGCGATCTTGGCTCACTGCAAGCTCCTCCCGGGTTCACGTCATTCTCCTGCCTCAGCCTCCCGGGTAGCTGGGAGTATAGGCGCCCGCCACCACGCCCGGCTAACTTTTTTTTTTAATTTTTAGTAAAGACGGGGTTTCACCGCGTTAGCCAGGATGGTCTGGATCTCTTGACCTCGTGATCCGCCCGCCTCTGCCTCCCAAAGTGCTGGGATTACAGGCGTGGGCCACGGCGCCCGGCATGAAACTTTTTTTTTTTTTTTGAGACAGAGTCTCGCTCTTGCGCCCAACCTGGAGTGAAGTGGCACGATTTTGGCTCATGGCAACCTCCGCCCCGCAGGATCAAGCTATTATCCTGACTCAGCCTCCCGAGCAGTTGGGATTACAGGCACCCACCACTATGGCCGGCTAATTTTTGTTTTTTGCTTTTTTGAGATGGAGGCTCGCTCTGTCACCCAGGCGGGAGTGCAGTGGTGCGATCTCGGCTCACTGCAACCTCTGCCTTCCAGGTTCAAGGGATTCTCCTGCCTCAGCCTCCTGAGTAGCTGGGACTGTAGGCGCATGCCACCACGCCCAGATAATTTTTTGTATTTTTATTATTTATTTATCTTTTTGTTTGCTTTTTTGGGACAAAGTCTTGCTCTGTTGCCCAGGCTGGAGTGCAACGGCACGATCTCGGCTCACTGCAACCTCCGCCTCCCGGGTTCAAGCGATTCTCCTGCCTCAGCTTCCCAAGTAGCTGGGATTACAGGCACCTGCCACCATGCCCGGCTAATTTTTGCATTTTTAGTAGAGACGGCGTTTCACCATGCTGGCTAGGCTGGTCTCAAACTCCCGACCTCAGGCGATCTGCCCACTTCCGCCTCCCAAAGTGCTGGGATTACAGGCGTGAGCCACTGTGCCCGGCCAATTTTTTGTATTTTTAGTAGAGACGGGTTTTCACCGTGTTAGCCAGGATAGTCTTGATCTCCTGACCTTGTGATCCGCCCGCCTCGTCCTCCCAAAGTGGTGGGATTACAAGTGTGAGCCACCGTGCCCAGCCTAATTTTTGTACTTTTAGTAGAGATGCGATTTCGCCATGTTGGCCTGGTTGGTCTCGAACTCCTGACTTCAGGTGGTCCACCCTCCTCGGCCTCCCAAAGTGCTGGGATTACAGGTGTGAACCACCGCACCCGGCCTTTTTTTTTTTTTAGATGGATTCTCACTCTGTCACCCAGGCTGGAGTGGAGTGGTGTGACCCTGGCTCACTGCAACCTCCGCCTCCGGGGTTCAAGCCATTCTCCTGCCTCAGCCTGCTGAGTAGCTGGGATTACAGGCGCCCACCACCACGCCGGGCTAATTTTTGTATTTTTAGTAGAGACGGGGTTTCACCATGGCTCGAACTCCTGACCTCGTGATCCGCCTGCCTCGGCTTCCCAAAGTGCTAGGATTGCAGGTGTGAGCCACCGCGCCCGGCCTGAAATAATTGCTTTTAAGCTTAACTCATCGTTTATCTTTTTTCTATATATATCATATATAATTTCTATATATATAGTATACATATATATCATATATAATTTCTATATATATATAGTATACATATATACTACTTTAATGCTTATAGCATGGTATAAATATGCCAAAACCAACCAATTCTCCAGTAAGTTTTAAGTTACTGAAAGAAGTGTTTTAGAAAATATTATCTTAACAGTTTTTGAAGGGGGCTACAAATAAGTTACCTCTTGTTTAGGAAGTTGGGGAAATTATTTAATTTCTGCATTTAAGAGCCTGGACTAGTACTGATTGACAGGGAAACATTTTCAAGCCATTAATTTGACCGGATATAACACGATATAAGGGAAGGGAGATGAATGGGATAACATTTTAAGCTTATGAATGGCTCTGAATATATGTACATTTGAACTCTGTTCTATAGTCACTGGTAAATACTGTTAACACAACGTTCCATTACCTGTGACAAATCAGAATTAGGTTTCTCTCTGAATCCAGTTACAATTATAGCATCCTATCCACCGCCACCATCATCGCCATTCAATTTTTAGAACAACTCAGTAGCTTCTGGGGATACAAAGATGTCCTGTAATTGTTATCTACAATAAGAGGGCGATTTAAAAATTCTTGAGATTCTGTATTATAGTGTTTTAATGAGTAGCCTACAGGCATGGGACTTAGTGGAACTGCATAAAAATATTCTGATGGGTTAAAAAACACCTCCAATTACAAAACACAGATACATGTGGAGGGAACAGAAATTATAAATTAAAACCATTTGTTTTTCAGCTGGGCTACTTCTTTGTAACAGAGAATGTATCCATTGGGTAGGAGACTGATTTTAACTGAGCAAAATCCTCCAGTTAAAAGTAACCTAATCCTTTTTTTTTTTTTTTTTTTTTTTTTTTTGAGACGGAATCTTGCTCTGTTGCCCAGCCTGGAGTGCAGTGGCGCAATCTCAGCTCACTGCAAGCTCCGCCTCCCGGGTTCACGCCATTTTCCTGCCTCATTCTCCCGAGTAGCTGGGACTACAGGCGCCCGCCACCACGCCTGCTAAATTTTTTGTATTTTTAGTAGAGACGGGGTTTCACCGCGTTAGCCAGGATGGTCTCGATCTCCTGACCTCATGATCTGCCCGCCTTGGCCTCCCAAAGTGCTGGGATTACAGGCGTGAGCCTCCGCGCCCGGCCACCTAATCCATTTTTTATATGTGACACTTTTATTTTAAGGGCTTAAAAAGTAATCCGGGCCGGGCGCGGTGGCTCACGCCTGTAATCCCAGTACTTTGGTAGGCTGAGGTGGGCGGATTACGCGGTCAGGAGTTTCAGACCAGCCTGGCCAACATGGTGAAACCCCGTCTCTACTAAAAACAGAAAAATTAGCCGGGCGTGATGGTGGGCGCCTGTAGTCCCAGCTACTCAGGAGGTTGAGGCAGGAGAAATCGCTTGAACCTGGGAGGCGGAGGTTGCAGTGAGCTGAGATCGTGCCACTGCATTGCAGTCTGGGCTACAGGGCGAGACTCCGTCTCAAAAAACAAACAAACAAACAAAAAACAGTAATCCGAACTGATTTAAACTTCTTTATTAACAGAATATATGTTCAAACAAAGCTTAAAGTCCCATTTTCTTTCCATTGGCGTCTAGGCCCCTATTACTCAACTATCCGTTGGTTAGGGCCTGCACCTCAAGGTAGGCTTAATTGTAAATCAAAATATTTACTATCCACACTTAGAGGGCTATCTGTAACATCGTTTTTATTTATCCCCGTCCATTCGATAATCGTCTGAAATGCAAGACATTAAGTTGAACATCATCCAGCTTTCTCCCTGTTTTTCTAAGCGCGATCCAAATCTGTTACAACAGGGTAGTCTCTCATTCTCTTGGTAGCTCAATTCTACCCCCTGGCCGACTTAAGAAATTTTGAGTCTAATACACCCACCTCATCTTTAGTCGGCCTGGTGCGCCAACGCAAATTTGTACTGAGTACCTTCGGAACTGACTAGTAAGTATATCCAAAGGTTTAGAAAGGGCTGGGTTAAGAGCTACAAGAAGCATTAACCGCAACGGCCACAACTAATTTGTATCCATTCTTAGTAACTTTAGGGAACCAGACTGAATGCTTCTCCCACCCTTTTGACTTTCCTTTATTAGTTCGCAACACAAGAACATACAAAAGACCGTAGCGACAACCATTTCTGACGCCTTCAACTTTTAAATCCAAATTACGTGAAACCACAAAGCATCAGTGGTGTCTCCCCGAGGAATCCAAGACCCCCCGGCCGGTTGCCAAGCCGCCGGAATTTCAGCAGGAGAGGAAGGCTCACCCTCCCACCGCATGGCGATGCCCGGGAGACTGGAGAAGCTCAGGCAGGCTTGGAAGCCAATCCCCGGCATACAGCAGCTCTCGGGAATGCAGAGCCCTAGAGCAAGACCAAGGGCCTCGGCCGACACTGAGAGCCTCCAGGGAGAGGTCAGGTCTCTCTTTCTGTCCTATTTCTCCCTTCGACTTCCCTCCCAGCAGGCTGCTATTGAGCATTCAGCAATCGCCAGACAAAGCCCTTCTGGTCTGCAGAACGCACTCCGGCAAGCCCACCGGGAGAACCAAAGCCGCCTCCTCGCCCCTGTGGGGAAAATGGCGCTCGTCACCCCGGCTCCCTCCCGGGTAATCACAAGGACCAGCCTCCCTCCCTCGCTACAAAATGGCGCCTCCCGCTGGGGCCCCAGAATCGGTATGACTCGCTAGTCAGTGAGGCGGGGTCCGTCTGGGATAAGCGGTTATGTCAACCAGTCAGACACAGGAGCTTTGATTCTGCACTTTGCGCGAGCCACTCAGGGGCGGGCTGTAAAGTCAGGCTTGGCTGACGTCAGTTGAGTGGGCGCGGCTAGGGCGGTTTTCTTTCGCGTCGACCAAACGTGGGCCAATGGAAAACCGGAAGCGTCCTGTGAGTGATGTAATGACAGCCCAATGGAAGCTGGGGGCGGGCCTCAGACACACTATGCGGGTTGCGGGGCCTGGGGGCCGGACGGCTGTTTCCTGTCCTGGTGCATGGTGGTCGGACGAAGGAATTGTTGGAAAATTTTCTCGGAGGTTCGTATATAAATGTGTTTTTACCCAGTGTGCATTATTCTCCGCCTGGCCGCCGCCCTCAGCGCGGCGGCGCGGGCCCGCTTGGGCCCGGGCTCCGGCTCCCGCTGCTCAGCCTCCGCCGCAGGCCTTGCCGATTTTATGGGCCGGCCGCGGTAGCGGCGTCTGGGCAGAAGCGGAGTTTATTAATAACCCGCGGCCGCCACTCTAGGCGGCGGAGCTTTTTTCGTTGAGGACTCAACTCCCCCCAGCTTGTCTCTGAGCGATGCGCCCCGCCTGTTTCCCTCAGGGGACCGCCAAGGGGAGGGAGTGAAAGAGGGGAGGGTGGAGCCCTCGGGAGCCTTGGCCGCGTTTCTCGGCCTGACCTCCGCGCAGAGCGAGTCCCCAGGCGCCGCCGAGGCAGAGTTCCGCCGCCTGGGACGCCGGGCCCACGGGCCACACCAGGCCGCAGCGGGGGCGCCGGGGACAGGGCTGGCCCAGGCCCTCCCAGGACCTGCCGGTCTCACCTAGCGCTTGCTTCCCATGCGTATCGTGGGCAGATTGTTTCCCCCTCACCCTTTCTTCTATTAAAAAAAAAAAAAGGTTACTGAGGTCTAACATCGGATATTAGAAATTTACAATTTTATCCTCCCTTTTCTCCAGTTTTGGCCAAAAGAGTGAACAAATTCTTATAAGTCTCTTTGAAACGTATTATTGTGGAACGCGAACTAGTTTTTATTCCTTCCCCTTTTGCTTTGGACATTTGTTTTTTCCACATAATAACGAAGTTAAAAAGAGGAAAGAAGAATACCATTGCCAGCCCATTATTTGTTTAAAATCAGCGTCAGCCTTTGCTTTGGAAGTGTCTAAATCAGCTGATATAATCAAGTGAGAATGTGGGGAGAAATTGTAGGTTCGAGATTGTGGTCGGCTTTGTCCTGAATCTTACCAGAAGATACTTGTGTTTTCCTGTAGTTGACAAAAAACGGTGCAGTATTTAATGTTTTTTCTTGCTGAGTATGTAGATCAAGTTTACGTTTAGTAAGAAAATAACGTGATAAGGAGATCACTCAAAAACACCCATAAGATGCATAGCTAATTTTGTCCTGGCGTATTTTGACTGTTTGGAAATTTTTTTTTTTTAATTGTCAGTGTCCACTATTTGGAAATTCTATGAGCAGTCAGCTGTCTACAGATACTTGAGTGCCTTTTTTTTTTTTGCTTTACAGATGCCCGCCTTTATTTTTTAAAATAGCTTTAGTGATGTAATTCACATACCTTACAGTTCACCCATTTAAAATGTGTAATTAGGCCTGGGCAGCATAGGGAGACGGCCCTCCCATGTTTCTACAAAAAAAATTTTTTTTAAGTGAAATCAGCGTGTGCCTGTAGTCCCAGGTACTTGGAGGCAGAGGTGAGAGGATCACTTGAGCCCAGGAGTTCCAGGCTGCAGTGAGCCGTGATTGTGCCACTGTACTCCCGTCTGGGTGACAGAGACCGGTCTCGAAAAAAAAAAAAGTGATAATTAGTTGAATTTTAGCCTGGGTGTGGTGGCTCACACCTGTAATCTCAGCACTTTGGGAGGCCGAGGCCAGCGGATCACCTGAGGTCAGGAGTTCGAGACCAGTCTGGTCAACGTGGTGAAACCCCCGTCTCTGCGAAAAATACAAAAATTAGCCGGGTGTGGTGGCAGGCGCCTGTAATCCCAGTTACTCTGGAAGCTGAGGCAGGAGAATCGCTTGAACCCAGGAGGCGGAGGTTGCAGTGAGCCGAGATTGCACCATTGCACTCCAGTCTGGGCAACAAGAGCGAAACTCCGTCTCAAAAAAAAAGTTGAATTTTAATATATTCAGAGTTGCGCAGCCATCACTACAATCAATTTAGCAACATATCACCCCCAAAAGAAACTATACCCGTTAGCAATTACTCCCCATTTCCTCTCAGTTGTCCCCTCCACCCCACTACTAGTTTGCATGTTTGCTATTCTAGATATTTCACATAAATGGAATCACAAAGTATGTAGCCTTGTCCAGGGTCATTTATGTTATAACATGTGTCAATACTTTATTTTTATTGCCAAATGATATTTCATTGTATGAACATAGTACATTTTACTTATCCATTCATCTGTTGATGGACATTTGGGTTGTTTCCACCCTTTGGCTATTACACATAATGCTATGAACATTTGTACGAAAGTTTTTGTGTGGACATAGGTTTTCATTTCTCTTGGGAGTAGAATACCTAGGAATAGAATTGCTGAGTCATATAGTAACTATGTTCAACCTTTTGAGGTACTCTAAAACTTTTTCAGTGTGGCTGCACCACGTTTACATTCCTACCAGCAATGTGTAAAGGTTCCAGTTTCTCCATATCCTTACCAACACTTGTTATCATCAGTCTTTTTGATTATAGTTTTTCTAGTGTGGATGAAATGGTGTCTCTTGTAGGTTTGGTTTGCCTGTCTCTGATGGTTAATAATGTTGAGCATTTTTTCTGTGCCTAACGATCATTTATAATCATTGGAGAAATGTCTGTTTGAATTCTTTACCCATTTTAAAGTTGGATTATTCGTCTTATTATGATTTGGTTGTGAGAGTACTTTATATGTTCTAGATAGAAGTCCCTTATCAGATACATGGTTTGCAAAATGTCCATAGTCCTTTGCTGTGTGTTGGAATGTTGCTGTGAAGTAAGGACTGGTTGTGTTCTTCACAGAAACGTGGCATGGCTGCATTGAACTGTGCCTCTACTACATGGTTTTATTTTTAAAATAAAAAACCACTCCACCCTCATAGCATAGTTCCATTTCTGGAAGGTAAGCACTGAATTTTTAAATGTTCATACAAGCATATACAGATAACTATATACATTTTTAAATAAATGAATGCAATCATATGGTATCTACTTTTCTGCAACTTGCTTTTTCCCACTTACCATATATCTTGGACATGTTTCTCACTGTTTCAGATAGATAGATCTCATTCTTTTAAATGCCTACATGTTTCATTTAGGGATGTCGTGTGTGTGTGTTTGTGTGTGTGTGTGTGTGTGTGTGTGTGTATTTGTGTATAGATATTAAAAATCCATTTTTTTTAAGAGACAGGGTCTCACTCTCACCCAGACTGGAGTGCAGTGGCATGATCTCAGCTCACTGCAGCCTCAACCTCCCTGGCACAAGTGATCCTCCCACCTCAGACTCCAGAGTAGCTAGGACTACAGGTGCACGCCACAATGCCCAGCTAATTTTTAGAAAAACGTTTGTAGGCCAGGCGTGGTGGCTCACGCCTATAATCCCAGTACTTTGGGAGGCTGAGGCAGGTGGATCTCCTGAGGTCAGGAATTTGAGACCAGCCTGGCCAACATGGTGAAACCCTGTCTCTACTAAAAATACAAAAATTAGCCAGGTGGGGTGGCCCATGCCTTTAATCCCAGCTACTCGGGAGGCTGAGGCAGGAGAATCTCTTGAACCTGGGAGGTGGAGGTTGCAGTGAGCTGAGATTGCACCACTGCACTCCAGCCTGGGGGACAGAACAAGACCCTGTCTCAATCAATCAATCAATCAATCAATGGTGTGTGTTAATTACATAATAAGAATAATGCTCACGCCTGTAATCCCAGCACTTTGGGAGGCCGAGGTGGGTGGATCACGAGGTCAGGAGTTCAAGATGAGCCCGACCAACATGGTGAAATCCCGTCTCTACTAAAAAAATACAAAAAATTAGCTGGGCATGGTGGCGGGCACCTGTAATCCCAGCTACTCAGGAGGCTGAGGCAGGGGAATTGCTTGAACCCAGGAGGCAGAGGTTGCAGTGAGACGAGATCGCGTCACTGTATTCCAGCCTGGGCGACAGAGGGAGACTCTGTCTCAAAAAAAAAATAATAATAATGCTAAATGGCCTATAAGGGTAATTAATTTGTTAAATGTGAATTAAAAGTGATCATTGTGAAGAATTTTTGACAACTTAGGAAAATTTATAGGAATAAAAAAAGCTGAATACAAAATGTTATGTATATGATAATTACAATGCTGTAAAAATTTTGTATGTATGTGGATAGCAAGGGCTAGAGAATAAAACCAGGAAAACTGAAAATGTTTGATTTGTTAAGCTATTGGGACTTACTATTTTTTTTATTTATTTTATTTGTTTTGAGACGGAGTCTTACTCTGTCACCCAGGCTGGAGTGCAGTGGTGCGATCTCAGCTCACTGCAACCTCCGCCTCCCGGGTTCAAGTGATTCCCCTGCCTCAGCCTCCCAAGTAGCTGGGATTACAGAAGCACGCCACCATGCCCAGCTAATTTTTTTATTTTTAGTAGAGACGGGGTTTCACCATGTTGGCCAGGCTGGTCTTGAACTCCTGACCTTGTGATCCGCCTGCCTTGGCTCCCAGAGTGCTGGGATTACAGGTGCAAGCCACCGTGCCTGGCTGGTACTTTTATTTATTTATTTATTTATTTTTTCTGAAATGGAGTCTCACTCTGTCGCCCAGGCTGGAGTGCAGTGGCGTGATCTCGGCTCTCTGCAAGCTCTGCCTCCCAGGTTCACACCATTCTCCTGCCTCAGCCTCCCTAGTAGCTGGGACTATAGGCGCCCGCCACCACGCCTGGCTAATTTTTTTTTTTTTTTTTGTATTTTTGGTAGAGACGGGGTTTCACCTGACCTCATAATCTGCCCGTCTTGGCCTCCCAAAGGACTTATTATTATAAGTTTTAAATTTATATTACAATATTGTATGCAAGGAAAAGTTTTTTGTTTTTTGTTTGTTTGTTTGTTTTCTTTTTTTGCTTTTGGGAGGATTTCTCTCTGTTTCCCAGGCAGGAGTACAGTGGCACAATCACAGCTCACTGCAGCCTCTACCTCCCAGGCCCAAGTGATCCTCCCTTCTCCTCAGCCTCCCAAGTGGCTTGGTATTACAGGTCCAAGCTACCATGTCTGGCTAATTTTTTTTTTTTTTGAGAGGGAGTTCACCCAGGCTGGAGTGCAGTGGCTAGATCTCGGCTCACTGCAACCTCCAGCTCCCAGGCTCAAGTGATTCTCCTTCCTCAGCATCCTGAGTATCTGGGATTACAGGCACCTGCCACCACATCTGGCTAATTTTTGTATTTTTAGTAGAGACAGGGTTTCACCATGTTGGCCAGGCTGGTCTTGAACTCCTGACCTTAGGTGATCCACCCATCTCAGCCTCCCAGAGTGCTGGGATTACAGACGTGAGCCACCATGCGCAGCCTAATTTTTTTCTTTTCTTTTCTTTTTTTTTGAGATGGAGTCTTGCTCTTGTTGCCCAGGCTGGAGTGCAATGATGTGATCTCGGCTCACTGCAACCTACGTCTCCCGGATTCAAGCGATTCTCCTGCTTCAGCCTCCCTAGTAGCTGGGATTACAGGCGTCTGCCACCACGCCTGGCTAATTTTTGTATTTTTAGTAGTGACTGGGTTTCACCATGTTGGCCAGGGTGGTCTCGAACTCCTGACCTCAGGTGATCCACCCACCTCAGCCTCCCAAAGTGCTGGGATTACAGATGTGAGCCACCACTCCCGGCATAATTTTTTCCTTTTTTTTATTTTCCGTAGAGACAGGGTTTCACTGTGTTGCCCAGGCTGGTCTTGAACTCCTGGCCTCAAGCCGTCTTCCCTCCTTGGCCTCCCCAAGTGCTGCAGTTACAGGTGTGAGCCATCATGCCCAGCCTGCAAGGAAAATTTTAATGGTCTACAAAACACAATAAAATAGCTGACTGTTTTTAGACTGAAACGATGAGAATATGGTGCAGAGAGCAGTAAAGATATTATTGTAATACTTTTAAATATTACAATAGAGTAATACTCTGGTTTTTTTTTGTGTGTGTGTGTGTGTTTTTTTGACACAGAGTCTCTCTGTGTCACCCAGGCTGGAGTGCAGTGGCGCGATCTCGGCTCACTGCAAGCTCTGCCTCCCGGGTTCACGCCATTCTCCTGCCTCAGCCTCCGGAGTAGCTGGGACTACAGGTGCATGCCACCGCCTGGTTAATTTTTTGTATTTTTTAGTAGAGACGGGGTTTCACCGTGTTAGCCAGGATGCTCTCAATCTCCTGACCTCGTGATCCACCCGCCTTGGCCTCCCAAAGTGCTGGGATTACAGGAGTGAGCCACTGCGCCCTGGCCAACTATGTGTAATACTCTTAAGTGAGGGGATGAAAAAGGAAAGTGTTTTTTTTTTTTTTTTGAGATAGAGTTTTACTCTGTAGCTCAGGCTGGAGTGCAGTGGCACCATCTTGGCTCACTGCTGCCTCCACCCTCCGGGTTCAAGTGATTCTCCTGCCTCAGCTGGGAGTAGCTGGGATTATAGGCACCCGCCACCATACCCGGCTGATTTTCTTATATTTTTAGTAGAGACAGGGTTTTGTCATGTTGTCCGGGCTGTTCTCAAACTCCTGACTTCAGGTGATCCACCCGCCTCAGCCTTTCAAAGTGCTGGGATTATAGGTGTGAGCCACCATGCCCAACAAGAAAAATTTTAAAGGGTGAAAATCATGGCTGGCTGGCGCAATGGCTCGTGCCTTTAATCCCAGCACTTTGGGAAGCTGAGGCGGGTGGATCATGAGGTCAGGAGTTCAAGACCCGCCTGGCCAGCATGGTGAAAACCCTTCTCTACTAAAAATACAAAAAATTACCTGGGCATGGTGGTGTGCGCCTGTAATCCCAGTTACTCAGGAGGCTGAGACAGAACTGCTTGAACTTGGGAGGTGGAAGTTACAGTGAGCTGAGATGGCGCCACTGCACTCTGGCCTGGGCGACAAGAGTGAGACTCCATCTCCAAAAAAAAAAAAAAAAAAAAAGTTGTCTGTCAGGAATTCCTTCTATAATTTTCACAATTATCTAATGATGCTTTGCTTTCCTTACCTATGTCACGATGAGCAATTTGGGTGATAAAATAGTAGCATATACAGTGTTCCTCTTGGGGGTAATAACGTACAGTCTGGCATTGTAATTTTGAAATAACATGCTTTTTAACAGAGCAGCATCAGAAATGGTGTTTGGAATATGTCAGAATCTCTTTCTTTTCTCTGCTGCATCTGTTCCTCATATTCCCTAGTTTTGCTGAAAGCAATCCAGGGCATGCTTACCAAACTGCTCTGTGCATGGAGTGCCCTTATTAAACCATGTCCATTAGTGCTACTTTATTGAAGTTTAAGAGAGGTGTTTTTTGTTCTTTTTCACATCAATAGTTCAGTTGAGATCAAACCATCACCAAAATGGGGATACCTAATGACTAGACCTAGATGTTCATTTCTAAATTCTTGTCTCTGCTCTCAGCTCTTTCCTGACAGGTATTTTTAGCTTTAAGCCTAGTAGGTCCTATCTCTGTTGTCACTTCAAAGGTATCAGGCTCTACCTACCTGCCAGTCAGTTTCATATATTCAGTTTTTGAATAGTCCTGGAACTGCACAAAGCCTTCAAGTTTCAACATTTCACCTATCCAATAGGATATTCTGCCCCAATTAGAATTGGCAGTATGAACTCTTTGCCCATACTTTAACCCTTAGCATCATATGGAGTCTGCGAGAACTCTATCTCATTTGCTAGCACGTTCTAATTACTTTTTACTTCACTGAATTATATTTAATTAATGGAACATGCTTACACTCTGGCTATATTTAAATATAACTCAAGGCTGGGTGTGGCTTATGCCTATAATCCCAGCTACTCAGGAGGCTGAGGCAGGAGGATCACATGAGCCCAAGAATTTGAGGTTGCAGGGTCCTGCCACTGCAGTCCAGCCTGGGTGACAGAGTGAGACTCGACTTTCATATATCATATATTTTCTGGGCACGGTGGCTCACACCTGTAATCCCAGTACTTTGGGAGGCTGAGGCATGCAGATCACTTGAGGTCAGAAGTTCGAGACCAGCCTGGCCAACATGGTGAAACCCCACCTCTACTAAAAATACAAAAATGAGCCAGGTGTGGTGGCACGTACCTGTAATCCCAGTTACTCGGGAGGCTGAGGCATGAGAATCACTTGAACCTGGGAGGTGGAGGTTGCAGTGATCTGAGATCACGCCATTGCACTCTAGCCTCGGCTACAGTGAGATGCCATCTCAAAAAAAAAAAAGTAGAGTAATGCAGTATTTGTCTTTTTGTAACTGAAAATTAGCCTATGCTAATTTTATTCTCAGCAGGGGTCTTTTTTTTTTTTTTTTTTTTTTTACCACCCCCCCATACGGAGTTTCGCTCTTGTTGCCCAGCTTGGAGTGCAATGTTGTGATCTCGGCTCACTGCAACCTCCACCTCCCGGGTTCAGGCAGTTTTCCTGCCTCAGCCTCCCAAGTAGCTGGGATTACAGGCGTGCACCACCACTCCCAGCTAATTTTTGTATTTTTAGTAGTGACGGGGTTTCACCTTGTTGGTCAGGCTGATATGGAACTCCTGACCTCAGGTGATCCACCCACCCTGGCCTCCCAAAGTGCTGGGATTACAGGCATGAGCCACCGCGTGCAGCCCACAGGTCTTAACAGTAGGGTACTGGTGTTACTTTGAGTCTTCTCTGCCAGCTTTTGGAGGTGCCAAGGAAATGACGTTTCAGCTTGTTCTATGAACAGTTATAGATTATGGATCCTTTTGTACCTAAAAGGTCACCCCTTGACTTTTTCTTTAAATGTGCGTGCCACCACATCCAGCTAATTTGTTAATATTTTTAGTAGAGACAGGGTTTCACCATGTTGACCAGGCTGGTCTCGAACTCCTGACCTCAGGTGATCCACCTGCTTTGGCCTTTCAGAGTGCTGTGAATCCAGGTGTGAGCCACTGCACCCAGCCTTGACTGACAGTTATCATGGCACTGATACCTTTTTGTGTATCTGAACAGTAGTTCCCACTTTTGGTCTAATGAAGGTACAGTTTATAGTATTTCCAAGACAAAATTCTTCAAGCAATCCTAAACGTAAAAAGAATTACAAATTATTACTACTATCTGTGTATTGCTCTTTTAAATATTGATGCTAAGTCAGATCTTTGGACCTGGAAAGGTCCTCAAGACATCTTCTGGTTCAGTTCCCTGTCCCAAGGCAGCTACATTATCCCAGCTACTGTTTGAGATAAGCCATGGTCCACAGAGGTAAGGAGACCTGGAGGTAGAAGGGAAGAAGGAGGTTGTGTTGGTGATTGGTAGAAGAGTTGCCCATTCATCCATTTATTCTGTACCTATTGTACTTCTACTATGGGCCAAGCACTTTCTAGGCACTAGAGTCAGCAGTGAGCAAACAAACAGAAGTCTCTGTCCATTCTCATGGAAGGGGAAATAGATAAACTAAATACATAAATACATGTAATTTGTTAAATAATAAGTACTGTGCAGAAACATGGAGGGGAAAAGAAGGATGGGGTTTACCATGATTGAGCAGTTGGGAGGTGCAGTTTGAAATGGGATGGACAGGGAAGCTCTCATTCCATTTGAGCAAAGACTTGAAGAGGGTAGGGAATGAATAATGAAGATACTGGGGACAATGTTTCAGGCAGAAGGAAACTCAAATGAACACGTTCTAAGGCAGCAGAACATCCAATATGCTTGAGGAAAATGCCAATGTGGCTGAAGTGGAGTGAATGAGATGGTGAGTAGTAGGAAATGAGGGGCAAGATCATTGGCCTCATTGATCAGTGTAAGGATTTGGGGATTTTACTCTGAGAAAGTCCTCAGAAGGTTTTGAGCAGAAGCGGGACATGAGCTAACTTTTCCCTTCAAAGGACACTGACCGCTGTGTCAAAAGAAGAGTGTAGGAGGCTAATGGAGAAGCAGGGAAATAAGTTAGGATGCTGTTATAGTAATGCAGGTGAGAGACTGGTTGTGGCTTAGATCAGGGAAGTACTGGTGAAGGTTGTGAGAGGTAGCCAGATTCGGGGTAGATTTCTGAAGATTAAGTCAACAAAATATGCTGACACATTGTAAGTGGGAATCCTCAGCAATGCTAAACCCAAAGGACTCTAATTATGGGAATTCTAGAGATCATATGAAACTGATGGGCACAATTCGTCAGTGTACTTCTAAGTTGCTAAGCGCACTGACAAATTGTGCCCATCAGTTTGAATTGTTGAATTATAAGAAGCATGCCTTGGACTTTGGGCTAATACTCTTACCCTACATATTGAGTGAAATTTCATCTTATTTCCAACACCATTACATCCTCAGCAGCTTTTTGTGGTTCATAAATATTCTTTGTAACTTTCATTTCACATGTATCATTCTTTGTTCCCAAGTGTCTTTATTTTTCTTCAAGGTAGAAGATGTTGTTAGCCCAAATAAATCGAGATTCTCAGGGAATGACAGAGTTTCCTGGAGGAGGGATGGAGGCGCAACATGTTACGCTGTGCTTGACAGAGGCAGTCACCGTGGCAGGTGAGCAGTTGTGTTTGAAGGGATGCGTTTGAAAATATCATTTATCTTAAAAGAAAAAAAATTTACAACTTCCTAGTTCCTGATTTAGCAGAAAACAATATAAACCTAGGTCTTTTTATGAGGTGTTTTGGTGTTTTTTTTTTTGAAACGGGACGGAGTTTTACTCTTGTCGCCCAGGCTGGAGTGCGATGGTCTGCTCTCGGCTCACTGCAACCTCTGCCTCCCAAGTCCAAGTGATTCTCCTGCCTCAGCCTCCCGAGTAGCTGGGATTACAGGCATGTGCCACCACGTCCGGCTAATTTTGTATTTTTAGTAGAGACGGGGTTTCACCACGTTGGCCAGGCTGGTCTCAAACTCCTGACCTCAGGTAATCAACCTGCTTCGGCCTCCCAAAGTGCTGGGATTACAGGCATGAGCCATTGCGCCCAGCCTCTATGTGTATTTTTTATCTTGGTGTGGGTACAGGAGGGCAGGGAATTTTTTTTTTCTTTTTCTTTTTCTTTTCTTTTCTTTTGTTTTTTTTTTTTGAGACAAGGTCTTGCTTTATCGCCCAGGCTGGAGTGCAGTGGTATGATCACGGCTCACTGTAGCCTCAGCCTTCTGGCTTAAGACATCCTGTCACCTCAGCCTCCCAAGTAGCTGAGACTACAGGCACCCACCAGCGTGCCCAGCTAATTATTTTATTTTTAGTAGAGACAGGGTTTCACCATGTTGCCCAGGCTGGTCTCAAACTCCTGGGCTCAAGCCATCCACCCACCTCAGCCTCCAAAAGTGCTGGGATTACAGGCATGAGCCATTGTTCCCAGCCTGTTTTTGGTAAGTGCTAAATCTCACTTTTTTTCTTTTTTTTGAGACGGAGTCTGGCTCTGTCGCCCAGGCTGGAGGGCAGTGGCACAATCTCGGCTCACTGCAACCTCTGCCTCCTGGGTTCAAGCGATTCTTCTGCCTCAGCCTCCCAAGTAGCTGGGACTACAAGGTGCATGCCACCGCGCCCGACTAATTTTTATATTTTTAGTAGAGACGGGGTTTCACCTCATTGGCCAGGCTGGTGTCGAACTTCTGACCTCATGATCCACTTGCCTTGGCCTCCCAAAGTGCCGTGATTACAGGCGTGAGCCACTGCACCCGGCCGCTAAATCTCATTTTGAGTCTGAGTTAAGCAGTTTACCTTTTTTCTGATCTTTATTTGAAAAAAAAATTAATCAGCATGTCCATATGCTAGCTGTCTAAAGAAAATATTGATTTTTTTGTAATAGATGGTGACAACTTAGAAAATATGGAAGGCGTAAGCTTGCAAGCAGTAACACTTGCAGATGGTTCTACTGCTTACATACAACACAATTCTAAAGGTATGTGCCTCACATATGGCTGATTGGTTAATACCAGTGATTTATAACCTGTGAGTTGGAGCACCTAGAAGCTATACCACCTTTCCTATGTCTCCTAAAGATGCTGTATTGCATATGATGATTTTAAGTCATTTCAGTTTAATTCTTTTTTTTTTTTTTTTTATAATTTGGAATAGTCCTTTGAGATATTTGGAAGATACCCTGGGATATCAAAATTAGTGGGAGAGAGGAGAGCAGGGAGTATGTCTTACTATTTTCTAGTAAGACCTTTCTTGCTTCTTTACCTTGGGTCATTATTTCGTATTTTTACCAAATACCTGTAAGAGTAAAGACATTTGGGGCCGGGCATGGTGGTTCACGCCTGTAATCCCAACGCTTTGGAAGGCCGAGGCGGGCAGATCACCTGAGGTCGGGAGTTCGAGACCAGCCTGACCAACATGGAGAAACCGTTTTCTGTAATAAAAATACAAAATTAGCTGGGCATGGTGGCGCATGCCTGTAATCCCAGCTACTCAGGAGGCTGAGGCAGGAGAGTCGCTTGAACCCGGGAGGCAGAGGTTGCAGTGAGCCGAGATCACGCCATTGCACTCCGGCCTGGGCAACTAGAGCAAAACTCTGTCTCAAAAAAAAAAAAAAAAGACATTTGGTTTTGCTTATCTGACATTGTCTCTGAATTAGTGTTTGCTTTGCTCCAGGAAACAGCCAAGTCCTCAAAAACTCTTTGTTTCTATGGAAACCTACTGAGCACATGCATACATAAACAGGGGTCTTATAGCCCTCAGGGATGAGAATGACAGATGATCTCACATACACTGACATAATCTGTCTGTCTTCCCAGCTTCAACTCCCCACTGGTCATGGTCACTGATTCTAAGTGACTCTGAAAGGTATAAAGCAGTCCAACTCATGTAGCCTGCTGTGATGAGCCACTCTTCCTCTTGACCTCATCTAATTGAAAATTGCAGGGGAGGAAGGATGGCTGAGGGAGGATTTTCTGCTTTCTGTAGGATCACTGGATGTGTTATTGAATTGCCTCAGAACATTGAGGGAAGAATCAAGATGAACACGAGCTTAAGTTGTGTATGTTTTTATAGTTGATATCATTTTGAAATTGTATAAAGTTTAAAATTTTTGTTTGTGCCAATTTATTGTCTTGAATCTTTTGTTATAGATGCAAAACTCATAGATGGCCAGGTCATTCAGTTGGAAGATGGTTCTGCGGCCTATGTTCAACATGTACCCATACCTAAAAGTAGTAAGTATTTAAGATAACAGCACGGGAAACCATTTTAATTCTCAGCTTTTAGTATTTGCTACCTGCAGCTCCCTCTTACTACCTAAACTTGGTCTTGTTCTCAAGTCCTCCTTCTGTAAAGGGAGATTATAGATGCCACAGAGTGGATCTTAACCAAGACTTTCTCGTAAAGATAATGGAAAAGAAGTTACTGGACTGCACTGTGGAGATAAATGAGTAACAGTCCTGAGTGAATGTTTCTGTTTTTTGAGCTGAATCTTACATGTCTCTCATTTTCTTCATTTTTCCCCTTCTTTCAACTCTCTTTAATACTGGTGTATATTTCTAAAACCAATATTCTAATGTCTTTTTACCTTTAAACACTGACGCAGGGAAGCTTTACTGAACTTACTTAAATGTTCAAAGACTCATGAAGCAAGTATAGATTGTTATAATGTGTTAATGGTTTATTGACTCTTGTTGCTAAGTGAGTTAATTGGAATGTGCTAGAAAACATGAGATCTAAATGTAAGCATTGTTCTTGAGCAGGGGACAGTTTGCGTCTAGAGGATGGTCAAGCAGTACAGTTAGAAGATGGTACCACAGCATTTATTCACCACACCTCCAAAGGTAAAATAACTTTGAAAGTATGAATAAAATAAGGGAGAAGTGGGAGTGGTGGGGGAAAGAAGACCTGTGTTTAGCTTCTGAATTGTTGTCATGGGAAAGAATTGTATTTATTCATTAAAGTACAAGGTGGCAGATTTAAGCATGATTTAAGGAAAAATTTTCCTACAATTTGAGCTGTCCAGTGACAAGCTGGAACAGCAAACCAAATGACTGGTCCCTGGAAGACTTAAAGTAGAGGCCACATTTTGTTTTTTTGGTTGGCTTTTGTTCTAAGAGACAGGGTCTCACTCTGTTGCCAGGCTGGATTGTGGTGGCACAAGCACAGCTCACTGCAGCCTCAAACTCCTGGGCTCAGGGATCCTCCTGCCTCAGCCTCCTGAATAGCTGGGACTACAGGTGCATGCTGCCTCTCCCAGCTAGTTTTTTCATTTTTTGTAGAGACAGGGTCTTACTCTGTTGCCAGGCTAATCTCAAACTCCTGGCCTCAAGCCAGCCTCCCAAAGTGCTGGGATTATAGGCGTTAGCTACTGCACCCAGCCTTAATTTCATATTTTAAAAGCAGCCTTGGCTCCTTTTTTAAATGATTCAGAAATAAAATCACAATGTAACATTGAAATGGTTAACTTCATATTTTATTCATTTCTGTATTTTAGAGATAAGATCTTTGTTAGGCTAGAGTGCAGTGGTACAATCATAGCTCACTATAGCCCTGAATTCCTGGGCTCAAGGGGCTTTCCTGCCTCAGCCTCCTGAGCAGCTAGGACTACACGTGTGTGTCACCACAGCCAGCTGATTTTTAAATTTTTATTTTCTGATTAATTTTTTTTGTTAAATATAGGGTCTTGCTATGTTGCTCAGGCTGGTCCTGAACTCCTGGCCTCAAGCAGTCCTCCTGCTCCGACCTCCCAAAGCAGTGGGGTCACAGACATGAACCACTTTGCCTAACCTATTTCTTCCTCTTAAATGCAATTTTTTGCCTGGGCATGTTGGCTCATGCCTGTAATCCTAGCACTTTGGGAGGCCGATGCAGGCGGATCACCTGAGGTCAGGGGTTTGAGACCAGCCTGGCCATGCAAAACCCTGTCTCTACTAAAAATACAAAAAAATACAAAAATTAGCCAGTTGTGGTAGTGCATGCCTTCAATCCTGGCTACTAGGGAGGCTGAGGCAGGAGAATCGCTTGAACCCAGGAGGTAGAGGTTGCAGTGTAGTTGAGATCGTGCCACTGCACTCCAGCCTGGGCAACAGAGTGAGACCCTGTCTCAAAAAAATATATATGTGTGTGTGTGTGTGTGTGTGTGTGTGTGTGTGTGTGTGTGTGTATAAAATTTTTAAAGCAAGGTCCTTTGCCTACTATGTTTAATTGAAACTAAGTATACAATGTCAAAAATATTTGAAGCAAATACAGCAAAATGTTAATGCTTATTACATTTGTTTAAGGGAAGTTCAGGGGTTTGAGGTGGAATGTCTAGGAATGATGAGTACAGCTCTGCAACCAGACTATGTATATTCAAAGCTACTTTTTTTTTGCTGTGTGACATTAAGCAGATTACTTTTCTGTGCTTTAGTTTCATCATCTGTAAAATGAGGATTATAGTAGGTGTCCATATCATACGTAGGGTTGTTGTGAGGACAGAATGCACAAACATGTAAAGCACTTAGAACCGTGCTTGTCTCATACTAAATGCTCAATAAATGTTACCTATTGTTACTACTTTAGAGAATATTTTATTTTAATTAATTAATTAATTTATTATTTTGAGACAGTCTCGCTCTGTTGCCAGGCTGGAGTGCAGGGACACGATCTTGGCTCACTGCAACCTCCGCCTCCTGGTTTCAAGCGATTCTCCTGCCTCAGCCTCCCAAGTAGCTGAGATTACAGGTGCCCGCCACTACACCCGGCTAATTTTTGTGTTTTAGTAAAGATGGGGTTTCACCATGTTGGTCAGGCTGGTCTCAAACTCCTGACCTCAGGTGATCCGCCCACTTCAGCCTCCCAAAGTGCTGGGATTACAGGCATGAGCCACTGCACCCAGCTAGAGAGCATTTTATTATAGAATGACATAACACGTTTTAGAAAGGCTGTTTTGTTGTGAAGCCAAAGGGAGGAATCTTTTTTTTTTTTTTTTTTTTTTTTTTTTTTTGAGACAGACTCTCGCTCTCTCTCCCAGTCTGGAGTGCAGTGGTGCGATCTCGGCTCACTGCAAGCTCCGCCTCCTGGGTTCACACCATTCTCCTGCCTCAGCCTTCGGAGTAGCTGGGACTACAGGCACCCACCACCATGCCCGGCTAATTTTTTGTATTTTTTTTAGTAGAGGCGGGGTTTCACCGTGTTAGCCAGGATGGTCTCGGTCTCCTGACCTTGTGATCTGCCCTCCTCAGCCTCCCAAACAAAGGGAGGAATCTTTAAAAAATTTAAAATACTTAAATTTATAAATAAATTTCTTTAATTACAGTTGGAAAAAAGTAAAGTCTGCACCCCTTCCTTCCTTCCTTCCTTCCTTCCTTCCTTCCTTCCTTCCTTCCTTCCTTCCTTCCTCCTCTCCCTTCCCTCCTTTCCCTCCTTTCCCTCCCTTCCCTTCCTTCCCTTCCTTCCCTTCCTTCCCTTCCTTCCCTTCCTTCCTTTTCTTTCTTTTCTTTTCAGCAGAGTCTTGCTCTGTCACCAGGCTGGAGTGCAGTGGTGCAATCTCGGCTCACTGCAACCTCCACATCCTGGGTTCAAGCGATTCTCCTGCTTCAGCCTCCCAAGTAGCTGGGACTACAGGTGCGCGCCACCATGCCCAGCTATTTTTTTTGTATTTTTAGTAGAGATGGGATTTCACCATGTTGGCTAGGATGGTCTCAATCTCTTGACCTTGTGATCCGCCTGGCTTGGCCTCCCAAAGTGTTGGGATTACAGGCGTGAGCCACCACAAAAGGCCGCACTTTTTTCTTTATCAATAAGAGTTAGTCACAGGTTCATTGTAACTGGCTAGATTTATTATTTCACTATCTCTATATATATATCGATATAAAATCACTATTTTATATCAATACCAGTATAGATATAGATATATCTTAGTGTGGACATTTAGAGGGGAAAAAACCACCATGGAGGGACTGTGGAGTCATACTGACATGAGTTCAAATCCTGATTTCTCTACATATTGATTTTGACTGTTAATTGTTAGTGTTTTTTCTTTGTTTGTTTTTGTTTTTGGTTTGTTTTTTGAGAGGGACTCTGGCTCTGTCGCCCAGGCTGGAGTGCAGTGGCACGATCTTGGCTCACTGCAACCTCTGCCTCCCAGGTTCAAGTGAGTCTCCTGCCTCAGCCTCCCCAGTAGCTGGGAATACAGGCGCGTGCCACCGTGCCCTGCTAAGTTTTTTGTATTTTTAGTAGAGAGGGTGTTTCACCGTGTTAGCCAGGATGGTCTCAATCTCCTGACCTCGTGATCCGCCCGCCTCGGCCTCCCAGAGTCCTGGGATTATAGGCTTGAGCCACTGCACCCGGCCTGTTAATGTTTTTTAAATTTTCTGATTGCTAAGGAAAGTGATGTTACTTCTCCAAACCTGAGTTCCCATTTATACAATGAAGGCAGTAAATGTACCTGCCTTGCAGAATTATTGTGAGGATTAAATGAAATAACACATATCAAGTGCGTGGTCCAGTACTCAGAGTAACTACTCAATAAAAGCTCATTTCTCTCTTCCTTTAAATATGTAAATATTTGTCAGATTTTACCTTTAATTTAATGGCATTCTCTTCCACTCTCTCAGATAGTTATGACCAGAGTGCATTACAGGCGGTTCAGCTGGAAGATGGTACCACAGCTTATATCCACCATGCAGTGCAAGTCCCGCAGTCTGACACCATCTTGGCAATTCAGGCTGATGGGACAGTGGCAGGTCTGCACACTGGGGATGCTACAATTGACCCTGACACCATCAGTGCTTTGGAACAGTATGCAGCAAAGGTATAGCATTTCACAATGTCAAGAATGTTGCAGATATAGCTTCTTTATTTTTCATGAAAAGAAAAGAAAACAAAAAAGTACACCTCATCAAAAAAAACCTGGCCAATTTTGGCTGGGCATGGCGTGATGGCTCACGCCTATAACTTCCCAGCACTTTGGGAGGCCAAAGTGGGAGGATTGTTTGAGCATAGATCCCTGTCTCAAATTCAGAAATTAAAAAAAAAGACACTAGCAACTCAAAGTCAAAATCAGTTAGTATCAAAGAGATCAGCATTTATCTTAAGTGAAGTGTGGAAAGATTGGAAAAAAAAAGGGAATGGAGTAAAGACTTATAGAAGAGAAATGAGTGGCAGGTAATTCACCGAAAGATATACGAGGATGAAGGGCTATAAAAGAAATAATAAAGTGTAAATGGAACTGCTTATGAATTAAGAAGTAGGAACTATAGATTAGGAAAAGTAAAGTCTCAAGTTTTATATCAAAAGAGCTGATTTTTTTTTTCCCCTGCATTGAACATGTATCTCTCATATAACTTAAAAGGTTTTATTTCACTTTTGTTAGGGACATTTTCTTTTTTTTTTTCTTTACAAACAAAATAAATAGAGACAGGGTCTTGCTCTTTTGTCCAGGCTGGTCTTGAACTCCTGGGCTCAGATGATCCTCCTGCCTCAGCCTCCCAAAGTGCTAGGATTACTGGCATGAGCCACCATGCCCAGCCTATTATGGAAATTTTCAAATATACACAAAAATAAATGATAATGAAGCCCCATGTACTTTTTTTTCTTTTTCTTTTTTTTTGCAAGCTTCTCCCTGAACCATGTACTTAACCAGCCTAAACCATTATCAAAATGTAAAACATTTTAAAGCTTTATTTTATTCCTATAGGTGTCCATTGATGGAAGTGAAAGTGTAGCAGGTACTGGAATGATTGGAGAAAATGAGCAAGAGAAAAAAATGCAGGTATGTAAAGCTACTTTTTAATATAAAAATCTAGCTTAGCATTTCTGTGCCCTTCTGTGGATGAAAGCAAGAATAGGTAACTCACTACCTCTCTAGGAAAATCTCACCAGTTCAGAAAAACAATGTATGTATTGGGCAGCAGCTTTCTCAAACTGCCTGAGGTCCCAGTGTTCATTGGTGGATGCAAAATGATGCTAAAGAAATGGAAGTATCACAGAAATCCAGGTGAAGCTTGTGTGCTGGATTCCAAGGCAGTTTTCTGGACAAGGCAGTTGTGGAGACCAGGTGACTTCCTGACTGCCCCCACCCATGGCATGGCAATTTGTGGATACTTTTTCTGGGACTTCATCATGACTCTTTCTAAATAATCCTCACTGCTTTGCTTTTTGTATTTTTAAATTTCTTCTTCTTCCAGCTGATTCCCTCCATATTTTCCTTTTCAACTTCTGAAGGGAGAGTCCAGCCTAGTTAATCTTGGACAAAGCTGTTTATACTTTTTCTACCAGACTGCTTCCTGGTCTGCAGGTGGCCTGTGGGCTGGCTTCCCGTGGTTCAAATGTTCACCCTGGGTCCAGTCATTGGCTGCCCCTTACCTAAGTAACAGCCCAGAGCACCAGTGCTTCTAAAAGTTTTGTAGTAAGTACAAAGTAGTCCCAGGTGCATTCTTGCATATCTCCTACAATCAAAAATTCAAAACTTATGTTATTCAAGAATTGTTTTTGTGTTGGGATGTTCGTGTGGAGGGTATGCTTGGAGCTTGTATAATCATTGTAGTACATTCCTGCTTTAATGCTGCTCTTTATTTTCTCAGCAATTTTCTCTAATATTTTGTTGACTGTTCCTTTATAGTAGTTTTTTTTTCATTCTTCAGAGTTTTATTATATTTAACTCCTAAAGTTACTACTCAGGGTCACATTTATAACCTTGAGCATTAACATGACCACTTAGTGACATTGAGTGATACTGTTAGGGGTTATCAAGAAGATTTTACATTTATATTAATAGTAAGTGATAAAATAACAGGAATCACTGAAATCACTTGTAGAAATATGGTTCTGGCCGGGCGTGGTGGCTCATGCCTGTAATCCCAGCACTTTGGGAGGCTGAGGCGGATGGATGACTTGAGGTCAGGAGTTTGAGACCAACTTGGCCAACATGGTGAAACCCTGCCTCTACTAAAAATACAAAAAATTAGCCAGGTGTGGTGGCTAGTGCCTATAATCCTAGCTACTCAGGAGGCTGAGGCAGGAGAATCGCTTGAACCCAGGAGGCAGAGGTTGCAGTGAGCCAAGATCGCGCTGTTGCACTCCAGCCTGGGCAACAAGAACGAAACTGTCTCAAAAAAAAAAAAAAGAAAAAAGAAAAAGAAATATTATGCTTCTACGCGTTGCTGAATAGCCAATATTTCTGTTTACCAGCTGAAGTGATGCTACAAAGTGGCAATAGAATAAACACAGTTTTCAGTTCACTAAGCCCATCAGCTTTGATGCTGTGTGATTCGTAGCAAAATTTTCAGGTCTCAATTCATATTCATATTTTGTGAATGAAATGAGACTTTAAGGCAGGTGTGGTGGCTCACACCTGTAATCACAATACTTTGAGAGGCTGAGGTGGGAAGATTGCTTGAACCCAGAAGTTTGAGACCAGCCCGGGCAACAAAGTGAGACTCCATCTCTACAAAAAATTACAAAATTAGCAAGGCATGGTGGCACACATTTGTAGTCACAGCTGTTTGGGAGGCGAGGGCAGGAGGATCCCTTGAGCCCGTGGTTTGAAGTTATAGTGAGCTGATTGTGCCACTGCACTCCAGCCTAAGCAACAGAGCAAGACCCTGTTCTCCCCCACCTCCCAAAAAATGAGACTTCAGTATTTTTTATACAGTTCTATGTCAAATCCACCTAAGTCAACCTCTACTAAGATGCAAACACAGGGTAAATATGTGCGGGAGTTATAGGTCAGTGGCTTGGAGTGTTGGAGTGGCCCAATAAGTTCTCTGTCTTATTGGTAACTGACAAGTACATTTTAAAATAATAGAATATTTTAAAGAAAAGCAGTTGTAGGCTGGGTCCAGTGACTCACGCCTGTAATCCTAGCACTTTGGGAGGCCGAGGCAGGTGGATCACCTGAGGTCAGGAGTCTGAGACCAACCTGGCCAACATGGCAAAACCCCATCTCTACTAAAAATACAAGAATTAGTTGGGTGTGGTGGTGTGCGCCTATAATCCCAGCTACTTGGGAAGCTGAGGCAGGAGAATCGCTTGAACCTGGGAGGTGGGGGTTGCAATGAGCCAAGATTGTGCCACTGCACCCCAGCCTGGGCAACAGAGTGAGACTGTCTCAAAAAAAAAAAAAAAAATTTCAGAACTCAAAACGTAACTAGGAATTCAGAACTGCTGAGGCAAAATGTCATTAAAAAAACCCATTACTCTTTTTTTTTTTTTTGAGGTGGAGTCTCACTCTGTCGCCCAGGCTGGAGTGCAGTGGCTCGATCTTGGCTCACTGCAAGCTCTGCCTCCCGGGTTCACGCCATTCTCCTGCCTCAGCCTCCCGAGTAGCTGGGACTACAGGCGCCCGCCACCACGCCCGGCTAATTTTTTGTATTTTTAGTAGAGGCAGGGTTTCACCATGTTAGCCAGGATGGTCTCGATCTCCTGACCTCATGATCTGCCTGCCTTGGCTTCCCAAAGTGCTGGGATTACAGGCGTGAGCTACTGTACCCGGCCCCAACTCTTTTTTTTTTTTAAGACGGTGTCTCGCTCTGTCGCCCAGGCTGGAGTGCAGTGGCTCGATCTCGGCTCACTGTAAGCTCCGTCTCCCGGGTTCACGCCATTCTCCTGCCTCAGCGTCTGGAGTAGCTGGGACTACAGGTGCCCGCCACCATGCCTGGCTAATTTTTTGTATTTTTAGTACAGATGGGGTTTCACTGTGTTAGCCAGGATGGTCTCGATCTCCTGACCTCATGATCCGCCCACCTCGGCCTCCCATAGTGCTGGGATTATAGGCGTGAGCCAGCGCACCCGGCCAAAAAATCCCATTACTCTTTATCTGTAGACATATTACCATTTGGTATTGGTACCAGTAGACAAATAGAAGACTACTGAATGGGATTCTTTTTTTTTTTTTTTTACTGTAGCTTTTTTCTCCTTTGCCTTTTGTACCTCTTCCTTACAGACTAGATCTGCAATGTCCAATACGGTTGCCACTAGCCATATGTGGCTGTTAAGCACTTGAAATATGACTAGTCCAAATTGAGATGTGCTGTAAGTGGATTTTGAAGACATAGTACGATAAAAATAATGTAAAATATCAATAATTTCTTATATTGATAACGTTGAAATGATATTTTGGACATATTGTGTTAAACAAAATAATTACTATTAATTTCACCTGTTTCTTTTAATTTTTTTCAATTGGTTACTAGAGATTTTTTGTTTTATTTTATTATTATATTTATTTATGTATTTTGAGATGGAGTCTTACTCTCTTGCCCAGGGTGGAGTGCAGTGATGTGATTTTGGCTGACTGCAACCTCCACCTGCTGGGTTCAAATGATTCTCTTGCCTCAGCCTCCCGAATAGCTGGGATTACAGGCATGCACCACCACACCCAGCTAATTTTTGTATTTTTAGTAGAGATGAGGTTTCGTCATGTTGACCAGGTTGGTCTCGAACTCCTGACCTCCAGTGATCAACCCACCTCAGCCTCTGAAAATGCTGGGATTACAGGTGTGAGCCAACATGCCTTTTTTTTTTTTTTTTTTTTTTTTTTGGAGACGGCATCTCGCTCTGTCACCCAGACTGGAGTGCAGTGGCGCGATCTCAGCTCACTACAACCTCCACCTGCTCAGTTCAAGCAGTTCTCCTGCTCAGCCTCCCGAGTAGCTGAGACTGCAGGCACATGCCACCGTGCCTGTCTAATTTTTTGTATTTTTAGTAGAGACAGGGTTTTACCATGCTGGCCAGGCTGGTCTCGAACTCCTGACATTGTGATCCGCCCACTTGGCCTCCCAAAGTGCTGGGACCACAGGTGTGAGCCACCATGCCTGACCCCTATTTTATTTATTTATTTATTTTTTGAGACTGAGTCTTGCTCTGTCGCTTAGGCTGGAGTGCAATGGTGCAGTGTTGGTTCAAGTTATCCTCCTGCCTTGACATTCCAAAGTCCTGGGATTATAGGTGTGAACCAATTTGCCCGGCCGGAATTCTTTTTTTTTTTTTTTTTTGAGATGGAGTCTCACTCTGTCACCAGGCTGGAGTGCAGTGGCATGATCTCAGCTCACTGTGACCTCCGTCTCCTGGGTTCAGCGGATTCTCCTGCTTCAGCCTCACGAGTAGCTGGGACTACAGGCACATGCTACCATGCACAGCTGACGTTTGTATTTTCAGTAGAGAGGGGGTTTCACCATGTTGGCTAGGATGGTCTGAATCTCTTGACCTCGTGATCCGCCCGCCTCAGCCTCCCAAAGTGCTGGGATTACAGGCGTGAGCCACCACACCCAGCTCAGTAAATTTTTAATCACATATGTGGCTTGCACTTGTGACTTATTATATTTCTCTTCATTAGTGCTGGATCAGAAGTTCATGACTTCACCATTCTCTAAAATGATTAATTACCGTATTTAAGGTTGAGAACCTAGTACTTGGTTTTTTGTGGTTTTTGTTTTTTGAGACAGGGTCTTGCTTTGTTGCCCAGGCTGGAGTGCAGTGGCCTGATCTCAGCTCACTGCAGCCACTGCCTCCTGGGTTTAACTGATTCACCTGCCTCAGCCTCCTGAGTAGCTGGTATCACAGGAGCGTGCCACCATGCCCGGCTAATTTTTTATATTTTTGTTAAAGAAATATTTAAAAAAATGTTTTTTATATTTCACCTTGTTGGCCAGGCTGATCACAAACTCCTGACCTCAAGTGATCCACCTGCCTCGGCCTCCCAAAGTGCTGGGATTTCAGGCGTGAGTCACCGTGCCCAGCCTGAACCTTGCTTTTCTAAGTCTCTTTTTTTCTACCTCTAAAAGAAAGGTATTAATTAGATCCATGGTTATCTTAGGGGCAAAAGTTTGGTGTTTTTTTTTTTTTGTTTATTTTTTGTTTTTTGAGATGGAGTCTCACTCTGTCGCCCAAGCTGAAGTGCAATGGCCTGATCTTGGCTCACTGTAACCTCCACCTCCCAGTTGAACTCCTGACCTCCAGTGATCCACCCACCTCAGCCTCCCAAAGCACTAGGATTACAGGCGTGAGCCACCGCACCTGGCCAAAGATTTTTTTTTTTTTTTGAGACGGAGTCTAGCTCTGTCGCCCAGGCTGGAGTGCAGTGGCGCGATCTTGGCTCACTGCAAGCTCCACCTCCCGGGTTCACGCCATTCTCCTGCTTCAGCCTCCTGCATAGCTGGGACTACAGGCGCCCGCCACCACGCCCGGCTAATTTTTTGTATTTTTAGTAGAGACAGGGTTTCACTGTGTTAGCCAGGATGGTCTCCATCTCCTGACCTCGTGATCTGCCTGCCTCGGCCTTCCAAAGTGCTAGGATTACAGGCGTGACCCACCGCGCCCGGCCGCCAAAGATTTTTTAAGATAATATTTTTAGTGTTTTTTTTAATTCAGGTAAAGTACAAAGAAGAAAACCCAAAATGACCCGTAATCTTACTCTACGTATCTATTTTACATATTTTTAAATATAAAAGTAATCATGTTTATGTTTAGAAAATCCAAATAGTATAGATTAGTAAAAATAAAAAGTGAGGGATCTACTGCCTGATAGTAATTATTGTTAGAAATCTGCTTTGTTGTTGTTTTTTTCTCTCTCTCTTTTTTTTTTTTTTTTTTTTTGAGAAGTCTCGCTATGTCACCCAGGCTGGAGTACAGTGGCACAATCTTGGCTCATTGCAACCTCTGCCTCCCAGATTCAAGTGATTCTCATGCCTCAGCCTCCCAAGTAGCTGGAATTACAGGCTTATACCACCATGCCCAGCTAGTTTTTGTATTTTTAGTAGAGACAAGGTTTTGCCATGTTGGCCAGGCTGGTCTGAACTCCTGCCCTCAAGTGATCCACCTGGCTTGGCCTCCCAAAGATTATAGGCAGGAGCCACCGTGCCTGGCCTTGTTTTTGTTTCTTAATCTTCCTGGCAGTGCTGATGTGTCTCATGGTTCTTTAAAAATTCCTCTGGTGCCACACTTCTAGGATTGTTTCCTTTCTTCAAAGAGAATACATTTTTAAAAATTCAAGTTGTTTTTATTTTATCCTCCCCCAAGAATATAGATTATTTACATCATACAAGTTAACAAACACCAGATTGTAAGTTATAGCTGCCATGTGCATTAGGCCGTTACAGTAAATGGGATTATAAGTACTAAACCAGACAATACAATGCAATGTTTATCCTCAACCCTACTGAGTCTCTCACTCTATAATTACAGAAGCTCTGCCAGTTAGGTTCCACTGGACTACAGCATCCTGAAACCTGGTTGGTTAATAGCTTGAGCTCTAGAGCCAAACTCCTTCAAATCTCACTTCCCAGCTTTTGACCATGGGCAAGTTACATTACTAAGCCCCTCTGAGTCTCATTTTTTCTATTTGTAAATCATAGTTGATATTGAATTCATTGGATAGCCATGGGGGCCAATTAGACAGTGTACGTAAAGCAGCCACCACAGTGCATCACATAAATGCAACTGCTCAATAAATGTCAGTTAGCCTCTTTATTATGAGGTCACCTTGGAATTTAATCTTAGCTCCAGTCTTGTATCTACCTCTGGAATTTGCACCTCCTTAGAATATAATGGTCCTAGGCGCTAATTATATTATATATATATTATATATATATTATATATAATATATTATATATATAATATATATAATATATTATATATATAATATATATTATATATATTATATATATAATATATTATATATATTATATATATATAAAAGCCCTGTTTTTTGAGGTATCAGGAATCCTGTCAGGGACTAGCAGATCTCTGATCCACCCTCATCTGCCAAGGCCAGCAGCTCCAGTTCCTTTTTCTGTGTGTTTTACACAGTAGAATGCCATGTAAGATTTTATCTGCGAAAGACGTTTGACTCCTTCAGAAAAGAAAAAACATTATTGACTTAGAACAATGTGTTTTGTTTTGTTTTTTTTTCCCTGAGACAGAGTCTCACTCTGTCACCCAGGCTGGAGTGCAGTGGTGTAATCTCGGCTCACTGCAGCCTTTGCCACCCGGGTTCAAGCGATTCTCCTTCCTCAGCCTCCCGAGTAGCTGGGACTACAGGCACCCGCCACCACGCCTGGCTAATTTTTTGTATTTTTAATAGAGATAGGGTTTCACTGTGTTAGCCAGGATGGTCTTGATCTCCTGACCTCGTGATCCACCTGCCTCAGCCTCCCAAAGTGCTGGGATTACAGGCGTGAGCCACTGCACCTGGCCCTTTTTTTTTTTTTTTGAGACGGAGTTTCACTCTTGTCACCCAGGCTGGAGTGCAATGGCGTGATCTTGGCTCACTGCTACCTCCACCTCCCAGGTTCAAGCAATTCTCCTGCCTCAGCCTCCCGAGTAGCTGGGAATACAGGTGCCTGCTACCACGCCTGGCTAATTTTTGTATTTTTAATAGAGATGGGGTGTCACCATGTTGGCCAGGCTGGTCTCGAACTCCTGACCTCAAGTGATCTGCCTGCCTTGGCCTCCCAAAGTGCTGAGATTACAGGCGTGAGCCACAGCACCTGGCCACAGTATGTCCTTTATAGACAGGCAGATAGGCCCTATGTATCTTGCACAACGTTACATGGTGAGTTTATGGCAGAGCTAAGGTTATGTCTTTTTGTTTGTTTGTTTGTTTTGAGACGGAGTCTCGCTCTATTGCCCAGGCTGGAGTGCAGGGGCATGATCTCAGCTCACTGCAAGCTCCGCCTCCCGGGTTCATGCTTCTCCTGCCTCAGCATCCTGAGTAGCTGGGACTACAGGCGCCCACCACCACACCTGGCTAATTTTTTGTATTTTTAGTAGAGATGGGGTTTCACCGTGTTAGCCAGGATGGTCTCGATCTCCTGACCTCATGATCCGCCTGCCTCGGCCTCCCAGAGTGCTGGGAGCCACTGTGTGAGCCACCACGCCCGGCCAAGGTTATGTCTTAATTCTCAGAACATACATTAAGTTTAAATACCAGTGAAGTCATTTTCTATACATGGTTTTTAGAAGCTGATTAGTATTTCACTGGTGTTAGCTTCAAAATTGCCCTTGAGAGTTTTCACTTGTGATGACATATCAGATTGCTGTTTCTTTGACAGAGACTGCACATATCTCATGCTGCATAACCCTGAAATACCTGTTATAGTTTTGGTCTTTTAATTTAGCTTTTGAGTTTTGGATTCTGTCCATTTTTTCCCCTAAAACATCTGTAGAATCAGCTATTGCTTTCTATTCCACAGTCATTATCCTAGGTTTGTTTTTATGACTTCTTTCCTGCATATTTATGATTATACAAACTTCTTTTGGGCTCCCTACCTCATTTGTCTTTTCAGTCTGTTCCCCGCTATTACTGTAGTTCTCTTTCTAAAACGCAGATAGCCAGGCATGGTGGCACATACCTGTAGTCCCAGCCGTTGGGGAGGCTGAGACACAAGAATTGCTTCAACTTGTGAGGCGGAGGTTACAGTGACCTGAGATTGCACCACTGCACTCCATTGTGGGCAACAGAACGAGACCCTGTCTTGAAAAAAATTAATTAATTAACTAATTAGAATAAAACACAGAGGTGATCTTGGCTTGTCCCTTACTTAAAATATTTTAATACCTTCCTTTGGCTTTCATTGTCTAGGCTTGCTGTTCAGGGTAGTATTTATTGCTTTTCACAAACTTGGTCCTACACTTTCATTTTCATGAAACTCATTCTATTATGTAAACATAATACTCTCATGTTGTTTCCACTTCTTCTAGATAACACTCCAAACCTTTGACCATACTATTCCTTCTGCCTAGACAGCACTCCCCAGTCCTCTTCTTCAGTCTTCAAATTTCACCCCTAGACAGCTTGCCCTAACCTACATCTCCCTACTTTTGCATTTTGCCCTGTTAGATCTTTTCATAGACTCCTGTGATAACAATTATTATATTCTATTATAATCCTTCATTAATAGCACAGTTTTACTAGCTAGACTGAGAGCCCTACAAAGGCAGGAACAGTATTTTATTTATCATTTTAGAAAGTAGGTATTTTGCCAATCATTTATTAAATATTTATTATTTTAGAATGTTGTGATAGGAAGTGGTAGGGAGTTATGATGGAGGGATAGGTATAAAGGGTAGTTAATTGGAAATAGAATAAGAAGGTAGTAGTGCAAAGCAGGTTCCAAATAGAAAAAAAAAAGATTTATTTGGGAATTGAGAAGGTAAATGTTAGCCTAGATTGGAGATAAAGATCTTTGCAAGGAAACATTTCCAATACAAGGGGAGGGAATCCTATCACACCCAAATACTCTATGCATTGAGGTAAAAGCCAGAATGGCTTTTTGACTGTGTCTCCCTGGCCTTTTATTTTTCCAACTACTGTATACTGTAGGTCATTGCTATTTTTGTAGTTTTCTTTCCAGAGGTTCCTTTTGTTAGTTGGGTGTTTGTACAGGTATTCATCCTACTGTACTTTGTGAGAATGCCTTTAAGAGAGGTCTGTTTTGAGTAATTAGATACTAGTGGAAATAATTCTGTTGGACACTGCCCTTACTTATAATTCTCTTAGCATGCCAAATGCTAGTGACTTCAGCTGGCTTAGAAATAAGAAACCTTGCTGTTGTCACCCATGTCCCCACCCCACAGGCACACATTCAGAGACCTCAGTAGTTCTCCCTAAACTGAATTTTCTGACCCTTATTTTACTACCCTAAGTTCTTAAAGTCTCCACTATAGACATTAAGAATGGGAGCAAAAACAAGTACATTTTTGGAAAAAATGTCCAATACTCATCATTGGTTAGGAATTCAACATTGTTTCGTTGGCTTAACTAAATTAGATGCCAAATTCCTGGTATATGTTTCATACCAGAATCGAAGCTCCTAATAAATTGGCCTAGGAGGAAGCAATAGAATAACAGAAAAGATTCAGATATGAGTCTCTCTGGAGTTATTTGCTGCCGCTACCTAGTCTGAAGGTGTGAGCAGCTGGGCTTAGTTTGGCAGATGTGGAAAGCTGGTAAGCACTTTCATTTCATAGTGCTGTTAGAAAGGAGGGGAAGAGAATAGGAAGAAGAGTCCTTTTCTCTTAATTTGGAGTCTTCAATTGAAATCTGCCTTTACAAATCATATAAAGCTTGATGCCAATTCTACTAAAATAAAACTCTACACTTGTATATGTATTTAAAAAACACTGGGCTGGGCATGGTGGCTCACACCTGTAATCCAAACACTTTGGGAGGCTGAGGCAGGAGGATTGCTTGAGGCCAGGAATTCAAGACCAGCCTAGACAACATGACAAGACTCCATTTCTACAATTTTTTTTTTAAAAACAAGCTGAGTGTGGTGGTACTCACCTGTTGTCCTAACTACGTGGGAGGCTGAGGCAAGAGGATCACTTGAGCCCAGGAGTTGGAGGGTGCAGTGAGCTGTGATTGTGCGACTGTACTATAGCCTGAGTGACAGAGTGAGACCCTGTCTCTAAATTAAATAAAAATAAAAAATACTGAATGGAAGTAGACCAAGAAGTTAACAGTGATTTTCCCTGGATGGTGGAATTATAACACACTTAAGCTTTTTTTTTTTTTTTTGCTTTTTTTTTTTTTTGAGACAGGGTCTCATTTGTTACCCAGGCTGGGTGGCAGTGGCACAATCTTGGCTCACTGCAGCCTCAACCTCCTGGGTTCAAGCAGTCCTCCTGCTTGATGACAGCCTGGGATGACAGGCACGTACCACCATGCCCAGCTAATTTTTATATTTTTTTTGTAGAGATGGGGTTTTGCCATGTTGCCCAGGCTGGTTTCCAACTCCTGGGCTCAAGTGATCCACCTGCTTCAATCTCTCAAAAGTGCTGGGATTACAGACGTGAGCTGCCGTGCCTGGTAGAACTTTTTGTTCTTCACTATGGTATCCAGACTCCTCCAGAGTACATGTGTTGCTGTTATAATACATGAAAAAAAAATGAAGTTATTAAAATAATAGTTGATTTTTAAAGGGTTCATAGAGGCTCTTCTGTTTTCATGAGCAATAAACAGAAACTGATCTTTTTGAGACAGGATCTCATTCTGATGCCCAAGCTGGAGTGCAGTGGGGCGATCATAGCTTACTGCAGCCTTGACCTCCCAGGCTCAGGTGATCCTCCCACCTCAGCCTCCCAAGTAGCTGGGACCACAAGTACATACCACCACACTCAGCTATTTTTTTATCTTTTGCAGAGATGGGGTTCCCCCCATGTTTCCCATGCTGGTCTCAAACTCCTGGGCTCACGCGATCCTCCCACCTTGGCCTCCTAAAGTGTTGGAATTGTAGGCATGAACCACTGCACTTGGCCTAAGAAAATTTTGTTCTAATAATATTTGATTCCCATTTCTTATAGTTTTATTAAGATATATTTCACATACTAGCTGGGCACAGTGGTACATGCCTGTAGTCCCAGCTATTCAGGAAGCTGAGACGGAGGATTCCTTGAACCCAAGAACTTGAGTCTAGTGTGGACAACATAGCAAGACTCCAGTCTCTTAAAATGAAACAAGAAAAAGATACATTTTACATACTTTTTTTTTTTTAAGTTTTTGAGACAGGGTCTTGCTTTGTCACTGTAATTTTTTCTATTTTATTTCTGTATTACTTTTTTGTTTATTAAGACAGGTGTCGGCTGGGCGCGGTGGCTCACACCTGTAATCCCTGCACTTTGGGAGGCCGAGGCAGGCGGATCACGAGGTCAGGAGTTCAAGACCATCCTGGCTAACACGGTGAAACCCCGTCTCTACTAAAAACACACAAAAAAATTAGCCCGGCATGGTGGCGGGCGCCTCTAGTCCCAGCTACTCAGGAGGCTGAGGCAGGAGAATGGCATGAACTTGGGAGGCGGAGCTACAGTGAGCGGAGATCGCACCACCTCACTCCAGCCTGGGGAACAGAGTGAGACTCCGTCTCAAAAAAAAAAAAGACAGGTGTCTCACTCTGTCACCCAGGATGCGTTGCAGTGGCACAAATACAGCTCGCTGCAGCCTAACCTCCTGGACTCGCGCGATCCTCTCACCTCAGTCCTCTGAGTAGCTGGAACTACAGGCAGGTGCCACCATGCACAGCTGATGTTTTTGCATTTTTGTAGAAATGGGGTTTCACCATTTGCCCAGGCTAGTCTCGAACTCCTGATCTCAAACGATCTGCCTTCCTTGGCCTCCAAAAGTGCTGGGATTATAGGCTTGAGCCACTGTGCCCAGCCTACATACTATTTATTTATTTATTTGTTTGTTTAAAATGGAGTTTTGCTCTTATTGCCCAGGCTGGAGTGCAATGGCACAATCTTGGCTCACTGCAACCTCTGCCTCCTGTGTTCAAGTGATTCTCCTGCCTCCCAAGTAGCTGGGATTACAGGCATTCGCCACCACACCTGGCTAATTTTTTTTTTTTTTTTTTTTTTTGAGACGGAGTCTTGCTCTGTTTCCCAGGCTGGAGTGCAGTGGCGTGATCTTGGCTCACTGCTTCTTCTGCCTCCCGGGTTCAAGCAATTCTCCTGCCGCAGCCTCCCTAGTAGCTGGAATCACAAGCACATGCCACAGCGCCTGGCTAATTTTTATAATTTTTAGTAGAGACAGGGTTTCGCTGTGTTGGCAAGACGGGTCTCGAACTTCCGTCCTCAGGTGGATCCACCCACCTTGGCCTCCCAGAGTGCTGGGATTACAGTCATGAGCCACTGCACCCAGCCCTAATTTTGTATTTTTAGTAGAGACAGGGTTTCACTGTGTTTGTCAGGCTGGTCTTGAACTTGACCTCAGGTGATCCACCCACCTTGGCCTCCCAAAGTGCTGAGATTACAGGTCTGAGCCACCACGCCTGGCACAGCCTACACACTTTAAATTTACCCATTTAGAGTGTACAGCTGAGTGGTTTTTAGTAAATTGAAAAAATTGAACAATTATCACAATCTTAATTTTAGAACTTTAAAAATACCCCTGAAAAGAAAAATTTCTTGTAATTCTGTTCATATATTTTAGTGGTATGAATCCTTTTATAAATCTTGTGACATTTTCAGGGTGAACCTAGCACTGTGAGTTATGAAGGCATATAAGACACAGTTCTTGACTTCAAGTAGCTGATAGACTAATAGGGAAGAAAAGGAAACATAAATGTCTTTACAACAAGACAGTTGATTAAAGTTTCACACCAGTGATATAAGCTATATATCACAGGTTTGCTGAGGAATTGAAGAATCATCTGTGTTTGGAATGATGACAACAGGCCTCATGGAAGTAGGGAGATGGAATTTTCTAGCCAGAAAAAATGTGGAATTATATTATTCTTTGTATAGGCACTTTTCAGTCTATAATAAACATTTTCTTTTTGCCCATTGGGAATTATGCCTACTTTTTTTTTTTTTTTTTGAGACGGATTCTCACTCTGTCTCCAGGCTGGAGTGCCGTGGCATGATCTCGGCTCTCTGTAACCTCCGCCTCCCAGGTTCAAGCGATTCTCCTGCCTCAGCCTCCCGAGTAACTGAGACTATAGGCACGCGCACCACCATGCCCAGCTAATTTTTGTATTTTTAGTAGAGATGAGGTTTCACCATGTTAGCCAGGATGGTCTCGATCTCTTGACCTTGTGACCCGCCCGCCTCGGCCTCACAAAGTTCTGGGATTACAGGTGTGAGCCACTGCGCCTGGCCTATGCATACTTTTATACAAATATTTTATCAACAGATCTACCTTTATTCAGAAAATTATGGTCTGCAACATTTAATGAACATACAGTATGGGGATGACAAAATAAATAGCTTGTAATTTAACAATTACACTGAGATCTCTACTGCTTGTTTTTTAGTTGATTTATATTACAAGGAAAAGTCAAAGTCTTTCTATATTCTTGTCATCTAATGCAGGGTACTTCTCAACTCCCCCACCATTATTCTAGCCTCTGTAACTCCTCCTTTCTCTGCCTTTACCGTTCTGGGATGTGTGTAATTGTAGTAGGTCATTACCCAGAATTATATGCCATGTGTGACAGTCTGCAGAGATAGGATGTTGCAACACTGTCACCACATGGCTCACAGAGTAGAAAGTCATTCTTCCATTTTTATGATACCTTAATTTCTATTTTAAAAAGCCTTTAAAAATCAGCATTTGGATTTTTATGTTATTACATCCCAGAAAAATGATCTTCTAGTGAATATAAGTACAGAGTAGTAGTATCATATGGATTGTAATGTTTCCTTTAGGTGACTGAAATGACCTACCCCTTTCTCATTGCTTTTGAAATTGAAAACACTTTTGACATTGTTTTTGGGACACAGGTTCTAAAAAAAGGCAGGTAGATGGATCACTTGAGTATATTAAGGAATACCTGCATCCAGTGAAGATGCTACTTAGGTTGTTTTTCTAGAGTAGGAATAGATCTGTGAGCTCCAGCTGTGTATTTCTGTGACTGTCCTTTTGACTACTGTACTTTCAGAGTCACTGACTTCAACCATGCAATGGAATTAACCTGACCGACTCAGGCTGAAAGAGTCCTAATAAAGTGATGACCTGAGATTGGAAACCCACATAACAGTTTTGTCTTTTTAATTCTGAAAATCATAATTTATCTGTTTTATTTCTGTATTATTGATTGATTGATTGATTGAGACAGGTCTCACTCTGCCACCACCCAGGCTGGAGTGCAATGGTACAATCACAGCTCACTGCAGCCTTGACCTCCCCGGGCTCAGGTGATCCTCCCATCTCAGCTTCCCAAGTACCTGGGAACCACAGATGCACCACTACACCTGGCTAACTTTGTAATATTTTGTTGTATAGAGACAGGGTTTTGTCATGTTGCCCAGGCTGCTCTTGAACTCCTGGGCTCAAATGATCCGCCTACCTCTGCCTCCCCATGTGCTAAGATTACTGGCATGAGCCACTGTGCCTGGCTTAAGTAATTTAAGTAATACTATTTGTTTTATTTAGATTGTTTTACAAGGACATGCTACAAGAGTAACTGCTAAATCTCAACAGAGTGGAGAGAAGGCATTTCGATGTGAATATGATGGATGTGGAAAATTATATACAACAGCTCATCATCTCAAGGTATATATAAAAGAAATGTTCTATCTAGTTATGAGAATACCTAGGATATTAAATACTAAGATCATATTTTTGTGTAATTCAAATGCCACTGTTTTCTCCCAGTTATCAAGATACTGGCACTTGGTCACACTCATACACAGACATGTAAAAACCTATGCGGACTTTAGAGACTGTTAATTTTTTGAGGGCTTGGACTGTGTTTTTTTCATCTCTGTATTCCTAATGTCCAGGATACTACCTGGCACATGGTAGGTACTCTACATATTTGAATATATGTTGTCAAGTATGAAATCCATTTAATTATATGAGAGATATGTGTGTAATCACACATCTCTGTTAATTCACTGAAATCTAGCAAAAGTTGGTGTTAATTTGGCTTTTAAATATTTGGGCTAAGGCTGGGCGTGGTGGCTCATGCCTGTAATCCCAGTGCTTTGGGAGGCCGAGGCGGGTGGATCACCTGAGGTCAGGAGTTCAAGAACAGCCTGACCAACATGGTGAAACCCTTTCTACTAAAAATACAAAATTAGCCGGGCGCAGTGGCAGGTGCCTGTAATCCCAGCTACTCGGGAGGCTGAGACAGGAGAATTGCTTGAACCCGGGAGGCAGAGGTTGCAGTAAACCAAGATTGCACCACTGCACTCCAGCCTGGGCAACAGAGCGAAACTCCATCTCAATAAATAAATAAATAAATATTTGGGCTAAGTATTTTTATTTCACTTGCTGCTATACATAACAGAACATACCATGACTCAATAATAGCTAAGATTTGTTAAAGAACTTTCAATGTGTCACGAAGTATGCACTTAGCATATCTGGAGTAGTGGCCCTGGGGCCCATCTTCACTATTTATCAGTAACCTTGGGATGTTAGTTGACCTCTTAGTACCTCATTTTCCTCATCTATAAAATTGGATCCTAAGAGTTATCTCCCTCTCAGAGTGGTTGTAAAAATTAAATAAGTTAATACCTTACACGTAAAGTACTAAAAAGAGTGTCCTGATGTGGTAAATGTTCAGTAAATGTTAGCCATTGTCATTGTTACTCATTTGTCATGGCAACCCTCTATGGTAGATACTATTGTGTCCCCACTTTTCAGAGAGGCCTTTGAGGCTCAGAGAAGGCAAGTGCCCATGGCCACACCACTAGGCAGTGGTGGATCCTTGCCTCAGATCCAGGCCCCTCTAGCAGCAGCCTCCACACTCTTAACCTTACATTGTGTAGTCTCTCCCAGCCCCCTGCTTCTAGTTTCTCATCACGTGTATGTTTCATGCAGACACCTTTGACCACTCGAGAAAGCTCAGACCTCAAACGTTCCTGTTCCCTACTTAAAACATTAGTAACTATCTCTTAATATTTAACATTTAGGTCTATATTGAGAACTATTGGGCTATCGTTTTTGTGAAGTTATCTTTTTTATAAGAAAAAAGCATACAACAAAATCATTTAGCAGTGTGGGAAAAAGTAGTTCTGTGTTGCAACCATCTTCCTGAGGAATACGTAAAGGAAATAGAATCATGCCTGCATTTTAATCACAGGTCCATGAGAGGTCACACACAGGAGATCGGCCTTATCAGTGTGAGCATGCAGGCTGTGGGAAGGCATTTGCAACAGGTAAAAGTATGAATTTTGTTTTTTTCTTGGTTCCAATTAGGGGTCAAGTAGAGACAGGCTAGTGGAAGGAACTGACCCCTTGGCTGTGTCTGAATCTGCAGAAGCACATGATCAGTTTTTCAGTCTCTCTCATAACTGCCTTTCGTCCTGCTTGCTCCAGACCCCTCTCTGTTCTTTTCTCCACTGACCTGTCTCTGCCTGCTGTGTTTTCTTTTTCTTTTTCTTTTTCTTTTTTTTTGAGACAGTTTCACTCTGTCACTCAGGTTTGGGTGCAGTGGCAGGATCTTGGCTCACTGCAACCTCCGCCTCCCAGGTTCAAGCAATTCTAGTGCCTCAGCCTCCCGAGTAGCTGGGATTACAGGCGCTCGTCATCATGCCCGGCTCATATTTTGTATTTTTAGTAGAGATGAGGTTTCACTATGTTGGCCAGGCTGGTCTCAAACTCCTGGTCTCAAGTAATCCGTCCGCCTCGGCCTCCCAAAATGCTGGGATTACAGGCGTGAGCCACTGCACCTGGCCTGCCTGCTGTGTTTGATACTTTTCACTCCTCCACATTCTGTTTATTTTAGCGGGAAAATAAAAGCCAAGCTTTAAAGGCTGTCATAGACTCTAACATCAGGACAGGCCTTAGCAATGGGATGAGGCCTTTGCATCCAGCAGGGCTGGGACTGGCACCAGGCCTGCTGACTTCCATTCTTCATTCCATGTCTTGATTCCACTTTGAGCTCTTGGGGTATGAGAACAACTGATAAAACTGAGGCACTTTAGAAAAGAAACACACAACCTCTTTTAGACAGAAATGAAACTATTGAATTTTCAGCATGGCAGTCCCGAGCTATGATACTTTTGTACATTTTTTTGTTTGTTTTTGAGACAGAATCTCACTCTGTCGCCCAGCCTGGAGTGCAGTGACGTGATCTCGGCTCCCTGCAACCTCTGCTTCAGGGTTCAAGCGATTCTCCTGTCTCAGCCTCCTGAGTAGCTGGGACTACAGGCATGCATCACCACACCCAGAAAATTTTTTGCATTTTTAGTAGAGATGGGATTTTACCATGTTGGCCAGGCTGAGCTCGAACTCCTGACTTCAGGTGATCCGCCCGCCTTGGCATTCCAAAGTGCTGGGGGTACAGGCGTGAGCCACCGTGCCCGGCCCTTTTGTACATTTTAAATAGTTATTCTGTGTATTTGCCTGATATTTTATACTTGGTATTGACTATATTTTTCAGTAGCTTATTCTCAGTGTGCATGTTTAGAGCAGTATTGTGTAATTAAATTTCTTTTAATTTTTTCTTAAAGGTTATGGATTAAAAAGTCACGTCAGAACTCATACAGGAGAAAAGCCATATCGGTGTTCGGAAGATAATTGTACTAAATCTTTCAAAACTTCAGGAGATCTACAGAAACACATCAGAACTCATACAGGTACTAGTGGAAACAGAGTGTCAAAATCTTTTTTTTTTTTTTTTTTTTGAGACGGAGTCTCGCTCTGTCGCCTAGGCTGGAGTGCAGTGGTGCAATCTTGGCTCACTGCAAGCTCCGCCTCCCGGGTTCACGCCATTCTCCTGCCTCAGCTTCCCAAGTAGCTGGGACTACAGGCACCCACCACCATGCCTGGCTAATTTTTTGTATTTTTAGTAGAGACGGGGTTTCACTGTGTTAGCCAGGATGGTCTCAATCTTCTGACCTCGTGATCCGCCCGCCTCTGCCTCCCAAAGTGCTGCGATTACAGGCGTGAGCCACCGCGCCCGGCCTAGGCCAAGTTAATCTGCAGGGACGGTACTTGAGGAATGAGTTTCTGGAAGAGTTTCAGGAAGTCAATATCAAGGGCTTCTCTTGAAACCCTGAAATTCCATATGACTTGCTGTATATGCATGTCTGCTGCTTTTCAGGGTGAGGGCTCATAGCTCTGTTAGATTCTCAGAAGGGTCCACGTCCCAGAAAAGATTAACAGTGGCCCTAGACCACGAGCTCTCTCAGGTTTTAGTTGTCTGGGCAACAAGTTTATTTACCTAGGATTACACATCTAATTAGTAGCCGAGCTGAGACAGAACCTAAGGCACCCAGTTGTTTCTCCTGCATTAAGTAGCTGCTAAAGAAAGTGTCTGAACCCCAACAGGCCCACAGCAAGAAAGATTCATTACTTTTTGTGATCATTTCTCCTTCTCTTTAAATTTTATCTTCTTTTCCTAAATAGTACGTTATTCTTACCTCCCCGACCATCTCCTCTCCTCCTTATATTTGATTACTTGTGGAGTTGGTATTAATAAGATAAATATTTGCTTTGGATTGGAGCTAAAAAAAAGTTCAGCAGCTGTTGATAAGAGATGCTATTATAAGCTGTTGACTAAATAATACAGCATTAAGATAATTTAGTTTGGGATTTTAGTATAGATGTTTTAAACGTGGTGTGATAACTGTGTCCCCATGTATGGAAATATCTGAAATAGTTTAGCTAATTTCCATGTAGGATTCTTGCAGCTATTAATGTTTAACCTGCAGCTTAACTATGACCCCAGATTGGCTTTACTTTACAACATTGAGGAACAGAGCTGTAGGTCTCTACTTCCATCTCATTCATGCACTTTTTATTTATTGTATCAGAGGCGAGTATTTCCAAGCTCCCATAAATTCTACTTGAATTTGGAAATAAAACCAACTTGTTATATAAAAGCTATATCAAACCAATAATCTAGTTTTATAAATATTGATTAAAAAACATCAGAATTGTGATTTATTTCATAGTATTCATTTGTCAAACCACATGTTCATATAACAGCTTTAAAATCATGATATTTTCATTGGTATAGTGTGGGATTGAGTAAGGGACATAGGGACTTCTGTAACAAATACAGAAGATTACAGTGCAAAAACAAAGCAGGATGTTACAGAATCAGAGTAGTAATACAGTGAAAATTATCCTAGAACAGTTGATTCCCTATCATAGCATGTCAGAGCTGGGAAGACTTTAGAGGTCATCTAGATCCAAGAGAAAAGACTTGCCCAGGATAAACTCTTTGTTCTCCTTAGGCTGACATAATGAATAAAACTTACTAGAGATAGGATCAAAGATTCCTGCTCCTTTTAAAATGATTTC
This sequence comes from Homo sapiens, assembly GCF_000001405.40. Classification (NCBI taxonomy): domain Eukaryota; kingdom Metazoa; phylum Chordata; class Mammalia; order Primates; family Hominidae; genus Homo; species Homo sapiens. The sequence goes on from NC_000011.10 coordinate 9,499,473, forward strand.
ATACTTAAGGGGAGAAATCTTTTGGAATGGTTTCCACCAATAGAGAAATCATAATTTCATTTGACCAAAAGAAAAACAACAAACTAGCCAGTCGTGGTAGCATGTGCCTGTGGTCGCAGCTACCCGGGAGGCTGAGGTGTGAGGATTGCTTGAGGGCAGGAGTTCGAGGCTGCAGTGTGCAACCATCGTGCCTGTGAAGAGCCACTGCATTCCAGCCTGAGCAACATAGTGAGACTCATCTCTTAAAAAATTTAACAAACTTACTATATATAGATAAATATCTGTATCTGTCTATATAAAGAGAGATTTTTTCCCCTTCCCCAGAAGTTGTTTGCCTAATTTGAGCTCATCCTAGAAAAGGGTACATGAGAATCAAAAGCAAAGGCTACTTCTTGCTTGACAGTTTAAAGGCCTTTCGTATTCCAAGATTGTATAAAGCAAATATGAAGGAAAGAAACATAATTGGTAAAGCAGATTTTTTTGTTTTTGAGACAGTGTCTCACTTCAGTGCCCAGGCTGGTGTGCAGTGGCACAGTCACAGCTCACTACAGCCTTGACTTCTTGTGCTCATGTGATCCCCCCATCTCACCCTCCCGAGTAGCTGGGACTTACCACTGTGCACCACTACACCCAGCTAATTTTTTGAATTTTTTTTGTAGAGACGGGGTTTCGCCATGTTGCCCAGGCTGGTCTTGAACTCCTGAGCTCAAGTGATCCGCCTGCCTTAGCCTCTCAAAGTGCTGGGATTACAGGCATGTGCTGCTGTGCCTGGCCAGACTTTTTATAAGCTTAGATTATGAGGGTAGTAGTAGTATGTCCAGCAGGTATTTTTGACATATGTGCTAGGCACTAGATTTTCTTTTTTTTTTTTTTGGTTCAGTAACACAAGTATGTATTGAACACCTACTATTTCCTGACACAGTTAATATTAGGCATTATCTTGTTGAACATTAGTTAAAACACCATTTTTTTTTCTCTTGAGATGGAGTCTCGCTCTGTCGCCGAGGCTGGAGTGCAACGGTGTAATCTCGGCTCACTGCAACCTCCGCCTCTTGAGTTCAAGCGATTCTCCCGCCTCAGCCTCTCGAGTAGCTGGGATTACAGGCGCCCGGCACCATGCCCAGCTAATTTTTTGTATTTTTAATAGAGAAAGGGTTTCACCATGTTGGCCAGGCTGGTCAAAACACCATATTTTTAAAGAGCAAAAATTATTTTCCTGCAAGATATTGTAGAATAAATCAAGTAGGATACAAGCTTTTAGGGAATTCTGGGTTTGTTCTAATTTAATTCATATTCCTGACTGTACTTTTCTTTTATATTTCTTATGTTTTTCTCTCTGCTTTTCTCAGCTCATTTTTTGCCTACCTGGATGATTCCATCTTGGAGAGCTATGTAATCAGTGATTAGTTTTGAATACCATTCCCAGTTTCTTATGTAGATTTAAGTTTGGAGTGGAAGATGCTGTTTCCCCAACCCCCCCAAAAAAATGCCTGAAAGGGAAGCTCAGCACAAGAAGGCTAGAGTCTTGAGCATAATCCTAGGCAGGATTGAAGGATAAGACATTTTAATCCTCTATATATTTTTGCACCATTTAATGTATTACCCTTTATATTTGCAGGAGAAAGGCCCTTTAAGTGTCCCTTCGAAGGCTGCGGTCGGTCCTTTACAACATCAAATATCAGAAAAGTGCACGTTAGGACACACACAGGAGAAAGACCTTATTACTGCACAGAGCCAGGATGTGGGAGGGCATTTGCCAGTGCAACAAATTATAAAAACCATGTGAGGATACACACAGGTAACAATCTCTGATCTTTTGGTCTTTTATCTTTCAAGGCTCAGTTTAACTCCTGCCTTTTCCAGAAACCATTTCCAACTAATCTCTTCCCTCCTTTCTATCACTTGGCATGGTGGAAAGAGATTAAGCAACTTGAAAAAGTTTCACCTTAACAGTCATACATTCATTTATTCAACAAACAGTTATTGAGTATCTCCTGCCAGGCATCAAACATAGAGAGATAAGACATTGTCAAGGGCAGGCTACTTGGGAAGAGATAGTAGACATACAGTTGCTGCAGTGTCTCCCATTATATGGACAAGATGCTGTGGGAGCAGAGAGGGGAGCAGTCACTTCTGCAGGAATGGGAGAAGCATTTTGGGAGGGGTTTCTGGGAGATATTTGGCATACAGACTCAATCCTGAAGTTTGCCACATAAGAGAGAAGGGTATTCCTGGCAGGGGAAATGTCATGGGGAAAGGCACAAAGGTATGAAAAAGCATGATACTCAGTGGTTCCATATGACAGGAGCATTAAGTACATGTAGAAGATTTGTACAAGGTGAGTTCTGAGAGGTAGCCAGAGGCCTTGTGTGTTGTGCTGTCAAAGTTAAGGTACTTCTTAAACTGGACTTTGTGAAGCTTGTGAGGGGGCGGGGTGGTCTATGGATATATTCTTTTTTTTTTTTTTTTTTTTTTTTTTTTGGGATGGAGTTTCGCTGTTGTTGCCCAGGCTGGAGTGCAATGGCGCGATCTCGGCTCACTGCAACCTCCGCCTCCCAGGTTTAAGCGATTCTCCCACCTCAGCCTCCCTAGTAACTGGGATTACAGGCATGTGCCACCATGCCCGGGTAATTTTGTATTTTTAGTAGAGACGGGGTTTCTCCATGTTGGTCAGGCTAGTCTGAAACTCCCAACCTCAGGTGATCTGCCCGCCTCGGCCTCTCAAAGTGCTGGGAATCCAGGTGTGAGCCACCGCGCCTGGCCATATTCTTTTTTTTTTTTTTTTTTTTTTTTGGGAAACTGCTTTATTGAAATATAATTCACATACTATACAATTCATCTATTTAAAGTGTATGGGCCGGGCGCGGTGGCTCACGCCTGTAATCCCAGCACTTTGGGAGGCCGAAGTGAGCGGATCACGAGGTCAGGATATCGAGACCATCCTTGGCTAACATGGTGAAACCCCATGTCTACTAAAAACACAAAAAATTAGCCGGGCATGGTGGCGGGTGCCTATAGTCCCAGCTACTCCGGAGGCTGAGGCAGGAGAACAGCATGAACCCGGGAGGCAGAGCTTGCAGTGAGTTGAGATCGCACCACTGCACTCCAGCCTGAGCAAGAGCGAGACTCCATCTCAAAAAAAAAAAAAAAGTATGTGTTTCAGTGTTTTTTAGTATATTCACAAGGTTGTGCAACCATCACCACAATTCAATTTTAGAATATTTTCATTTCCCCTAAAAGAAATTCCATACTCAGAAGCAGTCCTTTCCCCACCCCGCCCCCCAGGTGTAAGCAATCACGAATCTACTTTCTCTTCTATGGGTTTGCCCATTCTGGATATTTTCATATAAATGAAATCATGCAGTATGTGGGGGGTTTTTGTCTGACTTCGTTCTCTTTGCATAATGGAGTGCAGTGGCGCAATCTCGGCTCACTGCAAGCTCCGCCTCCTGGGTTCACACCATTCTCCTGCCTCAGCCTCCCAAGTAGCTGGGACTATAGGCGCCTGCCACCATGCCTGGCTAATTTTTTGTATGTTTTAGTAGAGACGGGGTTTCACTGTGTTAGCCAGGACGGTCTCGATCTCCTGACCTCGTGATCCACCTGCCTCGACCTCCCAAAGTGCTGGGATTACAGACATGAGCCACCGCTCCTAGCCTGCATAATGTTTTTGAAGTTCAACCATGTTGTAGCAACTTTTAAATTCTTTCTTTTTTCAGTAACTGAATAGTATTTCATTATATGGATGTACTACATTTTGTTTATTCACCAGTTGTTTTCACTTCTGGCTATTAAGAATAATAATAGATTACATATGTCATATGTATTCCTTATATGCAATGAGCATTCATGTACAAGTTTTTATGTGGACATGTTTTCATTTCTCTTGGATGTGTACTTAGGAGTGGACTTGCTGGGTCATATGGTAACTCCATGCTTAACATTTTAGGAACTTCCAAACTGTTCTCCCAAGTGGCTGCACCATTTTACAGTCTCATCAGCAATGGATGAGGGTTCCAGTTTCTCCACATCCCAGCTAACAGTTGTTATTATCCCAGCTAACAGTTGTTATTATCTGTCTTTTTTTATTATAGCCATCTTAGTAGGTGTGAATTGGTATCTCATTCCGACTTTTGATTTGCATTTTTCTGATGGCTAATGATGTGAAGCTTTTTTTTTTTTTTTTGAGACGGAGTCACGCTCTGTCTCGCCCAGGCTGGAGTGTAGTGGTGTGATCTCAGCTCACTGCAGCCTCCGCCTGCCGGGTTCAAGCGATTGATTGATTGATCCTGTTTCAGCCTCCTGAGTAGCTGGGACTACAGGTGTGTGCCACCACACCCAGCTAATTTTTGTATTTTTAGTAGAGACAGGGTTTCACCATGTTGGCCAGGCCGGTCTCAAACTTCTGACCTCAGGTGATTCACCTGCCTTGGCCTCCCAAAGTGGTGGGATCACAGGCATGAGCCACCACGCCTTGCCTTTTTTTTTTTTTTTTTTTTTTTTTTGAGACAGAGTCTTGCTGTGTCACTCAGGCTGGAGTGCAGTGGCGCAATCTTGGCCTGCTGCACCCTCCACCTCCCACGTTCAAGCAATTCTTCTGCCTCAGCCCCCACAAGTAGCTGGGATTACAGACACCTGCCACCACACCCAGCTAATTTTTGTATTTTTAATAGAGATAGGTTTTCACCATGTTGGCCAGGCTAGTCTCAAACTCCTGACCTTGTGATCCTCCCACCTCAGCCTCCCAAACTGCTGGGATTACAGGTTTGAGCCACCACACCTGGCCAAAGCATCTTTTTATGTATTTATTAGCCATGTGTATATCTTCTTTGGAGAAATGTCTATTCAAATCCTTTGCCCGTTTTTAAAATTGGGTTGTGTCTTTATTACTGAGTTGTATAACTTTAATTCGAGAGACTTGAATCCAAGTCTCTTATTAGATATATTAGTTACAGATATTTTCTTCCATTCTGTGGCTGGTTTTTTAATTCTCTTAATGATATTTGCAGTATAGAAGCTTTTAATTTTAATGCTCCATTTTGTGGATGTATTTTTGGTGGGTGAGAATGGAAAGGCAAATGTGAGCGTAAGGCAGGATATGCATTAGTTTTATAAGAAAAATTTTAATATATTGTTTTATTACTGGTATTAAGAGTAAACTTGTGTTAATTCAAAATTAAAAGACATTTTTTTCTTTTTTCTTTTTTTTTTTTTTTTTTTGAGACAGCGTCTCGCTCTGTTGCCCAGGCTGGAGTGCAATGGCGTGATCTCAGCTCACTGCAACCTCCGCCTCCTGGGTTCAAGCGATTCTCCTGCCTCAGCCTCCTGAGTAGCTGGGACTACAGGCACCTGCCACCACGCCCAGCTAATTTTTATACTTTTAATAGAGACGGGATTTCACCATGTTGGCCATGACAGTCTCAATCTCTTGACCTTGTGATCCACCCGCCTCGGCCTCCCAAAGTGCTGGGATTACAGGTGTGAGCCACCACGCCCAGCCTCTTTTTTTTTTTTTTTTTAAGATGGAGTCACGCCCTGTCACCCAGGCTGGAGTGCAATGGCACGATCTAGGCTCACTGCAACCTCCGCCTCCTGGGTTCAAGTGATTCTCCTGCCTCAGCCTCCTGAGTAGCTGGGACTACAGGCGCATACCACCATGCCCAGCTAATTTTTGTATTTTTAGTAGAGACAGGGTTTCACCATGTTGGCCAGGATGGTCTCCATCTCCTGACGTTGTGATCCACCCACCTTGGCCTCCCAAAGTGCTAGGATTACAGGCGTGAGCCACCATGCCTGGCCAAAAGACTTTTTTTTTGAGATGGAGTCTCGCTCTGTCGCTCAGGCTGGAGTGCAGTGTCGTGACCTCAGCTCACTGCGACCTCTGCCTCCTGGGTTCAAGTGATTCTCCTGCCTCAGCCTCCCGAGTAGCTGGGATTACAGGCGCATGTCATCACGCTGAGCTAAGTTTTGTATTTTTAGTAGAGACAGGGTTTCACCATGTTGGCCCAGCTGATCTTGAACTCCTGACCTCAGGTGAGCCACCACGCCCAGCCCTGATATGCAATTTTTGTGTGCTATACATAAACATGTACCTACGAATGAGTTCACTTACTGTTAAATAATTATGGCCAGGCATGGTGGCTCACACCTGTAATCCCAGCACTTGGGGAAGGTCAAGGTGAGCAGATCACTTGAGGTCAGAGTTTCGTGACCAGCCTGGCCAACATGGTGAAACCCTGTCTCTACCAAAAAATACAAAAATTAGGCCTGGTGGTGGGCACCTGCAATCCCAGCTACTTGGGAGACTGAGGCAGGAGAGTTGCTTGAACCTGGGAGGTGGAGGTTGTAGTGAGTCAAGATCATGCCACTGCACTCCAGCCTGGGCGACTGAGTGAGACTCCATATCAAAAAAAAAAAAAAAAAAAGGAAAAGACAATTCATCTTTTAAGTGCTTCTTATTAAAATATATGTGCTTAAGTGCCTTTTTGTAATATTTGGAGAAAATGGCTGGGGCTTTTTGGATGGGCTGGGAAAACATTATTTTTCCCATTTAAATTAATGGAATATAGATAGAGCTTGGCGCAGTAGTAGCTCATGCCTGTAATCCCAGCACTTTGGGAGGCCAAGGTGGGTGGATCACTTGAGGTCAGGAGTTCAAAACCAGCCTGGCCAACATGGCGAAACCAATTCTCTACCAAAAAATACAAAAGTTAGCTGGGTGTGGTGGCAGCTGCCTGTAATCCCAGCTACTCAGGAGGCTGAGGCAGGATAATCACTTGAATCCAGGAGGTGGAGGTTGCAGTGAGTCGAGATCACACCATTGCACTTCCAGCATGGGTGACAGAGCGAGACTCCGTCTCAAAAAGAAAAGAAAAAAGCAATGGAATACAGACTAATTATCTGAAAGCTAGCCATTCAACACATTTTATGGGCAAATTAGCATTCAATAAGAGAGATGCCTACATTAAGTTTGGCCATACTGATGTCTTTGGAACATTTAGGTAGAGCAGTGCTCTCAAATGAGTCTGCATATTGGATGTATCTCTTTAAAATAGACTGATTGCCCAGATCCTGTCTGCAAAGATTCTGACATAATTGTACTGGGGTGAGGCCCAGGCATCAGGGTGTATTTAAAGCTCCCCAGGTCTTTTAGTAGACTGTTTTGAGAATAATTGAAGTAGAGAGAGTATGCAGTTATAAATGTTGGTCTGACCTAAGAGGTGGGTCTGGGCTGGAAGAAAAGATTGGCTAATGATCAGGTAATTGCTACAATAACTGGTCACAATATCCAGTAGAGTAAAGATTCAGACCTGTGAAATGCAGTCCTTTTTTCTTTTCTTTTTCTTTTTTTTTCTTTGCAAGGCTCGTCAGATGACCCAGGTGAAGCTATGTAACTAGCCAGTAAGGGAGCTCAAAAGCTCAATCCAAATCCATTCGCCTCTTGGCTGTGGTTTGGTGCCACCTAGTGGCAGTTTCTGCTCTAGCCTAAATATCAATTGGGCTGATTTTTCCAAGTTGAAATTGGCTGCCCTTTCTCTTGCCCTCACCACATCTCAGCAACTATCCACCAAAATAAGAACATTAACCTGCCTGCTTTGGGAATGGGAACTGGGCAGAGGACAGGAAGAAATCGCCAATTACTTTATGTGTAAGACTTATGTTACGGTACATTAGTGTGGTATCTTATTTTTGGGGGGGTTTACTGTGTTTAGAACCACTGCGAAAGGTGCAGTTACCCAAGGAATGTGTCGAATGAGAATAAACCAGGACATGCATATGTATACACACTTTCATATGTACATTTTAAAAATCTGAGTTCACACCAATACCTCCAATTCCATTTCACCACAGGGTTCTTTTTGTTTTTCTTCCCCCATTCCATATTTGTATTCTCCTTTTTCCACAGCTGGAGCCCTTCCAGCAGCATTTGAAATATTTACTCATTTGCTCAGTCTTTTATTCCATCTAAAATAGTTTCAGAATCCCTTCACCCATACCACTACAGTAAACAAGCCTACTACAAATGAGCTGAATATTTGTTTGCAATTCTTCCCCTCACTCTCGCCACTGAGCCCAAGACTGAGGGCATAAGTCAAATACTGTGTAAATGAGCTACTTTAATTAATTTATTTGTTCCCCCACCCCAGCCCCTTCAGTGTAGTTAAAAGTATTCATTTAAACAATTAGGTTAATTTGTTCCAGTTTGCTTTCAGTTTTAGGTCCCTACACCACCACATGTTAGCACTGTCTAGATATTTTGTGATATTAAGTAATTATTATTAATTTTGTTTACATATTTTTTAAACTGGGACCCATCTTTTTGGTATACAGCCTGAAAGAAAAAGAATGTTACCTGCAACTGTTTCGGAATAATCCTGGTCGGGAAGAAGGGGGAAATGGGTAGTAAATATAAGAAACAATATTGGTCATGAACTGATAGTTGAAGCTGGATGATTGGTACATGGGGAACTGTTTCTCTATACTTTTGTGTATATTTGAAATTTTCTGTAGTAAAAAGTTCTAAAAATATGTGTACTGCCTATAATGTTCTCAAGCTGTTTCATGGGACAAAAATTAAAGTATTTACTTCCCTATGTATTGCCTGCTTGCTATTAGTGAATACTCAGTAGCTTTTGATTGGATGTAAGAAGTCAGGTTAAGTTAAATGAAACATGTTTGTCCTTTTAGTTGTATTGACATATCTAACTAGGTTTAATAGACTTTTAAAGACAATCCTTTTTTATTATCTTTATGAAATTCTTAGGAAGCTGCATAAGTTACGATAATAGCATTTATTATTATTAATAGACTATAACAGTATCTAGATTATCTAATTATGGGAAACAAATTACAGTTTCATTAAAGTTAGAGTTAAACTGGGCAACATCTCCATCCTTTTCTCATTCCTTGAGATTAAGGAGAACCTGGTGTTGATGCATGGAGACAGCACTAAGGATCATACTACCTTTTGAGTCAAGTCAAAACCATAGTTAGGGAATCTTTTCTTGTGTGCTGCCTCATGGTGGGATGAGGAGGGGTTTGGCAATTCTTTATTTTTAGAGGTATTTTACCCCCTGGGGGGGAAGTATGGAATGATTTTGCCTACATATGTAAAAGTTGAACTTTTTTTTGGTGTTGCTCTTTAGGAGAAAAGCCATATGTTTGTACAGTTCCTGGGTGTGACAAAAGGTTTACAGAATATTCCAGTTTGTACAAACATCATGTTGTCCACACTCATTCCAAACCTTACAACTGTAACCACTGTGGGAAGACATACAAGCAGATCTCCACGCTGGCCATGCACAAACGGACAGCCCACAACGACACTGAGCCCATCGAGGAGGAGCAGGAAGCCTTCTTTGAGCCGCCCCCAGGTGAGAGTTTTGTCTACTATATTTTGTTTCTGAGTTTGAGAATCAACAGTTATGAACATAATTTATGATTCATAGCATTTTCTGAAATCCTAATGTGTCATTCGTATAATCACATAAACATAATTTACAGCTGCAGTAAGTGCTATTGAAGAAAAGTATGTGGTACTCTGGGATGTATAGAAGGGAATGTTAGTTTGGGAGGTCAAGGAAGGGATTTTTGGAGAGATCTTGAGGTTGAATAGGGGTTAACTGGGTGAAGAAGCAGAGGTTGCTGGGAAGGGAAGCAGGAAGCAAAGGCAAGAGAATGTTCCAAATAGAGAGAATGGCACATGCAGAAAGCCAGGAGGTTGGAGAGACCAAAGTAAATTGGAGATACTGAATGAAGCCTGGCCAGTTAGGGCAGTTCTGCCTGGGAAGGTGATATGAAACAAGGCTGGAGAGCGAGGCAGGGGCAGCCAGCCTGTTTGGGTCCATTAAGCATGTTGGTCTTAATCGTAACACTAGAGAAGTACTCCCAAATAACTCTTCATTGATTCAGGTGCTATTAAGTATGTTATTGTAAGAGACAAAATTATTTGTTTCAGTAAACCCTTGGAAAAATATTTTAGAGAATTACATTGAATTATTTCAGATAAATAAGCATAGGTAAGTAGGTAAAAGGAAGTCGGTTTTTCTAAAACACAAAACAAAGCAAGTTGTCTTACAGTTTCATTGAGTACCTCCTAAATGAAGTAAATTTGAAAATTAAGAGAAGACATCTTTTTTCATTTTTAACAACATATATTGAAGCATTGAAAAACATTTAGGTGGAAAAGGTTTGTTGGAGAGTAAGGGAAAGAACAGATCATCTGCTCAGATGATTCCTTGTAGTCCTGATTTGTCTTTTCAGGTATTTGTTAGGTGGTGGTAGGTTAATAGCAATTCCATCAGTCTTCATGGTGATTATTTTCTAGCCAGAACACTGTAAGTGTGCATGGTTAAATATTACATCAATTGGGGAGATACTGGTCAAAGAGTACAGTTTCAGTTAGGAGGAATAAGTTCTGGAGATCTGCACAGCATGTGACTACAGTTAATAATAATGTACTGTATATTTGACAATTGCTAAGAGAAAGGAAGTAAATAAGAAGATCCTACAACAACTGCTGAGTCTTTTTAGTTAGAAAGCAGGCTTTAATGATATCAGACTTAAGTTTGCAAGACTCTTTTTCTAAGCTTCCTCAAGTCTCTTCCTTAAATGTTGATATTTCAGGTTATCAGAAGTTCCTATATTCTTTTTTTTTTTTTTTTATTTTTGAGATGGAGTCTCGCTCTGTTGCCCAGGCTGGAGTGCAGTGGTGCGATCTCGGCTCACTGCAAGCTTCGCCTCCCGGGTTCATTCCATTCTCCTGCCTCAGCTTCCTGAGTAGCTGGGACTACAGGCGCCCGCCACCATGCCTGGCTAATTTTTTGTGTTTTTAATAGAGACGGGGTTTCACCGTGTTAGCCAGGATGGTCTCGATCTCCTGACCTCGTGATCCGCCCACCTCGGCCTCCCAAAGTGCTGGGATTACAGGCGTGAGCCACCGTACCCAGCCCAGAAGTTCCTATATTCTAGAAAATAGTCTATAATATAATAATATACATTTTATTTAAAAACAAAACTAAACTAAGATTGTTTTTCCAAGAATAGGGATGGATTTCTGTTTTCTCTCACATGATCCACTGGGTTTTGTAACCTGTTGGAATAATGGTATATAAATAGCTGTGGAACAGAACAAAAAGGAATGAAGTAATGTCTGTCATGGAAATTACACGTTGATGACTGTAGCCATATGAGTGCATGGATTAACCACTGAATTGAGAAGTACTCTTAGATTAGCATATTATGTCCTTTGAGGGGGAAACATTTTTTTTTTGCTCTCTTTCTGACTTCATGGGAGGTAGAAAGTGATGAAAGACGAGAGGGACCAGGAATCTTCCTGGTTGACAATTATAGTAGTAATGGATTGTTGAAATTGCTGTTTACTTACTGGTTCTTTATGAAATAAAGAAGTGATGGAGGTTCCTTTTATGTCACTAAATTATTAACCATACCTCAGATAATATGCCATACATTGTCTTTACACAGTGAGGTCATTGTGTACTGATGGTTTGCAATCAATCAGTTGTGCTAAAGACCAAGTTTAGTATCAGTGGGTGTGTTTGCAAACCATTCTGGCTTTGTGGTTAATGTTTATGAAAATGAAAATAGTCTTAACCACTTTTAACAGCTTCTTTTTTTTTTTTTTTTTTTTTTTTTGAGACGGAGTTTCGCCCTTGTTGCCCAGGCTGGAGTGCAATGGTGCCATCTCGGCTCACCACAAGCCCTGCCTCCCGGGTTCAAGTGATTTCTCCTGCCTCAGCCTCCTGAGTAGCTGGTATTACAGGCATGCTCCACCAGGCCCGCCTAATTTTGTGTTTTTGTTTGTTTGTTTGTTTTTGTTATTGAGACAGAGTCTTGCTCTGTCGCCCAGGCTGGAGTGCAGTGGTGCAATCTCGGCTCACTGCAAGCTCCGCCTCCTAGGTTCACACCATTCTCCTGCCTCAGCCCCCTGAGTAGCTGGGACTACAGGCGCCTGCCACCATGCCCGGCTATTTTTTTTTTTTTTGTATTTTTAGTAGAAATGGGTTTCACCGTGTTAGCCAGGATGGTCTCGATCTCCTGACCTCATGATCCGCCCGCCTTGGCCTCCCAAAGTGCTGGGATTACAGGTGTGAGCCACCATACCCGGCCTTGGTTTTGTATTTTTAATAGAGACGTGGTTTCTCCATGTTGGTCAGACTGGTCGCGAACTCCCAACCTCAGGTGATCTGCCCACCTTGGCTTCCCAAAGTACTGACTGGGATTACAGGTGTGAGCCACTGTGCCTGGCCTTTAACAGCTTTTTTTTTTTTTTTTTTTGAGACGGAGTCTTGCTCTGTCGCCCAGGCTGGACTGCAGTGGCGTGATCTCGGCTCACTGCAACCTCTGCCTCCCGGGTTCATGCCATTCTCCTGCCTCAGCCTCCCGAGCAGCTGGGACTACAGGCGCCCGCCACCATGACCAGCTAATTTTTTGTATTTTTAGTAGAGACGGGGTTTCACTGTGTTAGCCAGGATGGTCTCGATCTCCTGACCTCGTGATCCACCCACCTCAGCCTCCCAAAGTCCTGGGATTACAGGCATGAGCCACCGTGCCTGGCCTAACAGCCTCTTAAGTGAATGCGAGAATTTAGTGCATACTTGCTGTATTTGAAGGGTTATTTGCTAGTTTTCCTGTACAGTTCCTCCCCTCTCCGCCCCTAATACACATATAGTATCAAGTAATTACTCCAACTAAGAGAATAAAACAGGTCCCTGAAAATCAGAACACTTAAATTTGATGCAGAAAGATTTTTTGTTTGGTCTGCTTTGATGTAGTTTGCCTTTGCAAAAGTGGAGGTGGAGGAATTGGAAGGAGGTCCTGGAAGCCATTTTCGTGACTTAGAATATAATACATGTACATTTTAATTATGTAATTTTCTCTTTAATATTTAAAATGTCCTATTTTCTAAACAAATTGGTTGGTTGGTCAAATAAATGATTCATTTGTTTTAAACAGGTCAAGGTGAAGATGTTCTTAAAGGGTCCCAGATTACGTATGTTACAGGTGTAGAAGGGGACGACGTTGTTTCTACACAAGTAGCCACAGTAACCCAATCTGGACTGAGTCAACAAGTTACACTCATATCCCAGGATGGGACTCAGCATGTAAGTATCCACCAAAAGCCAAACAAATTAAATCTTTCTGTGAACCTGGGCTTGAAAGGCAGGCTGGGTCCCCATTGAGGAAAGCTTTGAAATATCAGGGCACAAAGTTTGGAAACCCTGAGGTTTTTCAGTAGTCTGCTTACAGAGACTACGTGCAGAGAGATTAGGAGAGAGAGAAGGTTTGTGACTGTAGAATCCGAATGGTATTCTTGGTGTAGTTCAAAGGTGAGATGATAAAGGTCAGCCACAGAGAGGCTCAGGGCTTCAAAAGTACTGGATCCATGTGAAACACAGATCAGAAAAGGGATAGGATTTGGTGGCTGATTAGATGCAGGAGGTGAGATTGAGAAAACAGAGATTTGGCTGAGGTGATCAGCATATGATGGCACCATTAAGAGATCAGGAATCATGAGAGTTCACTCAACTAGCCTCACAGAGTCGGTAGAATAGGTATCTTGATTTCCCCCCAGGAAAAGCACAGTGTAATGGTTGTTCTCTGTTAGCCAAACTTGTTATTATTTTCTAGATGTCACTAGCCTAAAATTATTCCACCTTGATTCCATTTTTAAGCTCTAGCAAAGACTGTCTTAATACCTGGTGGAAATATGCACAATGTGCTTCTTTACCCTTCTGTGTCTTCCTCTTTCATGGAGAACGCTCTCCTTACCCATCTCTCAGAGTTTAATGATTAATATGCTCTGTTTTGATACTCAGGATTAGAAAATACAAAGCTCTTACACCTTCTCATTTATCTCCTTCCTCACTTTGACGTCACTAATTTCACACTATACTCTCTGTCCTCTGACTGGTATGCAAGATTATTAACCAAGTTTTAATTCTGCATCAGCCTTAACACTTTTTCTTGAATTAGATCATCACATACAGAGGTCCTCTGGAGGTTGTTTTATATAACCTCCCTGTTCCCTATACAGGAAAAATTCCCACTATAGCAGGTCTGAAATAGCCACTACTGAGAAACCCCCAGTGATTAGGCAATTTCTGTCTTAGGCAATCTGGGTCCAGGCGCGGAGGCTTACGCCTATAATCACAGCACTTTGAGAGGCCAGAGCGGGTGGATCACTTGAGATCAGGAGTTTGAGACCAGCCTGGCCAATGTGGTGAAACCCCATCTCTACTAAAAATACAAAAATTAGCTGGTGTGGTGGCGCTCTCGTGTAGTTCCACCTACTAGGTAGGCTGAGGCGGGAGGATCACTTGCACCCAGGAGGCGGGGTAAGACAACATTGTGCCACTACACTCCGGCCTGGACATTGGAGTGAGACTCTGTCTCAAAATAAATAAATAAATACATTTTAAAAAGAGGCAATCTGTTCCATTGTTGGATAATTCTAGTGTTTGTTTGTGTGGTTTTAGAGATGGTCCCACTCTGTTGCCCAGGGCAAAGTGCAGTGGCAGAATCATAGCTCAAAGGACTACAGGTGTGTACCACCACACCTGGCTAATTAAAAAAACATGTTTTTTTCAGAGGTGAGGTCTCACTGTGTTATCCAGGCTGGTCTTGAACTCCTGGCCTCAGGTGATCCTCCTGCGTCAGCCTCCCAGAGCGCTGGGATTTCAGGCATAAGCCACCATAATTCTACTATTTATCAGACCAGAACCCACCCCTGTATCATCCTCTCATGGCTCCTCTCCGACCATACAGAATAAGTCTTATCCTTCTTCATATATTCCAAAACAACTATCTTTCCCATCCCAATGTTGTACTTTCTCTACACTTAACCTTCTCATTTCCTTCAGGAATTAGATTTCCATTCCATTCCTTTCATCAGTCAAATGATAGACATTTATAGAGCACCTACCCCATGCCAGACATTTTGGTCAGTGGACTTAGTGTTGGAATCACAGGAAGGGCAGTATCACAGTCTAGTAGGAGAGAGACCCTTTTAGAATGAATAATTTTTCATAATGACGTGTATATAATTGAGAGATACAGAAAGTGCTGTGGCACCCTGGAGGAGAGAGTAAATTTTTCTTCCTAAAGTAATCTTGCAGATCCTAATAAGAGAATGGGTGTTCAGTTGGGTCTTGAAGGATTTTCATGAACTCACCAGAGAGTGAAGGGAAGAGCAAAGTCATAAAAATACAAGAGAATATGACACTTTCTGGGACTGCAAATGACTAGTTGTGGCTGGAGTGTCAGTTGCTAGTTTAAAAGCAGTGGAAGATGAGCCTGGGGAAGTTGGTAAAGGCCAGGTCATGAAAGGTCAGGAATGCTATGTAAGAAGTCTGGGCTGGGCACAGTGGCCCATGCCTGTAATCCCAGCACTTTGAGAGGCCAAGGCAGGCGGATCACCTGAGGTCAGGAGTTTGAGACCAGCCTGACCAACATGGAGAAACCCCATCTCTACTAAAAATACAAAATTAGCCGGGTGTGGTGGTGCATGCCTGTAATCCCAGCTACTCGGGAGGCTGAGGCAGGAGAATTGCTTGAATCCAGGAAGCAGAGGTTGCGGTGAGCCGAGATCATGCCATTGCACTCCAGCCTGGGCAACAAGAGTGAAACTCCTCAAAAAAAAAGTCTGAACTATAGGTGATGGGCAGTCACAGGGGATTTCAGCAGCAGAGAGCATAATAAGATTTTGTTTTGTTTTGTTTTAGAAAGATGTCAACATAGAGGATGGTTAGGGAAGGGTTAGACTGGATACCTGGAGAGAAGTTGGATTCTCGTAGAAATTCAGATGGGAGAAAAATAAGGATCTAAATTAGCAACAGGAATGGAGAGGAGGAAATGCAATTAAGAAATACTGTATTGCCGGGTGTGGTGGCTCATGCCTGTAATCCCAGCACTTTGGGAGGCCGAGGTGGGCGGATCACAAGGTCAGGAGATCGAGACCGGCTTGTCTAACACGGTGAAACCTCGTCTCTACTAAAAACACACAAAAAAAAATTAGCTGGGCGTGGTGGTGGGCTCCTGTAGTCTCAGCTACTTGGGAGGCTGAGGCAGGACAGTGGCATGAACCCGGGAGGCGGAGCTTCCAGTAAGCAGAGATTGCGCCACTGCACTCCAGCCTGGGCAACAGAGCGAGACTCTGTCTCAAAAAAAAAAAAAAAGAAAAAGAAAAAGAAAAGAAATACTGTATTGCCGGGCACAGTGGCTCACACCTGTAATCCCAGCACTTTTGGGAGGCTGAAGTGGTAGGATCACTTGAGGCCAGGAGTCTGAGACCAGCCTGGGCAACATGTTGAGACCCCATGTCTACAAAAAAAATGACAAGTAATTAGTCGGGAGCAATGGGTCATGCCTATAGTCAGAGCTACTTAAGAGGATGAGGCTAGAGGATCACTTGAACCCAGGAGTTTTAGACTTCAGTGATTTATGATTGCATCACTGCCCTCCAGCCTGGGCAACAGAGTGAGGCCTTGTCTCCAAAAATAATAATAATAAAAAAATAATAAAAATATAAGAATTGTTAAAAGAAATATTGTATTGATTTTTCTGATGACTGAATGAGTTTATTTCATTCTAAAAGGCTTATTTACATCCACAGGGCAAACTTATACAAGGATTAGTCCTGGTCCTTATGGAAGATTGTCAGCTATAACAAGAAACATTGACTGCTTTGTAAAATTCACTGTATTGCAGGTCAACATATCTCAAGCTGACATGCAGGCCATTGGCAACACCATCACAATGGTAACGCAGGATGGCACGCCCATCACAGTCCCCGCCCATGATGCAGTCATCTCCTCAGCAGGAACGCACTCTGTTGCTATGGTTACTGCTGAGGGTACAGAAGGGGAACAGGTAATTACTTTTTTCTGTTATGTCAATCAATACATATATCAGTACCAAAACAGTTACATAGGTATGCAATGTGGTACAACAGTTAAGCACACAAACTTGGGAGTGACTAATATTTTGTAACTTCTTAGCTACTTAACCCTCAGAGCCTGTTTTTCCTCATATGTAAAGTAGGGTGCTAGTTGCATGTACCCCATAAGGTTGATATAAGGATTGAATGAGATAATGTATATAAGGTACTCAGCCCACATATATATTAAGTGTTCAGTAGTGGTAGCTATTCCTATTATCATCATTATCAGATACTTAGGAAATACTTGCAAAACTTACTATTTAATTTTTTGAATATGTCATATATTCATATGGTTTAAAACTCAAAAAATATATACAGGTATGTAATGAAAAGTCTTCATCCCACCCCTGCCTTCATCAACTTGTTCTTGCCTCCACAGATAATCAACTTTTATCAGTTTTTTGTGTATTCTTCCAGTCATTAAGCATATACAAACAAATACAAATAAGTAAATAGTCATCTCCCCCTACCTTTTTTGTTAACTAGCCCACAGCTAACATAATAGCTCTCTTCTGGTTTTTGAGACAGGCTGGAGTGCAGCGGCACGTCATGGCTCACTGCAGCCTCAACCTCCCAGGCTCAAACAATCCTCCCACCTCAGCCTCCCGAGTAGCTGAGACTACAGGTGTGCACCACCATGCCTGGCTAATTTTTATTTTTTATTTTTATTTTTTGTAGAGAAAGGGTCTCACTATGTTGCCCAGGCCTTGGCCTCCCAAAGTGCTGGGATTACAGGCATGAGCCACCATGCCCAGCCTCCATTTTTTTTTTAATGATAGTAAACTAGTCTGTTCTGCATCTTGTTGTTGTCTTTTAAACTTAACATCTTCAAAATCTTTCTATTTCATTATATAGAGAACTTCCTCATTCTGTTTTTTTTTTAAGCTGCATTGTATTCCACTGTATGGATGTGCCGCAATTAAAGTCTTTTGCTATTTCAAACAACACATAACCTTGTGCACATGTGATTTTGCATATATATGTGTGAGTAGATATGCTAGATAAATTCCTAGAGCAGGATTGCTGGTGCAAAGATACATGTATTCGTAATTGTGATCAGTGTTGCCAAACTTCCCTTCTAGGGTTGTGCCAGTCTCCATTCTTACCTGCAGGGTTTGATAGTGCCTCTTCTCCTTCAGCATAGTCACCATGATAGTATCAAACTTTTGAATTTTTGCCAATCTGATGTATTTTTCGTAGTTTTAATTTTCATTTCCCTTAAAATAAATAATGTAATATATTTAAAAACTGTTCTTGTACTGTGCTAAAGGCCAATGTTGAGTCTCACTCTTGAAAAAAGAATGAAGTTGGTGGTCTCATACACCCTGAAATGCAAAACTCAGAATCATAAAGCCTCTAGAAGACAAGAGAGGCAAATACTTCTGCAACCTTAAAGATTACTTGGACTGTATTCAAAATGTACTAACAATGAAAGAAAAAACTGATAAATTGGACTTAATCAAAATTAATTCTGCTCACCAAAAGACACTGTTAAGAAAAAGATCAGACAACCCCCAGACTGAGGAAAAGATATTCACACTATATACACACACTATATTGAATATAAGTCTAAAAACGGACTGTATTGAGAATGTGCAACAAACTTCTACAAATCAACAATGAAAAGATGAACAACCGTTAAAAATGAGCCAAAAAAGTGTTTTAAAATGTACAAATCATTCCGTTGCTCATTGAACAGACCTCCCACAAAAGATTCATAACTCAAAAAGTGCACATCTTTTATCATCAAAGAAATGCAAATTAACATCACAATGAGAGAGCATTTCAAACCCAAGAAGATGGCTAAAATCAAAGACTAACAAAACCAAATGTTGATTTCTCCTAAGAAACTGGTGAGGAAACAACCACCACCACCACCTCCAAATGTTGGCAAAGATGTGGAGCAACTAGAATATTCATATACTGCTAGTGGGAATGTAAAATGATCAATAAGCACATGAAAAGATGTTCAACATCATTAGTCATTAAGAAAATGCAGGCTGGGTGCGGTGGCTCACGCCTGTAATCCCAGCACTTTGGGAGGCCGAGGTGGGTGGATCACCTGAGGTCAGGAATTCAAGACCAGCGTGGCCAAACATGGTGAAACCCCGTCTCTAATAAAAATACAAAAACATTAGCCAGGCGTGGTGGCAGGGTGCCTGTAATCACAGCTACTCAGGAGGCTGAGGCAGGAGAATCGCTTGAACCCAGGAGGCAGAGGTTGCAGTCAGCCGAGATTGCACCACTGCACTCCAGCCTAGGCAAAAAGAGTGAGACTCCGTCTTAAAGAAAAAAAAAAAAAAGCTTCTGGTTATTTTCATAGGAAACAAATTTTTGTATTAACGGTTTAAGCTATTTTAAGCTGCTTGTTACATATTGCCAAATTATTTTTCAGAAAGGTTTAGTAATCGTGTTATGGATCTAAAAGCTTTCTTTTTCACTGTACTCTTGCATTGAGGATTTTTTAAAATATTTACAGAATTAACAAGCAAAAGTTAAATTCTGTTTATTTTCATTTGACCACTGGTGAAGTTAAGCCTGTTTTTCATATTTGCCTGCAATCTGGTTTTTTCTTAATTGAGGTAAAATTTACATAACAATGAAATGCACAGATCTTAAATTTACAATTCAATGAGTTATGTTAAATATGCACCCATATAACTAACATCCTAAACAAAATGTAGAACATTTCTATCACGCTAGAAAGTTACCTTGTGATTCCTTTATAGTCAGTACTCACTCTCCTTAGGCAAAAACTGTTGTGATTGAATTAGTTTTGCCTATTTTTTTTTTTTTTGAGACAGAGCCTCACTCTGTCACCCTGGCTGGAGTGCAGTGGCACGTTCTCAGCTCACTGCAACCTCCCGCGCCTGGCTAATTTTTTTGTATTTTTAGTAGAGATGGGGTTTTAGCATGTTGGCCATGCTGGTCTCGAACTCCGGACCTCAAGTGATCTGCCCGCCTCGGCCTCCCAAAGTGCTAGGATTACAGGCGTGAGCCACCGCACCCAGCTTGGTTTTGCCTATTCTTGAACATTACATAAATGGAACCACAGTATGAACTCTTTTGTGTCTGGGTTTTTCTACTTAACGTTTTGGATATTTATTCACATTGTTGGCATGTAATAACAGTTCATTCTTTTTTATTGCTGAGCAGTGTTCTATTGTAAGAATATACCACAACTTGTTGATATATTCTCCCCTTGGTGAACATTTGAAATGCTTCCAGTTTTTGACTATTATGAATAAGATGGCAGTAAAAATATGTTTGTAGACATATACTCTCATTTGTCTTGGATAAATACCTATTTGTGGAATTGCTGGGTCATAGAATAGAGGCATATTTACCTTTCTATGATAGTACCAAACAATTCTCCAAAGTGGCTGGGCTGTCATACACTCCCACTAGCAATGTCTAAGAGTTCCATTTGTTCAGTGCTGCTTCTTGTGGTTAAAACGTTTTTAAAAAATAGGCTGGGCGCAGTGGCTCACACCTGTAATCCCAGCACTTTGGGAGGCCAAGGTCGGAGGATTGCTTGAGCCCAGGATTTTAAAACCAACCTGGGCAATGTAGCAAGACACTGTTTCCACCAATTTTTTTTTTTTTTTTTTTTTTTTTTTTTGAGACGGAATCTCCCTCTGTCGCCCAGACTGCAGTGCAGTGGCCCAATCTCGGCTCACTGCAACTTCCGCCTTCCGGGTTCAAGTGATTCTCCTGCCTCGGCCTCCTTAGTAGCAGGATTACAGGCACCCACCAGCATGCCCAGCTAATTTTTGTATTTTTAGTAGAGAGGGGGTTTCACCATGTTGGTCAGGCTGGTCTCCAACTCCTGACCTCAGGTGATCCACCCGCCTCGGCTTCCCAAAGTGCTGAGCCACTGTGCCTGTCCAATTTTTTTTTTTTTTTTTTTTTTTAATTAGCAAAGCATGGCAGCATATGCCTGTAGTCCCAGCTACTCTTGAAGCTGAAGTGGGAGGATCACTTAGCCCAGGAGGTTGAGGCTTTGGTGAGCCATGTTCATTGTACTACAGCCTGGATGACAGAGCAAAACCCTGTCTTCTAAAAAAAATAAAAAAGAGGCCAGGCACAGTGGCTCATGCCTGTAATCCCAGGAATTTGGGAGGCTGAGGCAGGTGGATCACAAGGTCAGGAGTTCGAGACCAGCCTGGCCAGCATGGTGAAACCCTGGCTCTACTAAAAATACAAAAAATTAGCATGGTGTGGTGTGCACCTTTAGTCCCAGCTACTCAGGAGGCTGAGGCAGGAGAATTGCTTGAACCCGGTAGGTGGAGGTTGCAGTGAGCTGAGATTGCACCATTGCACTCCAGCCTGAGTGACAGCGAGACTCCGTCTCAAAAAAATAAAAAATAAAAAAGAATTCTGTTTGTTTCATATTATCACCAACATTTGGAGTTGTTTTAAAGTTTTAGCCATTCTACTGGATGTTAAGTGGTCTATCATTGTGGTTTTAATTTACATATAAAAAAGCTAATATATCACTTGGTTATGATGTATTTTTGTATTTTGCTGGATTCAATTAGCTAATATTTTTTAAAGATGATTTTTTAGAGCTGTTATAGGTCACCACAAAATTGAGAGGTAGGTACAGAGACTTCCCTTACACTCCCTGCCCCCACACATACATAGCCTCCTGCATAATGAACACCCCCACCAGAGGAACACGTTTGTTACTGTTGAAACCTACACGTACACATCACAATCACCCAGAGTCCATCATTTACATCAGGATTCACTGTTAGTGTTGTACATTCTATGGGTTTGGACAAACGTATGATGACATACATCTATCAATAGAGGATCATACTCTATTAGAGTATTTTTACTGCCCTTAAAATCCTCTGTGACAATTTGCTAATATCTTGTTAAGGATTTTGGTGTCAATGTTTATGAACCATATTGATCTATAATTTATTATGAAATTATAAGAAAAAGTTTCATCTCCTGTTTCAATATCAGGGTTAGGCTTGCCTCATAAAACAAGTTGGGAAGTGTTCTCTTCTGTACTATTTTCTGATAGTTGTGTAAGATTGGTATTATTTCTCCATAAAAGCTTGATAGAGTTAATTAGGACACCACCATCTATGCCCAGAGTTTTCTTTTTGCGGAGGTTTTTTTTTGTTTTTTTTTTGTTGTTGTTGTTGTTGTTTTTTACTATGGATTCAAGTTTTTAAGTGGATCTATACTATTCAAGTTATCTATGTTTTTTTGTATCCATTTTGCTAAGTTTTGTTTTTGTAAGTTTGTCTGTTTCATCTAAGTTTTCATATTTATTGATATAAAGATGTTCATACTATTTCCTTATTATCTCTTTAATATACATAGGATCTGGGGGCCGGGTGCGGTGGCTCATGCCTGTAATCCCAGCACTTTGGGAGGCTGAGGCAGGTGGATCACCTGAGGTCAGGAGTTCAAGACCAACCCAGGGCAACATGGTGAAACCCCATCTCTACTAAAAATACAAAATTAGCCAGGTGTGGTGGCGCATGCCAGTAGTCCCAGCTACTCAGGAGGCTGAGGTGGGAGGATCATTTGAGCCCAGGAGGCAGAGGTTGCAGTGAACTGAGGTAGCACAGCTACACTACAGCCTGGGCGACAGAGGGAGACCCTGTCTCAAAAAAAAAAAAAAAAAAAGTCAGTGGAAGGTAAAGCAATTCTTAGAGGAAAATTTCTTTTAAATGCTTGTATTGGAAAAAAAAGGTTTAAATTGAATGATCTTAGTTTCTACCTTAAGAAAAATTAAACAAAAAAAGTAAATGGAAGGAAATAAGGACTGGGCGCAGTGGCTCACACCTGTAATCTCAGCACTTTGGGAGGCTGAGGCAAGTGTTCCCGAGTAGCTGGGACCCAGGCTGGCCTCAAACTCCTGGGCTTCAGGGATCCCTCAGCCTCAGCCTCCCAAGAAGCTAGGACTGCAGGTACAAGCCACTGCTTCTGGGGAAAAAAAAAAAAATTTAAATTGTCTACTGCCCTTCTGGAACTCTAGTTACATGTATATTAACTAGGTGTTGTCTTACAAGTTGCTGGGAATCTATTTGGCTTTTTTGTTTTTTGTTTTTTTGAGACAGTTTTCGCTTTTGTTGCCCAGGCCGGAGTGCAATGGCACGCTCTCGGCTCACTGCAACCTCCGCCTCCCGGGTTCAAGCGATTCTCCTGCCTCAGCCTCCCAAGTAGCTGGGATTACAAGCACCGGCCACCACACCTGGCTAATTTTTGTAATTTTAGTAGAGACGGGGTCTCACCATGTTGGTCAGGCTGGTCTCGAACTGCTGACCTCAGGTGATCCACCCGCCTTGGCCTCCCAGAGTGTTGGGATTACAGGTGTGAGCCACCACACCTGGCCTATTTGGGGTTTTTAACAATCTTTCTCAAGGTTCTTCAGATGGAGAATGTATATTAATTTGTCTTTGACCTGGTTCTCCTCCCTCAGCCTCCCGAGTAGCTGGGACTACAGGCACCCGCCACCATGCCCAGCTAATTTTTTGTATTTTTTTTTTTAGTAGAGGTGGGGTTTCACCATGTTGGCCAGGCTGATCTCGAACTCCTGACCTCAGGTGATCCACCCACCTCGGCCTCCCAAAGTGCTAGGATTACAAGCGTGAGCCATCATGCCTGGCTAAGCAATTGTAATTTTTAAATTGCATTCTGGACCTTGTGGATGACACATTATAGAGATTCTGAATTTTGTTATCTTTCTCTGGAGAATATTGATTTTTTTTTTCTATTAGCTAGTTAAATTACGTGTTGTGGCTGGGTTTTGTACTTTGTTAAGGCAGGTCTGTTTCAGTGTTGCTATAAGGTCTTAGGGTGAATATTTAGTCCTGGGACGTAATCTTACCTCCTAACTTGGTAAGATTGAAACTTCAAATTCCGTCTCTCTTTGGTGAGTTGCACTGAAAGCTCTCCTTAGTTTCTCAGCCTTCTAGATGCTGCTTTGCCAGTCTTGTTGGAATGTTGTTGGAAACCGGAAATATTTGTGTTGAGGGGTCTTAAGGATTTGAGGCCGGGCGCGGTGGCTCACGCCTGTAATCCCAGCACTTTGGGAGGCTGAGGCGGGCGGATCACGAGGTCAGGAGATCGAGACCATCCTGGCTAACACGGTGAAACCCCGTGTCTACTAAAAAATACAAAAAATTAGCTGGGCGTGATGGCGGGCGCCTGTAGTCCCAGCTACTCGGGAGGCTGAGGCAGGAGAATGGCGTGAACCCGGGAGGCGGAGCTTGCAGTGAGCCAAGACGGCGCCACTGCACTCCAGCCTGGGCGACAAAGTGAGACTCCGTCTCAAAAAATATATAATAATAATAATTATTATTCTGGCTGGGCGCGGGGGCTCACGTCTGTAATCCCAGCGCTTTGGGAGGCCGAGGCGGGTGGATCGCCTGAGGTCAGGAGTTCGAGACCAGCCTGACCAACTTGGAGAAACCCTGTTTCTACTAAAAATACAAAAATTAGCCGAGTGAGGTGCCGCATGCCTGTAATCCCAGCTACTCGGGAGGCTGAGGCAGAAGAATCGCTTGAACCTGGGAGGCAGAGTTTGCAGTGAGCTGAGATCAAGCCATTGCATTCCAGCTTGGGCGACAGAGCGAGACTACCTCAAAAAAAAAAAAAAAAAAAAGGATTTGAGGACAGTTTATACAAAGATTTGGGGGCTTCCCACTCAAATTCTTTGCTTTCTGGGCTATTCTTCTCTGTACTGCTATTCTGGCAGCCCTGGACTCCATTATCTTTAACCTTAAGTTGCCCCAGGCTGCTCAAACTGGGTAGTGCCCTCAGTGTGAAATCTATTTAAACACAGATATAACACAGTGTGACTCCCTTCTTTTGAGAATCCCCTCTAGTTTCTTCCTGCTTGTCATTGCTCCTCAAAGCCTTCATATAGTTGCTTTTTCATATTTTTGTCAAGGGTTTATAATTGTTATCTGCAGGAAGGTTAGCCCAATATAAGCTACTTAGACATTGCTGGAATGAAATCTGTTTTTCTTATAGAATTAGGGAACATTATTGGGATTGATCCAAGCTAAATATCTATTAGCTTAAAATGTAGCATTTTTAGTGGATGAATAGCCAAGTAAAACAGCAGTTTTCATTTTTAATCTATTCTTTCTCTGAATTTGGCTGAGTAAAATTTTAGAATATCATCTAACAGAAATAGTTAATTGCCATTTTCCATGTTATCTGCATTTTTTTAAAAAGTTGTACTTGTGGTATAAGAGCCACAAAAGCCCTTTTAATCCTCCTGGCTAGATGCTGCAAGAGGAGTATGGGAAGATTCCATGGAGTCTAAAATGGGAAATGAGTATGAGATGAGATGCTGTTTGTCAGTAGTACCACTGGTCCTTTCAGTTTTCCTAGTTAAATGGAAATCTAATTTTAAATACGACAAGTAAAGAGGAAAAAAATCATTTATTTTCTCCTATGAGCCAATCTCAGGAAAAAAAAATGGACATTTGAGGTGCAAATTAGTCCACATACATAACTTCCCAAGCAGTCACTTAGGGGTAATAGAATCTAGGTACAGCCACATCTCCCTGGCTAATGGGGCCTGGCATAGCAGATCCATTTCTCCAGTGTTCTCTACCCTATTTTGCCGTTGGCTCACTTCATAACCTTAGATAATGAGCCTCAACTTCCTCAAATAAACCTCCTTTCAATATAGGCTTTGACAAGTCTATGGTCAGAGGAGTTTTTCCTTTTCAATTTGAAGAAATCCATTGTATTAAGTGGACTTTAACCTATTTAAATCGCAGGTTTAATTCTTTATGTGTATGGTTTGTTTTGTTTTGCTTAAGGTTGCAATTGTAGCTCAAGACTTGGCAGCATTCCATACTGCCTCATCAGAAATGGGGCACCAGCAGCATAGCCATCACTTAGTAACCACAGAAACCAGACCTCTGACCTTAGTAGCAACATCCAATGGCACCCAGATTGCAGTTCAGGTGAGTACCAAGGCATACTGTCCTCAGTCGACAGCAGTGCTGCTCATAGCTTTCAACTTTGTACACTGTGCTTCGTGTATAACCTTTACAGGAGGCAAGGTGTAGAATAATCTCTATCACCTAGCCTACTTTAAGGAAATCGGTGTATTTGAGGTGGACTCAAAAAGACCAGCACTTTGTTCTCTACCCATCTTTGCATATTCTAGGGGAATTTATAGCAAGAAAAAAAACCTTCAGGTATATATCCCTGTGTGCACCCACCCAGGCATCTTTACTCTCAAAATAAAAGTCTAATTAGGCAGGGGTCTGTAAAGCACTTAAGAGCTACTCCTTAGAGAAAAACCTAGTGGAAACACAAATCCTAAATAAGTCCTCTGAGAATCCTTGCACAGCCCCCATTTTAAAGTGGGGAATGTCAGAAGACTTAGAAGGAATCATTCTCTGGGAAGCAGAGAATTTAGAATCTTAGGTGCAGCCGGGCATGGTGGCTCATCCCTATAATCCTAGCACTTTGGGAGGCTGAGACAGGTAGGTAGCTTGAGCTTAGGAATTAGAGACCAGCCTGGGCAACATGGTGAAAACCATCACTACAAAAAACACAAAAATTAGCTGGGTGTGGTGACGGCTGCCTGTAGTGCCCAGCTACTTGGGGGGTGCTGAGGCAGGAGGATTACTTGTACCCAGGAGATTTGAGGCTGCAGTGAGCCAAGATTGTGCCACTGCACTCCCGCCTGGGTAACAAATGAGACCCCATCTCAAAAAATAAGAGACCAGCCCAGGCAACATGACGAAACCCCATCTCTACAAAAATACAAAAATTAGCCAGGTGTGGTGGTGTGCACCTGTAGTCCCAGCTACTCAGGTGGCTGAGGTGGAAGGATCACTTGAGCAAGGGAGGTTGAGGCTGCAGTGAGCCAAGATCGCACCACTGTACTCCAGCCTGGGCAACAGAGCGAGACCCTGTCTCAAAAAAAAAATTAGAATGTAAAGTAAAATAGAATCCTAGGGGCTAGGTGCAGATTACCTGTCCTTAGGGAGATTTTTTTTCCGCCCACGTGTTTACTTGATAAAGAGTTAGAACACACTCCAGGAAATGTCAGCTGTTGGCTTTATGTAGTTTATGGGTATAGAAGCTAAAGGCTCAAGAAGCTCTCTTTTGTTGGCTGAGGTAAGCATCTTTTGTCTCTTGCATGTATGAATTTTTTTTTTTTTTAGTTTTTATTTATGTAAAAATAAATAGAGATGGGGTCTCACTATGTTGCTCAGGCTGGTCTTGAACTCCTGGGCTCAAGTGATCCTCCTGCCTCAGCCTCCCAAAGTGCTACGATTATAGTCATGAGCCACCATGGCCAGACTGTATGAAGATTTTATCAAAATCCCAAGTAAATTGCAGGCCAGGCACGGCAGGCTGGGAGTACAGGTGCACGCTGCCATGCGCAGCTAATTTTTGTTTTTTGAGACGGAGTCTCGCTCTGTCACCCAGGCTGGAGTGCAGTGGCACCATCTTGGCTCACTGCAAGCTCCGCCTCCTGGGTTCATGCCATTCTCCTCCCTCAGCCTCCCCAGTAGCTGGGACTACAGGCACCCATCACCACGCCCAGCAATTTTTTTTTTGTATTTTTTAGTAGAAATGAAATGGGGTTTCACTGTGTTAGCCAGGATGGTCTCAATCTCCTGACCTCGTGATCTGCCCGCCTCGGCCTCCCGAAGTGCTGAGATTACAGGCGTGAGCCACCGCGCCCAGCCAATTTTTGTATTTTTTTAGTAGAGATGGGGCGTTTTGCCATGTTGCTCAGGCTGGTCTCGAACTCCTGGGCTCAAGCAATCTGCCTGCCTCCACCTCCCAAAGTGTTGGGATTACAGGCATGGGCCACCATGCCCCGCTGAGACCTCATCATATCACCAGGCCTGGCTGCACATAGGATTTGAAATTCAAAAAAGAAAAAGAAATTGCATTGCATTATTCTCCCCTGCAGGAAATTGTTTTGTTCTCTTAATGTTTGAGTTAGCAGTAGTATTTTAACAATCCCAAGTGTCAGAATTACAGAGAGAAGTTTCACTTCTGGCATATAACATTTCTTTGGCATTTTCTTGACTGTGGCTTTTGAATTGTTAGCGTTTGATGTGTGTGTTCCTGTTTCAGCTTGGAGAACAGCCATCTCTGGAAGAAGCCATCAGAATAGCGTCTAGAATCCAACAAGGAGAAACGCCAGGGTTGGATGATTAATCCTCAGAACAATGGAGCAATAAAGCAGAAGGAGTCTTTCATCTTCTGGCAGCAGAAATCCATGAAGCCCGGGCCCAGGAAAATTAGAAGTTTTCCATTCCTGATACACTGTACACATTTTTATGCGAGAGTGGAGAACATTTTATTCTTGACACTTTTGTGTATATAACCCTTGGAATAGATTCTCAGAGTGATTCATTGTGTACAAGGAAGTATGAAATTAGGGCAATACAGTAAATTTTCATGTTACTCTTTTATCAGATCACAAACTCCTAGAGTCTACATGCAAGACTAGTAAAGTCTTATGGAGTCTTATGATGGATTTTTAACTTCCCGTGGAAAAAAAAATAAAGGCTGTATCTAAAATATCAAAGGTTCTATATGTCACACAATCGTAATTCCAAAAGCCATTATGGATAATAAAGGGTGTAAAGCCTTCAGATATTTCCCCAGTTAGTAGAGTGTCTGCGGTTTTTGTTCTACTATATGCTTGTCCATTTTTATTTGTATCTCATGGTTTGCAGACTGTTTGAATAATTTATAGTTTCCCATCCCTGTTAAAAACCAGCTCTTCAAGCTGAAATGCTAATTATATTGGCATTACATTGAATTATGTACAAAATTATAAAATTTGGTTATTTAAAATTAAAAAGTTAAATCCAGTGGTTTTGTTAAAGATTTTGCTTAGTATTCAATTTTTATTACTGTTTTTTAAAAATAATGAATCATCAAAGTTTAACCACAGGCTGGTGCCCGGGATAACAGTACTGTAATTGGAAATGGCTTTACTCTGAAAATTAGGTTAGTGGGTTGGTGTAAATTATTTATTTTTGCTTATGTACTTTTGTTTTAAAGCTTATTTACCCCAAAGTTTATTATTAATTTTGAATACAGCAATTTTTAAAATGTTACTTTTATATTTATTTATTTATCATATTGGTGGGGGGTTGGGGGGAAATGGTGCAGAAAATATCGCAAATGTAATGGAATGTAACCTAATACACATATTGAAAGGATGTTGTTTATCAAGTACAGAGTAAGTGCTTTTCCATATATTTTTATATATTCACAACAATTTTGTGAGACATATGGGATTTACTACCTCCGTTTTTTACATGAGGAAACCAAGAGTCCAGGAGGGAGGCTGACTGTCGTACCAGCCCTCACAGCTATGGAGAGGCAGGACCAAGACGAGAACCCAGACTTTCTGGCTCCAAGTCTAGTGTGTTTTCACTGCACCACAGTTACCTCCTCAAATGCTCATTTGTGGCAGAGATTATCAAGATGAACTTTGGTGATTTCTGATTGCCTAATGAATTGAGCAGTATAAAAACCATTTTCTAATGCTGGAAAATCAGCGTTCACCAAGGTCAAAAAAAAAAAAAAAAAGATGGTGTGTTCCGCAGCAGCCCCTCCTGCACTGTAGTTCAGCGAGCTTTATTTGCAGAGAGCTGAAATGTGGCTTTTTCATTTCAAGCTTTACAGTAGAAAGGGGAAAACGTTGTGCTGTTTGATTTTACATAAATGTTATCTTTGATCAGGTTCTATGATCTTGCTAAAAAGGATGGTGACTTACTTGAAATCGGAAGCCCTTCAGGGTTGGGCAGAACTTTTCCTGCAGAACCCTTTACAGATGCATAACATTAGCAAAAGCCCTAGTCAACCACCGATCGAGTCTTCATTCTTGACAGAGACACAGACCCACACAGAACTCCCCCCGGAAGCCCACTGAGGCTCAGAAAGGGGCTGTTGGGCGGGGTAGAAGACCAGAATCTGCAAAATCGCAGGCAGGGTGGCGCCCAGCCTCCCAGTGCTGGTCCTGGCTGCTGGCCAGGAGCTCCTCCCCACTGGGCCCAGCCAGGCTGCTGTACTTCCCAGGACCAAAAACCAAGCTGTCAGCCTCCCATGGCCCCTTAGATCTGACTTTGCTCAAATTCCAGGGTGTTTCTCTTTACTCCCAGCACCTTTGCCAGTTGGATTGGGCAGGGCTTAACCTGGACTGTTTTGGTTAGCCTGATTATCCCTCAGCTCAAAAGAAAATGACCTCTGGCACCCAGAGAAAAGGGCCTAGGGTCGCTGCTAGTTTAACCTGACCTGCCTTCTTGGGAATGGGGCCTCAGGAGCCTGGCAAGGTGGCCTGTTTCCTCCAGGGGAAGGGTGCAGTTGGTGTGCTGACAATTGCTAGGAAAGCTGCTATAGGGTCTCTTCACAGTGCAGGACATGGAAACGTCCAAGGTTGAAAAATCCCAAAAAGACACTTGAAATAAGAGTAAACGCTAGCAAACAGAACCAGGTGGGGCATAACCCTCTGGAATTTGATCCAGACAGTGCTCAAGGAAAACCTCTCCGTCCAAAAAAACCACCCTGCTTTGCCCCAGACAAAGCTTGAGGCCACTACAAAGAAAATGTGCCCTAGTCTGAACTCAAAAGAACTTAGAGTTAAGGGAGGGACGAGGCTTTCTTAATTCTCTAGAGGTGACAGCTGCCCAGAGAGCCAGATCTCTCCTTCCCCTCCTACCCACCCCCAGGCCTTCAGGGCAAACTAACTTTGTACAGTGTCTCTTGCTTGCTGCTTGCCTTCCCGTGTGACAGCCCTGGGGCTAGGTAAGCAACTTGGGAAACTGTGGTCTCAGTGCTGAAACTGACTGGACTCCATTTATCAACCCAAGGAGTTTACCGTCCAGTATTTCCTGGCTCAGATAAGATTATAGACTAGTCAACTATTGGTAGACCTCAGCAGCGAGCGAGGAGTGGGATGTGAAAAAGAAGGGGGCAGAGCTGAAGTCTAGTGTCGAAGAGGAAAAGGGAGCGTGTTGGAAGGGGAGAAAAGCTGCCTCAGCCTCCTGCATGATAAGCACTTTCTGTACCTAGGTTTCCTTCAGGGATGACGCTTTCAAGGAATACTCCAGCCAAATACTCCCCTTCTGCCTGAGGGACAGGACACGCCTGCATGGGCATGTGATCAGTACAGTTTGAACAAGAAAGTGCACTCAGAAGGGCCCTGGATTTGGGGTTTAATGGACTGTGGTTGCAGTCTTGAAATTCTTTTTGTTTATTTATTTTTGAGACAGGGTCTCGCTCTGTCACCTAGGCTTGAGTGCAGTGGCGTGGTCAGGGCTCACTGCAACCTCCTCCTGGGCCCCAGCTATCCTCTCACTTCAGCCTCCCAAGTAGCTGGGACCACAGGTGCTCACCACCATGCCCAGCTAATTTTTGTATTTTTGGTAGAGATAGGGTTTCACCATGTTGACCAAGCTGTTCTCAAACTCTTGAGCTCAAGTGATCCACCTCCCAAAGTACCGGAATTACAGGCATGAACCACTGCGCCCGCCCGGCTGCGGTCTTGATGTCTATCTTTGTGTGTGTTTTGTAAATGAAGTCTCATGCATCAACAAAGCATGTGCTGGGGGCTTAGCGCCTGAGCTTACACACAGCTCCACCGGCTGCTGCCTCCCTGGAAGTGCTCTCACCACCACTGCCCCACCTGGCCTCTCCCTCCTTGCCCTCACCCTGCAACTGCTGCCACCCTCTAACCTTGGCAGGAGTCTGATCCCAGTTCAGGGAGGGTTGGGGCGTGGTGGTGGCCATCCCCACTCCAGGCTGGCAGCACCACAGTGCTCCTGGTGGACAATCAGCCTTAGTTGAGCCTTGAAAGGGGCAAGACTTTTGCCCAGCCCTTTACTGACAGTGTCCCAGTTCTGAGTTTTAAAGACACTGGTAGCCCATTTGCTGTAGGCTGAGGTGGCAGGCCTGTGGGAAGGGGAGACACCTGGAGGAAAGGGAACCTGGAACCTGTCAGACCCAACAGAGCACCTGCCCACAGGCATCTGTGAGGTCCCCTGCCCTGGAGGCTTTCTCAGCAGGCTCTGTGCCTGGAGGAATCCTCTCTTCCTCCTTCCAACTTTCCTGAGCCTGGCTTGTGTTTGTTGTGCCTTTGAACCAGCAGGAGATAACCCTTCTGGGATGAACCACAAAATTCAAATTGTATAATTTCAGTGATTCCAAATATGAGATAAATATTCTGATATTCACATTTAAAATTGGCATTGTATGATATAAAAGTGGAGGGTAAAATGCATGCCAAAATTTTTAATTTGTCGTTTTTCTTTTCTTTTTTTGAGACAGAGTCTTGCTCTGTTGCTCAGGCTGGAGTGCAATGGCGCGATCTCGGCTCACTGTAACCTCCGCCTCCTGGATTCAAGTGATTCTCCCGCTTCAGCCTCCCGAGTAAGTGGGATTACAGGTACCCGCCATCATGCCCGGCTAATTTTTGGTATTTTTGTAGAGACAGGGTTTCACTATTTGACCAGGCTGGTCTCGAACTCCTGACCTCAGGTGATCCACCTGCCTCGGCCTCCCAAAGTGCTGGGATTACATGTGTGAGCCACTGAGCCCGTCCTGTAGTTTTTCTTAGAATGACATTAAGTAGCAAATAAGCACCATGACAAGTCAAGAGAAAGACTATAAAAGAAGGAAAAAGCTTATGTCTACCATTTTGTGTATGTAATAAAATATACATAAAATATACCATTTTAACTATTTTTGAGTGTGCAGTGGTACTTAGTCAACCCTCTGTATCCATCAGTTCCACATCCCTGGGTTCCACATCCATGGAGTCAACCAACCATGGATCGAAAATATTCAGGAAAAAGGCTGGTGTGGTGGCTGACACCTGTAATCCCAGCACTTTGGGAGACCTAGGCAGGAGGATCACTTGAGGCCAGAAGTTCAAGGCCAGCCTGGGCAACATAGTGAGACCCTGTCTCTACAAAAAAAAGAAAAAATATATTCAGGGAAAAAAAGACTAAGTTCCAAAAAGCAAGCCTTGAATTTGCAAGGTACCAAGTACTATGTTGAATTCATAAGAATGATGTGTAGGCATTGTATTGGGTATTATAAGTAATCTAGAGATGAATTAAAGTATGCAGGAGGATGTGTGTAGGTTATATGCAAATACTATACCATTTATTATCAGGGACTTGAGAATCCATGGATTTTGGTGTCCTTGATGAATCCTAGAACGAATCCCCCTCCAATACTGCAGGACAACTGTACATTCACATTGTTGTGCAACCATCACCACCATCCATCTCCAGAACTTTTTCATCTCCCCAAACTGAAATTGTACCCATTAAACAATAATTCCACATCCTTCCTCATTCCAGTTCCTGACAACCACCATTTTATTTTATTTTATTTTATTTTTATTTTTTTCAGACAGGGTCTTGCTCTGTCACCCAGGCTAGAGTACAGTGGCATGATCTCGGCTAGAGTACAGTGGCATGATCTCGGCTCACTGCAACCTCCCCCTCCTGGGTTCATGCGATTCTCCTGTCTCAGCCTCCCAAGTAGCTGGGACTACAGGC
The DNA here is from genome assembly GCF_000001405.40 of Homo sapiens. Classification (NCBI taxonomy): domain Eukaryota; kingdom Metazoa; phylum Chordata; class Mammalia; order Primates; family Hominidae; genus Homo; species Homo sapiens. The sequence goes on from NC_000011.10 coordinate 9,532,980, forward strand.
ACGTGCCACCATGCCCGGCTAACTTTTGTATTTTTAATAGAGACGGGGTTTTGCCATGTTGGCCAGGCTAGTCTTGAACTCCTGACCTCAAGTGATCTGCTTGCCTTGGCCTCACAAAGTGCTAGGATTACAGGCGTGAGCCACCGTGCCCAGCCACCATTCTATTTTCTGTCTCTATAAATTTGACTGTTGTAGGCGCCTCATATTATATTTGTCTTTTTGTGTCTGGCTTTATGTGTACCTTTAAAAGCAAGTTTTTCCTGTCTTTTGACCAAGAGGTTGCGTATTTTCATTTTTGCACGGAGCCGCACAGATTATGTAGCCTGTCCTGCTGAGGCGTGCGCTTCTATTAGCCCTTCTGTTTTTGCTGCAGATGTGTGACCTGTGTTTTGGGAATATATTATCTCTTGTTAGATTATGGGCTCCTTTAAGACAGCTGGGGATTTAAATTTCCCGGTAACTCCTGGAGGTCTTGCAGAGTAGCAGGGCACCTCTAGCTGTTCCCTCCAGTTCCAAACTCACGTGGCTTGAGATGTACAGAGAGATTCCTCAATTCTCCATGCAGGAGTTTCGTTTTGCTTCTAGAGCACGGCTAAACTGCAAGGACAGAAAATCTTGCTGAGAATGAAGAATGCTCAAAATTCAGGATAATTGCATGAATAGTTAAAATTGCCTGGCAAAAGCTTTTTCTGCTCACTTTTCTGCATTCAGACTGTGAAACAAAAATAGAATCTTGGGACCTCAAATTCACTAGGCCAAAGCTTGGGAACTGAGTCATGCAAACAAAAAAGCAAAAATAAAACAAAAATACGGCCTTTCTTTTGTTCCCAAAGAGCTGTAATTTCACATGCTCACCTTATCTTATAAAAAATGTAGATTGACTGAGCATGAGACTAATGCATAATTGACTTTTCCTCTACCCCTTTCTTTTTACATGTAAAACATAGACTCACTGAACTCTAACCGGAGCCTCACAAGAATGTAACCACTTGCCTCATTGCCTACCCACCCTCCTTTTTTTTTTTTCCCTTCCCCTCCTGCTTGCCCTTTCCTCTGTGAAAGGAAAATAAAAACTTGGGACCCTAATTTCACTATGCCAAAAGAAAAATATTAAGCTGAAAGCTGAATTATCCAAGAAGTTACTTTTCCTTTTGTTCCTAAGCAAGTAGCTACAGATAAAAAGTTAAGTATCTCCACAGAGCTACTCTATGTTCACCTTAGCTGCTACAAAGATGAATATATAATTGACTATTCCCCTACCTGCTCCTTTTCTCTTGCAACATGTGGATTCAGTCATGTGACCATACCCTCCGTCTTTCCCCTCCAGCCTGCTTTTCCCACTTTTAAATATTGAAGCCCTCAAAACCATATTTGGAGAAAGGCACAGACCTGTCTCCCAAGTGCACGTCCTTAACGCTGGCAACATAAATTTCTAAATTAATTGTTACCTATCTCAGATACTTTTTGGTTTACACCTCTTGAAATATTGAAGTTCCCCAAATCCTCTTTGGAAAAACACGGGTCACAGATCGTATTGTGACTTGGGTTTCTTTTTCCCAGGCACGTCCTCAGCCTTGGCAAAATAAACTTTGAATCAGTTGAGATCTGCCATGGTCATGTTTTGGTTTACAAGATGAAAGAAAATGAGATTCCAGCTCTAATGTCAATTCCAGATTTCTTCCCACTTTGCCTCACTGCTGCAGGGGTTCCCTGGCACGCACAGGTCACAGCACACAGAAGCCCCCCACAAGCCTAATCACTAATCTGCCCCAAAGCCCCCCAGCCTAGGAAAGGGATGTGGAAAACAGCTCTAATCTGGGTGCAGACTCAGTGCCAGTGCCCTTCACACAAATTCTGCAAATTCTAAAGAAAACCCAAAGTGGTAAAAAAAAAAAAAAAAAAAATCTCTGCTGCCCCAAGGGGTTTGGCTTATCTTTTTAAATAGGAAATCTTTACTCCAAGCCAGTGACAGGGCTTTTGTGCTGATGAGGGCCCTAGGAGCACAGTAGGTCCCGCTTGAGGGCAGCTCCCACACTCACCTGATGTTTTATTCAGCTAAAACTCATTAGGCATGTTTCCCCACTGCCTTAGGGCTTTTCTAATATCCTGAAATTGCTTCATGTTCTTTTAACCGAAAAAGCAGGGGCAACAGAAAAATGGGAGCGCTTCTTTTTTTTTTTACAAAGGTGGGCTTCACTGTTGGAAAGCTGGTGGAACCTTTGGGTATTTCAAAGCCAAAAAGAAAAGCAGCTGGTTAATGAATTAAAGGCAGGATGGTGGGCCTTGGGGTCCACCACCAGCAGGAGGCGCTGTGGAGGTCCAGGGAGCAATCCATCTGCTTGCTTCACCATTTCCTTCTGGGACAAATGAGCCAGCTGTGCCTTGATGGGGGCAGTCAAAACAAGGCAAGTGATGAGAAGAACCCTGACAGCCTCAGGCCATTGGGACATCACTAAAGAGGAAATGCCCTCACCAGACTAGTTTTGTCTCCTTGCACAATCTGGCAGCCTCTTTTGGTTTTATAGCCAGTGTTGACCAAGATGATACTTCCAGGAGTAGCTCAGATTTGGCTTCCTGAGACGCCAGTTGCAATCCTGTGACAAGAAGGTGCTGAGAACTAATCATTCTCACACAGGCACTTCCAGGGCAAATCTCTGCCAGGCCTAAGGAGTCTCCGGCCCCAGCCACTCATTCCTAGCAACATTCCACACTCTTTGTTTTGTTTTTGAGATGGAGTCTCGCTGTGTTGCCCAGGCTGGAAGTGCAGTGGCACGATCTCGGCTCACTGTAACCTCTGCCTCCCAGGTTCCAGCAATTCTCCTGCCTCAGCCTCCTGAGTAGCTGGGAATACAGGCATGTGCCACCACGCCCAGCTAATTTTTGTATTATTCGTAGAGATGGGGCTTCACCGTGTTGGCCAGGCTGGTCTTGAACTCCTGACCTCAGGTGATCCACCTGCCTCAGCCTCCCAAAGTGCTGGGATTACAGGCATGAGCCACCAGTCCCGGTCTTTTTTTTTTTTTCTGTTTGTTTTTGAGATGGAGTTTCGCTCCTGTTGCCCAGGCTGGAGTACAGTGGCACGATCTCGGCTCACTGCAACCTCCGCCTCCTGGGTTCAAGCGATTCTCCTGCCTCAGCCTCCTGAGTAGCTAGGACTATAGGCGCCTGCCACCATGACCCCCTAATTTTTTGTATTTTTAGTAGAGACAGGGTTTCACCATGTTGGCTAGGCTGTCTCGAACTCCTGACCTCAGGTGATCCACCTGCCTCGGCCTCCCAAAGTGCTGGGATTACAGGCATGAGCCACTGCACCCGGCCCATTCCACACTCTTAAACCCAGTCTTAAGGTGAGGCCAGGCTGCTGCCGTATTTGCCGTTCTGCATGCCTTCTACAGTCTTAGGAGAAGGTCTACATGGTCACCTTCCTTCATCCCCACAGGGAAAGTCACTTGCTCATCCACAGGCAGAGCCCTGTCCAGGGCTCCAGTGTCAACCATGACTGGAGACAATAGGCTGTCAATAGATTCTATCCCAAGTTCTTGGACAAGAAATTTTGGAATAAATGCCAAACTTATAGGATAAATGCCAAATTCTTGTCCAAGAACTTGGGATAGAAGCCCCATTGCTGCCCTGCCCTTGGACCCAAGTCTAATAAGTGGGCTCTGACATTGTTCTTGAGGATTGACTCTGCCTTGATCACCTCTCCTGGCCCCCAGACTTGCTAAACTGTGGCTATGTTTATCCCAGCAAAACTCCACAGGACTCAGAGTTACTGAAATCCAGCCTGGTAGCAAGGGGTCTTATTCAAGGGGTCTTATTCCTACCATGACTCCTCTCTCCTCCTGCCCCTGAATTCTCTACCCTTCAGAGGAGCTTTTTTTTGTTTGTTTTATTTTATTTTATTTTAATCCTATGACACTACTTTTTTGCCTGATTGCCACTGTTAATTTTTATTTTTATTTGAGACAGGCTGGGGTGCAGTGGTGCAATCTCTGCTCACTGCAACCTTTGCCTCCTGGGTTCAAGTGATTCTTATGCCTCAACCTCCCGAGTAGCTGGAACTACAGGCGTGCGCCACCATGCCCGGCTAATTTTTGTATTTTTAGTAGAGACGAGGTTTTGCCGTGTTGGCCAGACTGGTCTCAAACTCCTGGCCTCAAGTGATCTTCCCACCTTGGCCTCTCAAAGTGTTGGGATTACAGGCGTGAGCCACCGTGCCTGGCCTGCCGCTGTTGACTATGTCTTCAGATACACAGTGTTGCATGAGGGACCAATAAATCACAGGAAAGATATAGAAATGGCAGTTTAAACATATCAAAAAATGCATAACCTCACTTATAATAAGATAAATTAATATTAAAACTATACCAAAATTATTTCAAAAAGTTTTTTAAAGTTTAAAAAACCTATACTGGGCTGGCTGCAGTGGCTCACGCCTGTAATCCCAGCACTTTGGGAGGCCAAGGTGGGCAGATCACGAGGTCAGGAGATCGAGACCATCCTGGCTAACACGGTGAAACCCTGTCTCTACTAAAAATACAAAAAAATTAGTCGGGCGTGGTGGCAGGTGCCTGTAGTCCCAGCTACTCGGGAGGCTGAGGCAGGAGAATGGCATGAACCTGGGAGGTGGAGCTTGCAGTGAGCCGAGATGGTGCCACTGCACTCCAGCCTGGGTGACAAAGCGAGACTCCATCTCAAAAAAAAAAAAAAAAGAAAAAAGAAAAAACTTATATGAAATCCCATTTTTCACCCATAGAATCGGTAAATATCAAAAAAGTTGATAATGTTGTTGGCAAAGATGCAGGAAAATAGGTTTTTGTTTTGTTTTGTTTTTTTGAGACAGTTTATTGCCCAGGTTGGAGTGCAGTGGTGCGATCACGGCTCCCTGCAGCCTCAACCTCCCAAGTTCAAGTGATTTCCCCACCTCATCCTCCTGAGTGGCTGGGACTATAGGTACAAACAACCACACCCAACTGATTTTTAAATTTTCTTTTTTTTTTTTTTTTTTTAGACGGAATCTCGCTCTGTTGCCCAGGCTGGAGTGCAGTGGTGCAATCTCCACTCACTGCAACCTCCACTTCCCAGGTTCAAGTGATTCTCCTGCCTCAGCCTCCCAAGTAGATGGGATTACAGGCATTTGCCATCACACCGAGCTAATTTTTGTATTTGGTCTCGAAATCCTGGGCTCAAGCCATCCTCCTGCCTCAGCTTCCCAAAATGCTGGGATCACAGGTTTGAGCCACCATGCCTGACCAGGAAAATGATTGTTTTGTCTGAGACAGGGTCAGGCTCTGTCTCCCAGGCTGCAGCATAATGGCGTGATCTGGGCTCACTGCAACCTCTGCCTCCTGCGCTCAAACCATCCTACCATCTCAGCCTCCTGAGTAGCTGGGACTACTGGTACGTGCCACCAAGCTCTGCTAAATTTTTTTTGTTGTTGTTGTATATTTGGTAGAGATGGCGTTTCACCATGTTGGCAAGCTGGTCTCAAAACCTGCTGGGCTCAATTGATCCTCCCAGCTCGGTCTCCCAAAGTGCTGGGATTATAGATGTGAGCCACTGCACCCGGCCAAAAATAGATTTAAATTGCATATATCCTTTAATTTGGCAATTCTTCTTCTAATACTGTATTCTAAGGATATATGAGCAGCATTGCTCATAATAGCAAAAGTTTGAAAACAGCCTAATGGAGAGCTGTTTAGATAAATCATGGGAAAAGTCGTGCTGCCCCAGGCTCTTCTGGAGCTCAGCACTGTGTGGGAAGCTGCTGGGTAAGTTGCTCTTGGGTGCAAGGTGTAGTAGGCTGAATAATGCCCCCACCAAATATGTCCATATTCTAATCCCCAGAAGCTGTGAATCTTATTTTATTTTTATTTTTGATTAGAGACAGTGTCTTCTTGCTCTATAACCCAGGCTGGAGTGCAGTGGCTTGATCATAGATCACTGCAGCCTTGACCTCCCGGGCTCAAGCAATCCTCTGGCTCAGCCACCTAAGTAGCTGGGACTATAGGTGCACACTAACATGCCCAGCTTATTTTTTGTTTGTTTGTTTGTTTTTGAGACAGAGTCTTTCTCTGTTGCCCAGGCTGTAGTGCAGTGGCGTGATCTCAGCTCACTGCAACCTCCACCTCCCAGGTTCAAGCGGTTCTCCTGCCTCAGCCTCTGGAGTAGCTGGGACTACAGGCACATGCCACCACATCTGACTAATTTTTGTATTTTTCATAGAGATGGGTTTTTTGACACAGGATCTCACTCCGTCACCCAGGCTGAAGTGCAGTGGCACAAACCCGGCTCACTGCAGCCTCCACCTCCTGGGCTCAAGTGATCTTCCCCCAGCCTCCTGAATAGCTGGGACCACAGGTTCATGCCACCATGCCAGGCTAATTTTTAAAATTTTTTTAGAGACAAGGTCTCACCATCTTGCTCAGGCTGGTCTCAAACTCCTGGGCCCAAATGATCCTCCCACCTTAGCCTTCCAAAGTGTTAGGATTACAGGCGTAAGCCACTGCGCCCGGCCTGATCTGTTTTTGAGTAAATAAAATTATTATTTGTTTTAAAGAAATAAAATGACAAGCCCTCCACCTCAAGCAAATAACAGTTTGAAAAAGATTTTCTATCTTTGGTCATCAAATTTGAACTACAGTTCTTAAATATAAGGCTCATATAAGTTGATTATAATAAAGTAGTTTGAATTTAGGCTCCAATGTTAGGTTTGAAGTGGAAAAGTAGGATTGGTTTTCAGCAACTTTTTTTTTTTTTTTTTTTTTGAGACGGAGTCTCACTCTGTAGCAATGTTTTCTTTCAGGATGGGTGGACTTCTTGTTTGGGTTACTTATCTTTATCCTCTGAATATCCAACTATTCTCATTGTCAGGACTCCACTCAGAGGTACCCATAAACAGAAAGGACCCACTGGCCACTTCTCCAGGACAGCAAGGTAGTGGACATGCACAAGGACCTTGCCCCTGTTCAGATCCATGAAAGAAGTGCTGTGCCTCCCTTGACTTGATAAAGAAGGAGCCAATTTCTTCCCAGTTTCCTCGAGAACTCACAGGTGACAAAACAACTTCAGCCCCTATGTCCACAGTGTGTGCTATTATACTTTGCCTGGAGAGGAAAAACCTGTTATCCTTAACTACCCTCACTGGCTCTTCTCTTCCTCACTGAGTATCAGAAGACCAAGAGGAGAAAATAAAGCTTGCTAGTTTCTTACCCATACTGTTATTCTATGAGTAAAGACCCACTCATTCAAAGAAAACCAATCTGTTTCTAGCTCCACTCCTGAAACTAGGAAGTTGGTCCTTAGCCTGATGAAGTCAACCTCTTGGAGAAATTTTTAAGTTCTTTTTTATTTATTTATTTTTTATTATTATACTTTAAGTTTTAGGGTACATGTGCACAATGTGCAGGTTAGTTACATATGTATACATGTGCCATGCTGATGCGCTGCACCCACTAACTCATCATCTAGCATTAGGTATATCTCCCAATGCTATCCCTCCCGCCTCCCCCCACCCCACAACAGTCCCCAGAGTGTGATGTTCCCCTTCCTGTGTCCAGGTGTTCTCATTGTTCAATTCCCACCTATGAGTGAGAATATGTGGTGTTTGGTTTTTTGTTCTTGCGATAGTTTACTGAGAATGATGATTTCCAATTTCATCCATGTCCCTACAAAGGACGTGAACTCATCATTTTTTATGGCTGCATAGTATTCCATGGTGTATATGTGCCACATTTTCTTAATCCAGTCTATCATTGTTGGACATTTGGGTTGGTTCCAAGTCTTTGCTATTGTGAATAATGCCGCAATAAACCTACGTGTGCATGTGTCTTTATAGCAGCATGATTTATAGTCCTTTGGTTATATACCCAGTAATGGAATGGCTGGGTCAAATGGTATTTCTAGTTCTAGATCCCTGAGGAATCGCCACACTGACTTCCACAATGGTTGAACTAGTTTACAGTCCCACCAACAGTGTAAAAGTGTTCCTATTTCTCCACATCCTCTCCAGCACCTGTTGTTTCCTGACTTTTTAATGATCGCCATTCTAACTGGTGTGAGATGGTATCTCATTGTGGTTTTGATTTGCATTTCTCTGATGGCCAGTGATGGTGAGCATTTTTTCATGTGTTTTTTGGCTGCATAAATGTCTTCTTTTGAGAAGTGTCTGTTCATGTCCTTTGCCCACTTTTTGATGGGGTTGTTGGTTTTTTTCTTGTAAATTTGTTGGAGTTCATTGTAGATTCTGGATATTAGCCCTTTGTCAGATGAGTAGGTTGCAAAAATTTTCTCCCATTTTGTAGGTTGCCTGTTCACTCTGATGGTAGTTTCTTTTGCTGTGCAGAAGCTCTTTAGTTTAATTAGATCCCATTTGTCAATTTTCGCTTTTGTTGCCATTGCTTTTGGTGTTTTAGACATGAAGTCCTTGCCCATGCCTATGTCTTGAATGGTAATGCCTAGGTTTTCTTCTAGGGTTTTTATGGTTTTAGGTCTAACATTTAAGTCTTTAATCCATCTTGAATTGATTTTTGTATAAGATGTAAGGAAGGGATCCAGTTTCAGCTTTCTACATATGGCTAGCTAGTTTTCCCAGCACCATTTATTAAATAGGGAATCCTTTCCCCATTTCTTGTTTTTCTCAGGTTTGTCAAAGATCAGATAGTTGTAGATATGCGGCATTATTTCTGAGGGCTCTGTTCTGTTCCATTGATCTATATCTCTGTTTTGGTACCAGTACCATGCTGTTTTGGTTACTGTAGCCTTGTAGTATAGTTTGAAGTCAGGTAGTGTGATGCCTCCAGCTTTGTTCTTTTGGCTCAGGATTGACTTGGCGATGCGGGATCTTTTTTGGTTCCATATGAACTTTAAAGTAGTTTTTTCCAATTCTATGAAGAAAGTCATTGGTAGCTTAATGGGGATGGCATTGAATCTGTAAATTACCTTGGGCAGTATGGCCATTTTCACGATATTGATTCTTCCTACCCATGAGCATGGAATGTTCTTCCATTTGTTTGTATCCTCTTTTATTTCATTGAGCAGTGGTTTGTAGTTCTCCTTGAAGAGGTCCTTCACATCCCTTGTAAGTTGGATTCCTAGGTATTTTATTCTCTTTGAAGCAATTGTGAATGGGAGTTCACTCATGATTTGGCTCTCTGTTTGTCTGTTGTTGGTGTATAAGAATGCTTGTGATTTTTGTACATTGATTTTGTATCCTGAGACTTTGCTGAAGTTGCTTATCAGCTTAAGGAGATTTTGGGCTGAGACAATGGGGTTTTCTAGATATACAATCATGTCGTCTGCAAACAGGGACAATTTGACTTCCTCTTTTCCTAATTGAATACCCTTTATTTCCTTCTCCTGCCTAATTGCCCTGGCCAGAACTTCCAACACTATGTTGAATAGGAGTGGTGAGAGAGGGCATCCCTGTCTTGTTCCAGTTTTCAAAGGGAATGCTTCCAGTTTTTGCCTATTCAGTATGATATTGGCTGTGGGTTTGTCATAGATAGCTCTTATTATTTTGAGATACATCCCATCAATACCTAATTTATTGAGAGTTTTTAGCATGAAGTGTTGTTAAATTTTGTCAAAGGCCTTTTCTGCATCTATTGAGATAATCATGTGGTTTTTGTCTTTGGTTCTGTTTATATGCTGGATTACATTTATTGATTTGCGTATATTGAACCAGCCTTGCATCCCAGGGATGAAGCCCACTTGATCATGGTGGATAAGCTTTTTCATGTGCTGCTGGATTCGGTTTGCCAGTATTTTATTGAGGATTTTTGCATCAATGTTCATCAAGGATATTGGTCTAAAATTCTCTTTTTTGGTTGTGTCTCTGCCCAGCTTTGGTATCAGGATGATGCTGGCCTCATAAAATGAGTTAGGGAGGATTCCCTCTTTTTCTATTGATTGGAATAGTTCCAGAAGGAATGGTACCAGTTCCTCCTTGTACCTCTGGTAGAATTCGGCTGTGAATCCATCTGGTCCTGGACTCTTTTTGGTTGGTAAGCTATTGATTATTGCCACAATTTCAGCTCCTGTTATTGGTCTATTCAGAGATTCAACTTCTTCCTGGTTTAGTCTTGGGAGGGTGTATGTGTCGAGGAATTTATCCATTTCTTCTAGATTTTCTAGTTTATTTGCGTAGACATGTTTGTAGCATTCTCTGATGGTAGTTTGTATTTCTGTGGGATCGGTGGTGATATCCCCTTTATCATTTTTTATTGCGTCTATTTGATTCTTCTCTCTTTTTTTCTTTATTAGTCTTGCTAGTGGTCTATCAATTTTGTTGATCCTTTCAAAAAACCAGCTCTTGGATTCGTTAATTTTTTGAAGGGTTTTTTGTGTCTCTATTTCCTTCAGTTCTGCTCTGATTTTAGTTATTTCTTGCCTTCTGCTAGCTTTTGAATGTGTTTGCTCTTGCTTTTCTAGTTCTTTTAATTGTGATGTTAGGGTGTCAGTTTTGGATCTTTCCTGCTTTCTCTTGTGGGCATTTAGTGCTATAAATTTCCCTCTACACACTGCTTTGAATGTGTCCCAGAGATTCTGGTATGTTGTGTCTTTGTTCTCATTGGTTTCAAAGAACATCTTTATTTCTGCCTTCATTTCGTTATGTACCCAGTAGTCATTCAGGAGCAGGTTGTTTAGTTTCCATGTAGTTGAGCGGTTTTGAGTGAGATTCTTAATCCTGAGTTCTAGTTTGATTGCACTGTGGTCTGAGAGATAGTTTGTTATAATTTCTGTTCTTTTACGTTTGCTGAGGGGAGCTTTACTTCCAACTATGTGGTCAATTTTGGAATAGGTGTGGTGTGGTGCTGAAAAAAATGTATATTCTGTTGATTTGGGGTGGAGAGTTCTGTAGAAGTCTATTAGGTCTGCTTGGTGCAGAGCTGAGTTCAATTCCTGGGTATCCTTGTTGACTTTCTGTCTGGTTGATCTGTCTAATGTTGACAGTGGGGTGTTAAAGTCTCCCATTATTAATGTGTGGGAGTCTAAGTCTCTTTGTAGGTCACTCAGGACTTGCTTTATGAATCTGGGTGCTCCTGTATTGGGTGCATATATATTGAGGATAGTTAGCTCTTCTTGTTGAATTGATCCCTTTACCATTAAGTAATGGCCTTCTTTGTCTCTTTTGATCTTTGTTGGTTTAAAGTCTGTTTTATCAGAGACTAGGATTGCAACCCCTGCCTTTTTTTGTTTTCCATTTGCTTGGTAGATCTTCCTCCATCCTTTATTTTGAGCCTATGTGTGTCTCTGCACGTGAGATGGGTTTCCTGAATACAGCACACTGATGGGTCTTGACTGTTTATCCAATTTGCCAGTCTGTGTCTTTTAATTGGAGCATTTAGTCCATTTACATTTAAAGTTAATATTGTTATGTGTGAATTTGATCCTGTCATTATGATGTTAGCTGGTGATTTTGCTCGTTAGTTGATGCAGTTTCTTCCTAGTCTCGATGGTCTTTACATTTTGGCATGATTTTGCAGTGGCTGGTACCGGTTGTTCCTTTCCATGTTTAGCGCTTCCTTCAGGAGCTCTTTTAGGGCAGGCCTGGTGGTGACAAAATCTCTCAGCATTTGCTTGTCTGTAAAGTATTTTATTTCTCCTTCACTTATGAAGCTTAGTTTGGCTGGATATGAAATTCTGGGTTGAAAATTCTTTTCTTTAAGAATGTTGAATATTGGCCCTCACTCTCTTCTGGCTTGTAGAGTTTCTGCTGAGAGATCAGCTGTTAGTCTGATGGGCTTCGTTTTGTGGGTAACCCGACCTTTCTCTCTGGCTGCCCTTAACATTTTTTCCTTCATTTCAACTTTGGTGAATCTGACAATTACGTGTCTTGGTGTTGCTCTTCTCAAGGAGTATCTTTGTGGCATTCTCTGTATTTCCTGAATCTGAATGGTGGCCTGCCTTGCTAGACTGGGGAAGTTCTCCTGGATAATATCCTACAGAGTGTTTTCCAACTTGGTTCCATTCTCCCCATCACTTTCAGGTACACCAATCAGACATAGATTTGGTCTTTTCACATAGTCCCATATTTCTTGGAGGCTTTGCTCGTTTCTTTTTATTCTTTTTTCTCTAAACTTCCCTTCTCACTTCATTTCATACATTTCATCTTCCATCGCTGATACCCTTTCTTCCAGTTGATCACATCGGCTCCTGAGTCTTCTGCATTCTTCACTTAGTTCTCAAGCCTTGGTTTTCAGCTCCATCAGCTCCTTTAAGCACTTCTCTGTATTGATTATTCTAGTTATACATTCTCCTAAATTTTTTTCAAAGTTTTCAACTTCTTTGCCTTTGGTTTGAATGTCCTCCCGTAGCTCAGAGTAATTTGATCGTCTGAAGCCTTCTTCTCTCAGCTCGTCAAAGTCATTCTCCGTCCAGCTTTGTTCCATTGCTGGTGAGGAACTGCATTCCTTTGGAGGAGGAGAGGCGCTCTGCTTTTTAGAGCTTCCAGTTTTTCTGTTCTGTTTTTTCCCCATCTTTGTGGTTTTATCTACTTTTGGTCTTTGATGATGGTGATGTACAGATGGGTTGTTGGTGTGGATGTCCTTTCTGTTTGTTAGTTTTCCTTCTAACAGACAGGACCCTCAGCTGCAGGTCTGTTGGAGTGCCCGGCCGTGTGAGGTGTCAGTCTGCCCCTGCTAGGGGGTGCCTCCCAGTTAGGCTGCTGGGGGGTCAGGGGTCAGGGACCCACTTGAGGAGGCAGTCTGCCCGTTCTCAGATCTCCAGCTGCATGCTGGGAGAACCACTGCTCTCTTCAAAGCTGTCAGACAGAGACATTTAAGTCTGCAGAGGTTACTGCTGTCTTTTTGTTTGTCTGTGCCCTGCCCCCAGAGGTGGAGCCTACAGAGGCAGGCAGGCCTCCTTGAGCTGTGGTGGGCTCCACCCAATTCGAGCTTCCCGGCTGCTTTGTTTACCTAAGCAAGCCTGGGCAATGGCGGGTGCCCCTCCCCCAGCCTCGCTGCCACCTTGCAGTTTGATCTCAGAGTGCTGTGCTAGCAATCAGCGAGACTCCGTGGGCCTAGGACCCTCCGAGCCAGGTGCGGGATATAATCTCCTGGTGTGCCGTTTTTTAAGCCCGTCGGAAAAGCGCAGTATTCGGGTGGGAGTGACCCGATTTTCCAGGTGCCATCTGTCACCACTTTGTTTGACTAGGAAAGGGAACTCCCTGACCCCTTGCGCTTCCCGAGTGAGGCAATGCCTCGCCCTGCTTCGGCTCGCACACGGTGCGCGCACTCACTGACCTGCACCCACTGTCTGGCACTCTCTAGTGAGATGAACCCGGTACCTCAGATGGAAATGCAGAAATCACCCGTCTTCTGCGTGGCTCACACTGGGAGCTGTAGACTGGAGCTGTTCCTATTCGGCCATCTTGGCTCCTCCCGCCGAAATTTTTAAGTTCTAAACAACTCTTTAATCAGTGACAAACCAAAACTGAATTACAGACTTTTATTTTTTTTTTGAGATGGAGTCTTGCCCTGTCGCCCAGGGTGGCATGCAATGGTGTGATCTCAGCTCACTGCACTGTCCGCCTCCCGGGCTCAAGCAATTCTTGTGTCTCAGCCTCCCAACTAGCTGAGACTATATGTGTGTGCCACCATGCCAGGCTAAGTTTTGTATTTTTAGTAGAGATGGGGTTTCATCATGTTGGCCAGGCTGCTCTCAAACTCCTGACCTTAAGCAGTCTGCCTGCCTCAGCCTCCCAAAGTGCTGGGATTACAGGGGTGAGCCACTGTAACTGGCCGGACTATTTTAAACTATACAACGATGAGAATGTATGCTCTTCAATTACACATAGAAGTATGAATGATCCTCACAAACATAATGCTAAGCAAAAGAAACTAGACACAAGGGTACAGACTAACAATTCTCTGCCATCTGAAGTCAGGTAGTGGTTACACTTGGTAGGGAGGCCAAGTTAGGGAGTAGAAGGAAGTCCAAGGATGAGTTGCCAGGGCCAACCAGCTTCATGAGCATGCGCACAAGGCCCTGCACTTAGGCTCAGCGTTTGGCTAACACTCTGCTGTCACCATTTCAAAATTATTATTATTATTATTATTTGAGATGGAGTCTCACTCTATTGCCCAGGCTGGAGTGCAATGGCGCGATCTTGGCTCACTGCAACCTCCACCTCCCGGGTTCAAGCGATTCTCTTGCCTCAGCCTCCCGAGTAGCTGGGATTACAGGCATGTGCCACCATGCCTGGCTAATTTTTGTATTTTTAGTAGAGATGGGGTTTCACCATGTTGGCCAGGCTGGTCTTGAACTCCTGACCTCAGGTGATCCACCCGCCTCGGCCTCCCAAAGTTCTGGGATTACAGGCGTGAGCCACTGCACCCAGCCAAAGTCGTTAATGATATTTGACCAAAGGGCTGAGCATTTTCATTTTGCACTAGGTCCTGCAAATTATGTCATTGGTACTGGCAATGTTCTGTTTCTCAGTCTGGGTGTTGAATTTGTGAATATTCACCAAACTGAACATATTTTGATATGTTTGCTTTTCTGTATGTGTATCATACTTCAATACAAAGCTTAAAAACAGAACTATAGGCTATTTTAAAAATAACTCATGAAACACTACTTATGAAATGCAGCCAAAGTAGTATTCACAAGAAAATGCATGGCTGTAAACACTGTTATTGCTTAGTGAGAATAAAAGTTCATTAACAAAGTAGACAATGCAGGAAATTAAAAGGGGAAAATGTCACAGTAAGGTAAAATCTAAAGAAAGCAAAAGGAAAAAATTAAGGATAAAAGCAAACTGAATTATTTCAAAACCAGAAAAACAATATAATTGGCCCGGTGTGGTGGCTCATGCCTGTAATCCCAGTGCTTTGGGAGGCCAAGGGAGGAGGATCATTTGAGGCCAGGAGTTCAAGACTGGCCCAGGTAACACAGCAAGACCTTGTCTCTACAACAACAACAAAATTAGCCCGGCATGGTGGTGCATGCCTGTAGTTCTAGCTGCTCAGAGGCTGAGGCAGGAGGGTTACTTGAGCCCAGGAACTGGAGATTATAGTCAGCTATGATCACACCACTGCGCTCCAGCCTGGATGACAGGGAAAGACTCTGTCTCTAAAAAAAAATTTTGGGGGCCGGGCACGGTGGCTCACGCCTGTAATCCCAGCACTTTGGGAGGCCGAGGTGGGCGGATCACGAGGTCAGGAGTTTGAGACCAGTCTGGCCAACATGGTAAAACCCTGTCTCTACTAAAAATACAAAAATTAGCCAGGCATGGTGGCAGGCACCTGTAATCCCAGCTACTTGGGAGGCTGAGGCAGGAGAATCACTTGAACCCGGGAGGCGGAGGTTGCAGTGAGCCGAGATTGCGCCACTGCACTCCAGCCTAGGTGACGAGGGAAATTCCGTCTCAAAAAAAAAAAAAAAAATTAAGACAATATAGTTGATGAATAACTCTAAGATCTGGTTATTTGGCAAGAAGCAAGCAACAAATTTGATAAACCACTAGCTAACAAAACAAACTAAAAAAGAAATGACATAAATATACACATCAGGAATGAAAAAGGGTTTATAGCCATCAGTACAGAGGAAATGAGAATTACAAGGGAATACCTTGCCCAACCCAATACTAATACAATATAAAATCTGAATGAAATAGATAATATTTGAGGAAATATAAAATTACCAATTGGGACTCAAAAATCTAAACAGATAAATAATGATGGATAAAAGCTGTCAAAAGATATACTTAAGGACCTAAGCTAAAACTAGATAGGTTAATGAGCAACTTCTTTCAAATATTCAGGTAATCAATCATACTCATATTCCAAAGGATAGATAAACATCTCAGTGTTCCATAAAGCCAAAATTTTACATCATACAGCAGGAAAACTATGGACCAGTCTCATTTATAAATGTAGATTTAGAACACCTTAAAAAACACAGGCACATCTTGGGACTAGATTATGAAATAGAAAAGTATAATTAAAAATTAAGGCTGGGCACAGTGGCTCATGCCTGTAATCCTAGCACTTTGGGAGGCTGAGGCAGGCGGATCACCTGAGGTCAGGAGCTTGAGATCAGCCTGGCCAACATGGTGAAACCCCGTCTCTACTAAAAATACAAAAATTAGCCAGGTCTGGTGGCGCATGCCTGTAATCCCAGCTACTGGGGAGACTGAGGCAGGAGAATCGCTTGAGCCTGGGAGGTGAAGGTTGCAGTGAGCTAAGATGGTGCCCTGCACTCCAACCTGGGCAACAGAGCAAGACTGTGTCTCAAAAAACATTTTTTTAAATTAAAACAATCAAAAAATTAAAATTAAAAACATTAAAAAGGAAAAACAAAATGTAAAACTCAGGCACATCTCATTTTATTGCTCTGCTTCATTAGGCTTTGCAGATACTTCGTTTAAAAAAATATTTTATTTTTCAGACCGCAGGTAACTGAAACTGCAGAAACTGAAACCACAGATAAGCAGGGACTGATTTTGTTATAAAATGGGGCGCCCTGTGCTTGGACGTCTTCTTTATTTTATTTTTTTATTTTTTGAGACAGAGTCTCGCTCTGTTGCTCAGGCTGGAGTGCAGTGGAGTGATCTTGGCTCACTGCAGCCTCCACTTCCCAGGTTCAAGTGATTCTTCTGCCTCAGCCTCCTGAGTAGCTGAGATTACAGGTGTGTACCACCACATCCCACTCATTTTTTGTATTTTTAGTAGATACGGTTTTTTGCCATGTTGCCCAGGCTGATCTCGAACTCTTGGCCTCAAGTGATCCACCTGCCTCAGCTTCCCAAAATGCTGGGATTACAGGCATGAGCCATTGTGCCTAGCCAAATACTGCATTTTTACAAATTGAAGGTTTGTGGCAACCCTATATTTAGCAAGTCTGTCAGGCCATTTTCCCAACAGCATATGCTCATTTCGTGTTTCTTTGTCATATTTTAGTAATTTTTGCAATATTTCAAACTTTTTTATTATTATTATGTCTATTATGTTGATCTCTGATCTTTGATGTTACAACTGTAACTGTTTCAGGGTGCCACAAACCGTGCCCATACAAGATGGTGAATTTAATCTATAAATGTTGTGTGTGTTCTGACTACTGCATGGACTGGGTGTTCCTCTGTCTCTCTCCCTCTACTGCAACCTCCTCATTTCCTGAGACACAAAAATACTAAAATTAGGCCAGCTGGAACCCTACAGTGGCTTCTAAGTGTTCAAATGAAAGAAAGAGTCACACATCTCTCATTCTCAAAAGCTAGAAATAATTAAGCTTAGTTAGGAAGTCATGTCGAAAGCTGGGACAGGCTGAAAGTTAGTTAGCTAAGTTGTAAATGCAAGGGAAAAGCTTTTGAAGGAGATTAAAAGTGCTACTCCAGTGAATACACAAATGAGATAAGAAAGCAGAACAGCCTTATTGCTGATATGGAGGATGTTTGAATGGTCTGGATAGATCAAACCGGCCACAACATTCCCTTAGGCCAACGCAAGGCCCTAATTCCCTCCCTTTTTTTTTTTGAGAGGAAGTCTCTGTCGCCCAGGCTGGAGTACAATGGTGTGATGTCAGCTCACTGCAACCTCCGCCTCCCGGGTTCAAGTGATTCTCCCCACTCAGCCTCCCCAGTAGCTGGAATTACAGGTGCCCGCCACCACGCCTGGCTAATTTTTGTATTTTTATAGAGATGGGGGTTTCACCATGTTGGCCAGGTTGTTCTCGAACTTCTGACCTCAGGTGATCCACCCGCCTCAGCCTCCCAAAGTGCTGGGATTACAGGTGTGAGCCACTGCGCCCGGCCCAATCAATATTATTATTAATATCCCCATTAAAGTCAGGAGCTAGACAAGGATTCTCACCACCTCTGTTATTTAATGTTGTTCTGGAAGTGCTAGTTAATGCAATTAGACAATGGAATAAAAGTCAAAATACTAAAGTGGATGAGAGCATTATTATCAATTACCTGATTGTCGGCCTAGAAATCCAAAATGATCAAATGAATAGTTGTTAGAACTAATACAAGAGAGGCCGAGCGTGGTGGCTCACGCCTGTAATCCCAGCACTTTGGGAGGCCGAGGCGGGCGGATCACGAGGTCAGGAGATCGAGACCATCCTGGCTAACACGGTGAAACCCTGTCTCTACTAAAAAATATAAAAAATTAGCCGGGCATGGTGGCGGGTGCCTGTAGTCCCTGCCACTCGGGAGGCTGAGGCAGGAGAATGGCGTGAACCCGGGAGGCAGAGGTTGCAGTGAGCCGAGATCACGCCACTGCACTCCAGCCTGGGCGACAGAGGGAGACTCTGTCTCAAAATAAATAAATAAATAAATAAATAAATAAATAAATACAAGAGCACAGAATATTCTTTCTATATTTCTTTTATTTGCACTTATTTTATAATGGTTATTTTTCTGTGCTGTGTTGTTTCTAACAATTGGCTGACAAGCATACTGACAGAGCCAATTGTTTCTAACAATTGGTTTCAAGCACACAGGACCCTGAAAGTCAGCAGAGCTTGGTAGTGGAGGCTGAGAGTGGGGATGGGATGGGCAGAAACAGTTACAGCTTGGATCCCTCAAAAACCTTAAATGGGGCTGGGTGCAGTGGCTCACGCCTGTAATCCCAGCACTTTGGGAGGCCGAGGTGGGCAGATCACTTGAGGCCAGGAGTTCGAGGCCAGCCTGGCCAACATGGTGAAACCCCATCTCTACTAAAAATACAAAAATTAGCTGGGCGTGGTGGCTGTGCCTGTAATCCCAGCTACGTGGGAGGCCGAGGCATGAGAATCACTTGAACCTGGGAGGTGGAGGCTGCAGTGAGCCAAGATCGTGCCACTGCACTCCAGCCTAGGGGACAGAGCAAAACCTTGTCTCAGAAAAACAAAACAAAACAAAAACCTTAAATGGAAGGCAGGCGATGGCAGTCAACATCAGCCAGAGTGTGTGTGAGCAATCCTAATGTTCTGAGGCTAGAATGGGGTTGGTGGAGGAGACACAACAGAGCCTTTAACGCTGCTCTTGACATTGCACTGCACCACATTGAAGTGAGGCTACAATGAACCAGAGGGATCCAGGAAGCCCTCTTCCTTATCAGCACCTCTCCACGGACTGCAGGCAGAGCAGAAAGCTGTTTGTCTGACGGTGGCGGGAAGGTCATTCCAGATGAAGAAACCAGATTAAAAAACAGAAGCACAGGCTCCTTTCCCAAGAGCAAAGCTAGAGGAGGGACAAAGCCACGTGAGGAAATGAGGAAGGGTCAGGCATATGTGGCTTGAAAGAGAGGAGAGCTCTAAGTATATCAGAAAAGGCAAGGGGATGGCTCTTCAGGACTCATGTCGTAATTCTGTCTGCCCTATCCTGTTTCAGAGATGACAAGGCCTTCCTCCTGGCTCTCTCTTTAGTAGGCACCTAAGCACTTTGACTTATTGTTCTCTCATTCAATCCATGCAACAACTCTTAGAAGTCAGATTTTTTGACAGTTTTTAAAATTTACTTATAAAAATTTATTTTTAATTTTCGAGGGTATGTAGTAGGTATATATGTTTATGGGGCATATGGGATATTTTGATACAGCCATACAATGTGTAATAATCACATCAGGGGAAATGAGGCATCCATCCCCTCAAGCATTTATCCTTTGTGTTATAAATAATCCAATTATACTCTTTTAGTTTTTTTTTTTTTAGAGATGGAGTCTTGCTCTGTCACTCAGGCTGGAGTGCAGTGGCACGATCTTGGCTCACTGCAAACTCTGCCTCTCAGGTTCAAGCAATTCTTCTACCTCAGCCTCCCAAGTAGCTGGGATTACAGGCATGCACCACCATGCCTAGTTAATTTTTGTATTTTCAATAAAGACGGGGTTTCACCATGTTGGTCAGGCTGGTCTCAAACTCCTGACATCAGGTGATCCTCCCCCCTCGGCCTCCCAAAGTCCTGGGATTACAGGCATGAGCCACTGCGCCTGACCTGTATGTCTCCTTTTGATAAATGTCTATTCAGATATTTGGTGAGCCACTGTGCCCGGCCAATCCAGTTTTAAAATGGGCAAAAGATCTGAATAGACATTTATCAAAAGGAGACATACAGATCAGGCACAGTGGCTCATGCCTGTAATCTCAGGACTTTGGGAGGCCGAGGCGGGTGGATCACCTGAGGTCAGGAGTTCGAGACCAGCCTGACCAACATGGTGAAACCCTGTCTCTACACAAAAAGTTAGCTGGGCATGGTGGTGCATGCTTGTAATCCCAGGTACTTGGGAAGCTGAGGCAGGAGAATTGATTGAACCCAGGAGGGGGAGGTTGCAGTGAGCCGAGATTGCACCACTGCACTTCAGCCTGGGCTACAGAGCAAGACTTCATCTCAAAATAAATAATAATAAATAAATGAGGCCGGGCACGGTGGCTCACACCTGTAATCCCAGCACTTTGGGAGGCCGAGGCAGGCAGATCACGAGGTCAGGAGATCAAGACCATTCTGGCTAACACGGTGAAACCCTGTCTCTACTAAAAATACAAAAAAATTAGCCGGGCATGGTGGCGGGCGCCTGTAGTCCCAGCTACTCAAGAGGCTGAGGCAGGAGAATGGCATGAACCCGGGAGGCAGAGCTTGCAGTGAGCTGAGATGGCACCACTGCACTCCAGCCTGGGCGACATCGAGACTCCATCTCAATAAATAAATAAATAAATAAATAAAATTAGATTATTAGATTTTTTCCTATAGAGTTGTTTGAGCTCCTTATATATTCTGGTTATTAATTCCTTGTCAGAAGGATAGTTTGCAAATATTTTCTCCTATGCTGTGGGTTGTCTCTTCACTTTGCTGTTTCCTTTGCTGTGCAGAAGCTTTTAAACTTGATGTGATCTCATTTGTCCATTTTTGCTTTGGTTGCCTGTGCTTGTGGGGCATTATTCAAGAAACCTTTGCCCAGTCTAATGTCCTGGAGCGTTTCCTCAATATATTCTTTAGTAGTTTCATAGTTTGAGGTCTGAGATTTAAGTCGTTAATCCATTTTGATTTGAGTTTTGTATATAGTGAAAGACAGGGGTCTAGTTTCATTCTTCTGCATATGGATATCCAGTTTTCTCAGCACCATTTGTTGAAGACGCTGTCTTTTCTCCATTGTATGCTCTTGGCCCCTTTGTTGAGAAATGAGTTCACCTTAGATGTATGGATTTGTTTCTGGGTTCTCTATTCTGTTCCATTAGTCCATGTGTCTGCTTTTATGCCTGTACTATGCTGTTTTGGTTACCACAGTTCTGTAGTATAATTTGAAGTCAGGTAATGTGATTCCTCCAGTTTTTTTGTTTTTGTTTTTGTTTTTTTTCTCAGGATAGCTTTGGCTATTTTGGATCTTTTGCAGTTCCATATAAATTTTAGGATTGTGTTTTCTCTTTCTGTGGAGAATGTCTTTAGTATTTTGATAGGTATTGTATTGAATACATAGATTACTTTGGATAGTATGGACATTTTAACAATATGGATTCTTCCAATCCATGAACATGGACTATTTTTCCTTTTTTAATGTCCTCTTCAATTTCTTTCAATAATGTTTTATAGTTTTCATTGTAGAAATCTTCCACTTCTTTGGTTAAATTAATTCCTAGGTATGTTATTTTATTTGTAGCTATTGTAAATGGGATTACTTTTATGATTTTTCACATTGTTTACTGTTGGCATATAGAAACATTTTTTATTATTTTTTAATTTTTAATTTTAATTTTTAGTTAGTTATTTTTTGAGACGGAGTCTAGCTCTGTCACCAGGCTGGAGTGCAGTGGCGTGATCTCAGCTCACTGTAACCTCCGCCTCCCGGGTTCAAGCAATTTTCCTGCCTCAGCCTCCCAAGTAGCTGGGATTACAGGCACACACCGCCATCCCCAGCTAATTTTTGTACTTTTAGTAGAGATGGGGGTTTCACCACATTGGCCAGGATGGTCTTGATCTCCTGACCTCGTGATCTGCCCACCTCAGCCTCTGAAAGTGCTGGGATTACAGGCCGATTTTAAAATTTATTTTAATTTATTTTTTATTTTTTATTTTTTTGGGGGAGGATGAAGTCTTACTCTGTTGCCTAGGCTGGAGTGCAGTGGTGCGATCTCAGCTGACCGCAATCTCTGCCTCCCAGGTTCAAGTGATTCTCTTGCCTCGGCCTCCTGAGTAGCTGGGACTATAGGTGCGCACCACCATGCTTGGACAATTTTTGTATATTTAGTAGACACAGGGTTTCACCATGTTGGCCAGGCTGGTCTTGAACGCCTGACCTTGTGATCCACCCGCCTCTGCCTCCCAAAGTGCTGGGATTACAGGCTTGAGCCACCATGCCTGGCCTAGAAATGATTTTTATATGTTATGTTCTCTTTTTTTTTAACCCAATAATAGCTGTGTGTACTGATATATGTTGATTTTGCATGTTGACTTTTGTATATTGTTTTATTTCCTGCAAGTTTACTGAATTTGTATATCTGTTCTAATAATTTTTTAGTGGTGTCTTTAGGTTTTTCTAAATATAAGATCATATCATCTGCAAACAAGGATAATTTGATTTCTTCCTTTCCAATTTGGATGCCCTTTCTTTCTCTTTCTTGTCTGATTGCTCTAGCTGGGACTTCCAGTACCATGTTGCATAACAGTGATGAAAGTGGGCATCCTTGTCATGCTCTAGATCTTAGAAGAAAGACTTTCAGTTTTTCACCATTGAGTATGACACTAGCTGTGGGTCTGTCATGTAGGGCTATGTTGAAGTATGTTCTTATTTTTTTTTTTTTCCAGACAGAGTTTCACTCTTGTCACCGAGGCTGGAGTGCAATGGTGCAATCTCGGCTCACTGCAACCTCCGCCTCCTGGGTTCAAGTGATTCTCCTGCCTCAGCCTCCTGAGTAGCTGGGATCACAGGTGTGCGCCACCATGCTTGGCTAATTTTTTTGTATTTTTAGTAGAGATGGGGTTTCACCATGTTGGTCAGGCCGGTCTCGAATTCCTGACCTCAAGTGATCCACCTACCTTGGCCTCCCAAAGTGCTGGGATTTCAGGTGTGAGCCACCGCGCCCGGCCAAAACATGTTCCTTCTACACCCAGGTTTTTTTAGGGTTTTTATAATGAAGGGATGTTGAATTTTATCAAATGCTTTTTCAGTGTGAATTGAAATGATAGTATAGTTTTGTCCCTCATTCTGTAGATATGATGTATTGCATTGATTGATTTGCATATGACATCCTTGCATCCTTGCGTCCTTGCATCCCTGGGATAAATCTCACTTGGTCATGATGAATCATCTTTTTAATGTGTTGTTGAATTCAGTTTGCTATTAAGGTGAGTGCAAAACTATTGCAGTTTTTGCATTGTTGGAATTTGCCGTTTGATGTTGGAATACATTCTTCAATAAATGTGGTTAGGTCATACATCATTTTAATGGACATTTCTCGCTTTATGTTTTCTTGCTAATGACTTATTATTTGTTGTTTATTTTATGTTTATTTTAGACTACGGAAATTATGTTAGACAAAAAGCAAATTAGAGCAATTTTCTTATTTGGGTTCAAAATGGGTCATAAAGCAGCAAGAAAACTCATAACATCAATAAGGCATTTGGCCCAGGAACTGCTAATGAATGTACAGTACAGTGGTGGTTCAAGAAGTTTTGCAAAGGAGACAAGAGCCTTGAAGATGAGGAGTGTATGGCCAGCCATCAGAAGTTGACAATGACCAATTGACAGCAATCATCAAAGCTGATCCTCTTACAACTACATGAGAAATTGCCAAAGAACTCCACCTCGACCATTCTATGGTCATGTGGCATTTGAAGCAAATTGAAAAGGTGAAAAAGGTGGGAAAAAAAGGTGAAAAAAAGGTGTCTTGATAAGTGGGTGCTTCATGAGCTGAGCAAAAATTTTAAAAAATGTTGTCTTGAAGTGTTGTTTTCTCTTATTCTATGCAATAACAGTGAACCATTTCTTGATCGGATTGTGACATGTGACAAAAAGTGGATTTTATACAACAACTGGTGACGACCAGCTTAGTGGTTGGACTGAGAAGAAGCTCCGAAGCACTTCCCAAAGCCAAACTTGCACCAAAAAAGGTCATGGCCACTGTTTGGTGGTCTGCTGCTGGTCTGATCCAGTATAGCTTTCTGAATCCTGGCAAAACCATTACATCTGAGAACTATGCTCAGCAAACGGACGAGATGCACCAAAAACTGCAACAACTGCAGCCAGCATTGGTCAACAGAAAGGGCCCAATTCTTCTCCAGGACAACACCCAAACACACGTCACACAACCAACGCTTCAAAAGTTGAGCAAATTGGGCTATGAAGTTTTGCCTCATCTGCCATACTCACCTGACCTCTCACCAACTGACTACCACTTCTACAAGCATCTCAACAACTTTTTGTACGGAAAACGCTTCCACAACCAGCAGGATGCAGAAAATGATTTCCAAGAGTTTGTTGAATCCTGAAGCATGGATTTTTACACCATAGGAATAAAGATTTCTCACTGGCAAAAATGTGTTGATTGTAATGTTTCCTGTTTTGATTAATAAAGATGTGTTTGAGCCTAGTTATAATGATTTAAAATTTACAGTCTGAAACCGCAATTACTTTTGCAGCAACCTAATAGTATTTGGTTGAGGATTTTTGCATCAATGTTCATCAGGGATATTGGCCTGTTGTTTTCTTTCTTTTTTCTTTTCTTTCTTTCTTTTTTTTTTTTTTTTTTGATGTGTCTTTGTCTGGTTTTGCTATCAGGGTAATAATGGCCTCATGGAATGAGTTTGAAAGTATTCCCTCCTCCTCAATTTTTTTGAATAGTTTGAGTAGGATTGGTATTAGTTATTTAAATGTTTGGTAAAATTCATCAGTGAAACTATTGAGCCCCAGGCTATTCTTTGCCAGCAGACTTTTTATTTTGGCTTTGAAATTGTTACTTACTATTGGTCTGTTAAAGTTTTGAATTTCTTCATGGTTCAACTCAGTAGGTTTCATGTATCTAGAAATTTATCTATTTTTTTCTAGGTTTTCCAATTTGTTGGCATATACTTACTCATAGTAGTACCTAAGATCCTTTGAATTTCTTGGTATCAGTTGTAACGTCTCCCTTTTCAAAACCTCTCATTTTATTTATTTCGGTCTTCTCTCTTTTTTTCTTAGTCTGGCTAAAGGTTTGTCATTTTGTTTATCTTTTCTTTCTTTCTTTTTTTTTTTGAGACGGAGTCTCGCTCTGTCACCCAGGCTGGAGTGCAGTGGCACGATCTTGGCTCACTGCAAGCCCCGCCTCCCAGGTTCACGCCATTCTCCTGCCTCAGCCTCCCGAGTAGCTGGGACTACAGGCGCCCACCACCAGGCCCAGCTAATTTTTTGTATTTTTTAGTAGAGACGGGGTTTCACCGTGGTTTCGATCTCCTGACCTTGTGATCCCCCCCACCTCAGCCTCCCAAAGTGCTGGGATTACAGGTGTGAGCCATCACGCCCGGCCTTATTTGTCTTTTCAAAAAATGATTTTTTTGTTTTCATCCTTTGTATTATTTGTTTCAATTTCATTTATTTCTGCTCTGGTCTTTATTATTTCTTTTCTTCTACTGACTTTGGGTTTGGTTTGTGCTTGCTTTTCTAGTTCTTTAAGAGACACCATTAGGTTGTTTACCTGAAGTTTGTATGTTTGTTCATTTGTTTGTTTGAGACAGAGTCTCACTCAGTCACCCAGGCCGGAGCGCAGTGGCCAATCTTGGCTCACTGCAACCTCCGCCTCCCAGGTCCAAGCAATTCGCATGCCTCAGCCGCCCAAGTAGCTGGGACTATAGACATGTGCCACCGTGCCTGGCTAATTTTTTTGGTATTTTTAGTAGAGATGGGGTTTTGCCATGTTGCCCAGGCTGGTCTCAAACTCCTGAGCTCAAACAATCTGCTCAGCTTGGCCTCCCAAAGTGCTGGAGTTACAGGCATGAGCGACTACACCCAGACTTTTTATCTTTTTTGATGTAGGCACTTATAGCCATAAACTTCCCTCTTAGTACTGCTTTCACTGTATCCCACAGGTTTTGATATGTTGTGTTTCCATTATTGTTTCAAGAAATTTTTAAATTTTCTTATTAATTTCTTAGTTCACCCACTGGTTATTCAGGAGCATATTGTTTAATTTTCATGTGTTTGTATAGTTTCTAAAATTCCTCGTTATTGATTTCTAGTTTTATTTCATTGTGGTCAGAGAAGATCCTTGATATTATTTTTTTTTTTTATGCTTTAAGACTTGTTTTGTGGCCTCACATATGATCTGTCCTTGGGAATGATCCATGTGCTGAGGAGAAGAATGTCTATTCTGTGACCATTGTGTGAAATGTCCTATAAATATCTATTAGGTCCATTTGATCCATAGTGCAGATTAAGTCTGATGTTTCTTTGTTGATTTTCTGTCTGGATGATCTGTCCAATGCTGAAAGTGGGGTGTTGAAATCTTGTGCTATTATTGTAGTGGAGTCTGTCTCTCTCTTTATCTCTAATAATATTTGCTTTATATATCTGGGTGCTTCAGTGTTGGGTGCATATATATTTACAATTGTTATATTCTCTTGCTGAATTGACCCCTTTATCATTATGTAATGACCTTCTTTGTCTCTTTTTATAGTTTTTGTCTTTTTTTCTTGAGACGGAGTCTCACTCTGTCACCCAGGTTGGAGTGCAGTGGTGCAATCTCAGCTCACTGCAACCTCCACCTCCTGGGTTCAAGCAGTTTTCCTGCCTCAGCCTCCTGAGTAGCTGGGATTACAGGTGTGTGCCACCATGCCAGGCTAATTTTTGTATTTTTAGTAGAGATGGGGTTTCACTATGTTGGCCAGGCTGGTCTCGAACTCCTGACCTCAGGTGATCTGCCCGCCTCGGCCTCCCAAAGTGCTGGGATTACAGGTGTGAGCCACCACACCCAGCCTTGATTTTGTCTTGAAATCTGTTTTGTCTGTTATAAGCACAGCTACTTCTGCTCTTTTTTTAGTTTCCATCTGCATAAAGCATCTTTTTCCATCCCTTTATTTTCAGTTTATGTGTGTCTTTATAGGTGAAGTGTGTTTCTTGTAGGCAACAGATCATTGAGTCTTTTTTAAAAAAAATCCATTCAGCCACTCTGCATCTTTTGATTAGAGAGCTTAGTCCATTTACATTCAATGTTATTATTGATAAGTAAGGACTTACTCCTGCCATTTTGTTATTTGTCTTCTGGTTGTTTTTGGTCTTCTCTTCCTTCTTTCCTTCCTTCCTGTCTTCCTTTTAGTGAAGGTGATTTTCTCTGGTGGTATGTTTTAATTTCTTGTTTTTTATTTTTTGTGTATCCATTGTATATTTTTAGATTTGAGGTTACCATGAGGCTTGCAAATAATATCTTATAACCCATTATTTTAAACTGATGACAATGTAACACTAATTGTGTAAACTAACTAATAAACAAAAAGGAAACTAATAAAAACTAATACAAACTTTAACTTTGTCTCCCCACATTTTAATTTTTTGTTGTTTCTATCTTATTGTACTATGTCTTGAAAAGTTGTTGTAATTATTATTATTATTATTATTATTATTATTATTATTATTTTGAGATGGAGTCTTGCTCTGTTGCCCAGGCTGAAGTGCAGTGGCACGATCTCAGCTCGCTGCAAACTCTGCCTCCTGGGTTCAAGTGATTCTCCTGCCTCAGGCTCCCGAGTAGCTGGGATTATAGGCATGTGCCACCATGCCCAGCTAATTTTTGTATTTTTAGTAGAGATGGGGTTTCACCGTGTTAACCAGGTTAGTCTCCATCTCCTGACCTCGTGATCCGCCCACCTCGGACTCCCAAAGTGCTAGGATTACAAGTGTGAGCCACTGCACCCAGCCTGTAATTATTATTTTTGATTGGTTCGTCTTTTTGTTTTTCTACTTAAAATATGAGTAGTTTACATACCACAATGACAGTGTTAGAATAGTCTGTGTTTTTCTGTGTAGTACTTATTATTACCAGTAAGTTTTGTACCTTCAGATGATTTTTTTTTTTTTAATTTTTTTTGACAAGGTCTCACTTTGTCACCCAGGCTACAGTCCAGTTGCTTGATTATAGCTCACTGTAGCCTCCCAGGCTCAAGCGATCCTCCTGCCTCAGCCTCCCAAAGTGCTGGGATCACAGGCATGAGCCTCTATGCCCAGCCAATTAAAACAATTTTTTTTTTTGTAGAGGTGGAGTCTCACTGCATTGCCCAGGCTGACCTCAAACTCTTGGGTTCAAGCAATTCTCCCACCTTGGCCCAGATGATTTCTTGTTGCTCATTAACATCATTTTCTTTCAGATTGAAGAACTCTTTTTAGCATTTCTTGTAGGATAGATCTTGTGTTGATGAAATCCTTCAGCTTTTGCTTGTCCAGGAAAGTCTTTACTTCTCCTTCACGTTTGAAGGATATTTTCATCAGATATAGTAATACTATTCTAGGGTAAAAGTTTTTTTTTCCTTCAGCATTTTAAATATTGTCATGCCACTCTCTCCTGACCTGTAAGGTTTCCATCGAGAAGTCTGCTGCCAGACCTATTGGAGCTCCATTGTATGTTATTTGTTTCTTTTCTCTTGCTGGTTTTAGAATCCTTTCTTTATCCTTGACCTTTGGGAGTCTGAATATTAAATGCCTTGAAGTAGTCTTCTTTGGGTTAAACCTGCTTGGTGTTCCATAACCTTCTTATCCTTGAATATTGATATCTTTCTCTAGGTTTGGAAAGTTATCTATTATTATTCCTTTGAATGAACCCCACCTCTCTCTCTACCTCCTCTTTAAAGCCAATAACTCTTAGAATTTGCCCTTTTGAGGCTGTTTTCTAGATCTTGTAGGCATGCTTCATTCTTTTTTTTCTTTTTTCTTTTGTCTCCTCTGACTTTGTATTTTCAAACAGCCCAAGTTCACTAACTCTTCTGCTTGACCAATTCTGCTATTAAAAGACTCTGATGAGTTCTTCAGTATGTCAATTGCATTTTTCAACTCTAGGATTTCTGCTTAATTCTTTTTAATTATTTCTATTTCTTTGTTAAATTTATCTAATGGATTCTGAATTCCTTCTCTGTGTTATCTTGAATTTCTTTGAGTTTCTTCAAGACAGCTATTTTGAATTCTGTGTCTGAAAGGTCAAATTTCTCTCTCTCTCTCTGGGATTAATCCCTGGTGTCTATTTCCCTGGATGGTCTTGATGCTTGCGGATGTTTATCAGTGTCTGGGCATTGAAGAGCTAGGTATTTATTGCATCCTTCACAATCTGGGCTTGTTTGTACCTGTCCTTTTTGGAAGGCTTTCCAGGTATTTGAAGAGACTTCAGTGTTGTGATTTAAGCTTTTGGTCATTAGTGGGCCATTGGTGGGTAACCCACAATGTAACCCAGTAACGCCATGGTTCTTGCAGGCTCATAGAGGTACCACCTTGGTTACCTTGGATAAGGCCTGGAAGAAGTCTCTGGAGTATCAGGCAGAGACTCTTATTCTTTTCTCATACAATATATTCCTTCTTTTCTTTTCTTTTTTTTCTTCCTTCCTTCCTTCTTTCCTTCCTTCCTTCTCTCTCTCTCTCTCTTTCTTTCTATCTTTCTTTCTTTCTCAGGGTCTCATTCTGTCACCCAGGGTGGAGTGCAGTGGTGCAATCTTGGCTCACTGCCACCTCCACCTCCTGGGGTCAAGCAATTCTCATGCCTCAGGCACCTGAGTAGCTGGAATTATAGGCATGTGCCACCATGCCTAGCTAATTTTTGTATTTTTAGTAGAGACAGGTTTTTGCTATGTTGCCCAGGCTGGTCTTGAACTCCTGGCCTTAAGTGATCCACCTGCCTCAGCCTCCCAAAATGCTGAGATTACAGGAATGAGCCACTGCACCTGGCCCCATACTTTCTCCCAAACAAAGAGCATCTCTCTCTCTCTCTGTGCTGAGCTGCCTGGAGATGGGGGAGAGGTTAAACAAGCACCCCTGTGGCCACCACCCCTGCTCCTGTGCTGAGTCAGATCTGAAGCCAGCACAGCACTGGCTGTGAATGTGATGGGTCACACCTGAAGCTGGCACATCTCAGTCTCACTGAAGGCTCACAGCATGTACTACTTGGTTACCACTGCTGCTTATATAGGGTTCTTTAATTAGCAGGTGATAAATCTTGCCAGGACTGGGTCCTTCCCTTCAAGGCAGCAG
This sequence comes from Homo sapiens, assembly GCF_000001405.40. Taxonomy (NCBI): domain Eukaryota; kingdom Metazoa; phylum Chordata; class Mammalia; order Primates; family Hominidae; genus Homo; species Homo sapiens. Next base: position 9,563,093 of record NC_000011.10, read on the forward strand.
GTTCCCTTCTGGCCCAGGTTGTGTCTAGAAATGTCATCTAGGACTAGGTTCTAGAATGGGGGCCTCACAACTCTACCCGGCGCCCTTTCCTAATGTGGCTGAGCTGGTATCCAAGTTGCAAGACAAAGTTTTCTTTACTCTTCTCTCTCCTCAAGTGGAAGGAAGGGGTCTCTTTTGGATTTGCAAACTGCACTGCCTGAACTTGAAGGAGGGGTGGCACAAGTACTCCCTTGACTGCCCCAGCTAGTGTCTCACTAGGCTGTGTGGCTCCCAAGTCCACTGGCTCTGGGCCCAACACAGGACTAAGCCTTGCCTAGGAGTTGCAGTCCTTGTGGCCTAGATAGCCTTCCAAGTTTATTTAGGACCCTAGAGGACATTAGCCTGTGGTGGCAAGGCTTGCCAAAACTCAAGTCCTGACCACTGGGATGAGTGATTCCCCTCTGGGTAAGGCTGGTCCAATGCTGCCCTTATGGGCACCGGTTGAGTTCTGCCCAGTGTTGGCAGCACTGTGTTCCAATGCAAAATCCCACAATAGCTGCACTTGCCCTCCCTGAAGCACACAGATTCTCTCTCTGTGCCATGCAGCAGCTGCTGGGGAGTGGGGGAAGGGTCTGTCAAGGCTGTACAATTCAAGACTGTATTTCCTACCCTCTTCAGTGGCTCTTTCAGTGATAGGAAGTTAAAACCAGGCACTATGATCGCTCACCTGATTTTTGGTTCTTATGATGGTGCTTTTTTGTGTAGAAAATCATTCAGTTTGGTGTTCCTGCAGGGATGACGATTGATGGAGGCTTCCATTCAGCCATCTTGCTTCCAACCATCCAATTTTCAATTTTTGTTTTGTTTTTAGACAGTCTAGCTCTTTCGCCCAGGCTGGAGTGCAGTGGCATGATCTTGGCTCACTTCAACCTCTACCTCCCGGATTCAAGCGATTCTTGTGCCTCAGCCTCTCGACTAGCTAGCTGGAATTACAGGCGTGCACCACCACACCCAGCTAATTTTTGTATTTTTGTTACAGACAGGGTTTCACCATGTTAGCCAGGCTGGTCTGGAACTCCTGACCTCAAGTGATCCACCTGCCTTGGCCTCCCAAAGTGCTGGCATTACAGATGTGAGCCACCGTGCCCAGCCCAATTTTCAATTTTTTGTATTTCTTCAGATGTTTTCCCTGTGATAAATATGTTTGCTTTAGGTTAATTTTCTCGTTTGTTTGTTTTTAATTGAATCATTATACAGTTCTCCATTATATGTTTTTGTTTGTTTTTTGAGACACAGTCTTGCTCTGTCACCCAAGCTGGAGTGCAGTGGTAAAATCTCAGCTCATTGCAACCTCCGCCTCCAGGGTTCAGGTGATTCTCTCACCTCAGCCCCCCAAGTAGCTGGGATTACAGGCATGCACCACCACACCTGGCTAATTTTTGTATTTTTAGTACGGTCTGGGTTTCACCGTGTTGATCAGGCTGGTCTAGAACTCCTGACCTAAAGTGATCCACCTGCCTTGGCCTCCCAAAGTGCTGGGATTACAGGTGTGAGCCACTGTACCTGGCCCTTTTCTCCATTATCTTATAGACATCTTTTCATTTTGTACATATAGTTCCAGCTCATTATTTTGCAAGCTATAGTTTTTTAGCATTTAACGGAAATTTGGGTGGTTTCCAATATGGAGTATAATAAACAATGCCAATATTTGGTTTTGTAAACTTTCCCCCAGATCTCTCTGTGGCTGATTTTCTCACTCCATTCAGGTTCCTGCTCAAATGCCACTTCCTCAGAAAAGCATTCCTTGATTTCACTATTTTAAACTAGCACTTTCCTCCAACCCTCTACCACTTCTTCATCCCTTACTTTACTTTCTGATATCAATCTTTGTAATTTTTCCTCTTGATTTTAGAGTTTAAAATACATTTGGATTTTATGATGAAACAAAAAAATAAGGTACAAGTCTGACTCCCCCTGGATCCCATTGTCCACATTCACACCATCAAGTTGTGTGCCGGCATACCTGGAAGGATGACTCTAGACATCACACTGCTCAACTAGCCTGGCCTCCCAGCTGGGTCCAGTGTGACCCTGCCTTCATCAAATCTCCCTGTTTCACCCTTCACCTTATGCCCTTCTTACTGGGGTAGGAAGAACCAGGCTTTAAGTCAGCAGCAATAAAGTCTCAGAAGGCTGGGCATGGTGGCTTACACCTGTAATCCCCACATTTTGAGAGGCTGAGGTGGGAGGATCCCTTGGAGTTTGAGACTGGTCTGGGCAACATAGTGAGGCCACGTCTCTACAAAAAAAAATTGTTTTTAAATTAGCCAGGTATGGTGGCATGTGCCTGTAGTCCCAGCTACTCAGGAGGCTGAGGTGGGAAGATTGCTTGGTCCCAGGAGGTTGAGGCTGCAGTGAGCCATGATTGTGCCACTGCACTCCAGCCTGGGTGATGAAGACCCTGTCTCAAAAAAATAATACTAAAATAAAAAATATTGATAGGTCATTGGATGGGTAAATGTAAAATTTTTTTTAAATTTTAAAATTAAAAATAAAGTTTCAGAAATATAGTCTCAGTAATACTAGTTCTATGATTGTATGATGAAGGCATTTTTTAACCTGTGTTTCATTTTCATCTGTGAAATGTGAATAAAAATAACTCTCTTACAGAGTTCCCGTAAAGATTAAATAAGTATGTAAAGCATCTGGGTCAGTGCCTATCATATAGTTGGCACCAAAATATTCTCCCCTCTCCCAGCTCCTGCAAAGGCACCCCAGCTCTTTGCAGCACTTAGGGCCTTTCTCATATTCTGACCTGTATTAAGCAAATGTGCAGCTGGTAGGATAAGATGCTTGAACGTAGTAGACACTCAATAGAGGACTGCCAAGCAGAGTTGATTTCTGTAGTTAGAAACTAGTTCATCCTTACCAGTAATTTTTTTTTTCTTGTATACACTCCCAATCGGCTTATCGGCTTATCATGTCACACACAACTGGTTACTCTCTACCCAACTAGATACTGGATGAGGTCATCTCTCAATCCTGTCTGAGCTGAACAAGGCCTTTTATGGAACTTTAAAGTTGACTCACCACTGAGTCATCAAAACACAGCAATACCTAAACACGCTCCTGTTGCTAACAAAAGACCAGCATGGGATGTCTGTCTTACCTCCTTTCCCTCCCCTAATGAGACACGGCCCCTTGACTCACTGGAGAAGAGTCATCACGTCTTTTGTGCTGCAGTAATCTGAACGAAGCCAGTTTAAATAATCACAATGTGGCCAGCAAACAACTGGCAGTCCCTGTGGTCATTCAGGTCATTTCCTGTGTATGTCACTAACCCAAAAGGAGAGGCAATTAATCAATCACCTGAATATTTAATAAGTGCCTGCATTCTGTTGGGCACTCACAGTTCCCTCTGTTTATGACATTTCTGTGAAGTGAACTTTTCAGTTATTGAAACTCATTAAAAATATAGAGAACAGTGTTGCGGGAAGTCAGGGACCCCAAACGGAGGGACCACATTAGAACAGCAACCTTTGTGCCTCTGTAAAGGAAATAAAAAAAGGAATATTGGAGAAAATGGGACTATTCAGTTCCATTCCAATAGAAAAGAATTATAAAATAGCAAATAGGAAGGGGTTATTTGCTAATGTTTTGGCTAAATGCTTCAGAGAGCTATAATTTTAAAATATCTTGGTTGAGAACTACTCTCTTATCTAGGAATGAAATGGTCAGTGGTATTTTCTCTTGGGAAAAGTCTTGCGTTAGTACCACTGCCTGACCTATTGCAGTGGACTATGAAGTGTTTCAAGATTAGGGGGCCTGTGTAAGGCTGAGAACTGCTGAGATAACTAGGAGTAGGCCTAAGGGCTCCTTTCATAAATAAGGCTGGTTACAGCTGTTTCATACATGAACAGATACAACCTTTAAGTACCCTAGCATGGTCTTTCCTAGCTGGAGACCCCAAGGAAAACCTGAATGAAAATCTTAGATCTTCAGACATTTTATATAGAATCCATACAATTGATATACCCATATCCAAAGGATATAATGATCTACCCTTGATCTATCTTAAATAAATATCAGAACGATGCATGGAAATTGCATGTTAGTAGTCCTTAAAGATTAATTTGGCACGACAAGAAATGTTTATTTTATTAAAATAAATACAAGCTCTTAACTGGTTGTTTTTCCTGGGTTATGCTTCTCAAGTTCTTATTACATAGATACTGTGTTCTGATTTGATCTTCCTAGCTGGTTGTGCATAAACTTGAGCCCATCCATATTAAGTAAATTAATTTTGGGGACATCAGGAGTCACATATTGCAATTACTGACTATAAAGCCATTAACAACTATGAATTTTTCTCAAACAACATTGCTATAATTGAAAGCATACTTATAACTTTTTTTTTTTTCCCCAGACAGGGTGTTGCTCTGTTGCCTAGGCTGGAATGCAGTGATGTGCTCACGGCTCACTGCAGCCTCTACCTCCCAGGCCCAAGCAATCCTCCCACCTCAGCCTCCAGAGCAGCTGGGACCACAGGCGCACCATGCCCGGCTAATTTTTTAAATTTTTTGTAGAGAGGGAGTCTCCCTATGTTGCCCAGGCTGGTCTCAAACTCCTGCGCCCAAGGAATCCTCCTACCTCGGCCTCCCAAAGTGCTGAGATTACAGGCATGAGCCACCATGCCAAGCCAGAAAGCACACTTATATTTATTGAACACTATTCACAAGAGATAATGCTAGTCTCACATTTAATAAACTGAACAATTGGCCAGGCGCGGAGGCTCACGCCTGTAATCCCAGCACTTTGGGAGGCCGAGGCGGGCGGATCACGAGGTCAGGAGATTGAGACCATCCTGGCTAACACGGTGAAACCCTGTCTCTACTAAAAATACAAAAAATTAGCCAGGGATGGTGGCGGGCCCCTGTAGTCCCAGCTACTCGGGAGGCTGAGGCAGGAGAATGGCGTGAACCTGGGAGGCGGAGCTTGCAGTGAGCTGAGCTCGTGCCACTGCACTCCAGCCTGGGCGACAGAGCGAGACTCCGTCTCAAAACAAAAACAAAAACAAAAACACTGAACAATTAGAGAAGAATTGAGTTTGACGGTACTGTACTCTCAGGGTATGCTGATGAACATGCGGTGAAATGGTCAAATAATCACATCCATCAGAGGTTATTAAGGCACGTGATGAAGTAGAGAAATCTAATTTATAGCTGGGAAGTCAAACAGGAGCAATCTAGGAGCTACCACGTTCTAGCCTGAGATTTGTATTCCTGAGGCCAATAGGCAGCTGGTAACAGAGCTGGGTTGAAATAAATTGAGACTTGCTGTGAGAACAAGCATAAGGAGAAAGGTAAAGATAACAAGGAAGGTGAAGAAAGTTGAACTCTTTAAGCGTATTATTTGTCTTTTAAGTGAAAAACTGACATTTGACTAATGTGTCTTTTTTTTAAAGTTAGAAATCTATCAGAGTAGGGTCCTTAGAGAAACTGATTATTTCTCCAGAATAAAGAGCATATTAATAGAAAAGATTCAGCTTTCGCTAACGGCTGACTAGTCTTAACGAAACATTCCTAAAGGCTTTGCATCACTGAGAAAAGTTAGTTCCTAGTTCTGAAGGATTTCATTCAAAGTGCAAGGCTCATGTTAATAGGAATATGCATGCATATTCATGTGCTATATGTATTAAAAATACTTGAGAAGGTGATTTAGAAATCTCAGTTTTAAATCTTCATGGGAAGAATCTTGCTTGTTTTGTTGCCAAGGAAGGTGAATGGGTTGAAAATAGTTTTAAAGCCCTTTACGTGCGAAGTCATGAATCTAAAGAGGATAAACAGGTTAGGTTTGTTATCCCAGAAGCTAGAGGCAAGATTTTTACTCAGTTCTTTCAACATTACCACAAGCATGTGGATTCTGCAAAAGTTGCCTAGCAACATTAGTTAGAAACAACATTGGGTGGAGAAAGGAACTGGAAATTTGAATTAGATACGGCCTGGGGCAGGCGGGTGTAACCCATCTCTCCAGTACAGTGTGTGCTTTACTCAGAGGAGCGTGAAATTTTAAAAATCAGAACAGTCACTTAAAATTTCAGTTAGGATGTTGCTACAGTTAAACCATAATATTGTGCCATGTTCTCAGCTTGAAGAGGCAGGGCCTGGGTTTCTCACTTTTGTTTTGTTTTGTTATTTTGGCACTTTTGTTTTAAAGATCACTGGATTTTCATTAAATTATTCTAGAAACATTTATTAAGCACTTTCTCAGGGGCCAAGGCACAGTGCTGGTTGCTGGAGCTCTGAAGACAAACACAGTTTGGACCCTGCCCTGGGCAGTGTGAAAACCAGACAAGTAAACAAAGTAAGAGTGTTACATAGTCCGTGCTGGGTGCGGTGGAAAGTCTGGAGTAGGGAATGGAGAGTCAGGAAAGGCTTCACAGAGGAAATGGCTCTAGCACTGAGTCTTGGTTTCAACTTAAAAAAAAAATTCCTTCAGCCAGGTGCAGTGGCTCACACCTGTAATCCCAACCCTGTGAGAGGCTGAGGTAGGCAGATCACTTGAGCTCAGGAGTTCAAGACCAGCCTGGGCAACATGGTGAGACCCGGTCTCTACAAAAAATACAAAAATTCACCAGGTGTAGTGGCACTTGCCTGTAGTCCTGGCTACTCAAGAGGCTGAGGTGGGAGAATTGCTTGAGCCCAGAAGGGGAGGTTGCAGTGAGCCGTGAACGCACCACTGCACTCCAGCCTGGGCAATAGAGCAAACCCTTGTCTCAAGGAAAAAAAAAAAAAAAATTATTTCCCCCAATCATTCTACACATTTATTGTGAACTTACCTCTTCGATTCTGTGTGAGGACTTCAAAGTCCTGGGTCTGTGGACCAAGAACTCTTCCCTTCCCATCCACAACCCAAGCCCTTCTGCCTGCCTTAGCCTACTTCAAAGACCTCCCATTTAGGGACGCAGACAGGTGGCAAAGTAGGAGTTGACAAAACAAAACAAAACATTGTTAAGAGTGTTTACCTTCAGGAAGGGGAACTGGGCTGGGATTTGAAGGGATAGGTGGGAGAATTTTGTACCATTTAAGTTTTTGTTACTGGAGTGGGGAAAAACCATGGGGAAAAATAGGAAGTGTGATGGCTGCTACCTCTACAATCTTGCATTAAATAGAGTACTAGAGTGGTGATCTCTGTTCAATTTTTTTTTTTTTTTCCTGAGATAGTTCTCGGTCTGCTGCCTAGGCTGGAGTGCAGTGGCACAATCACAGCTCACTGCAGCCTTCATCTCTCAGGCTCAAGGGATCCTCCCACTTCAGCCTCCTGAGTAGCTGGGACCACAGGCATGTGACACCATGCCCAGCTAATTTTTAAATTTTTAGTAGAGGTGAGGTCTCACTATGTTGTCCAGGCTGGTCTTGAACTCCTGGCCTCAAGTGATCCTCCTGTCTTGACCTCCCAAAGTGTTGGGATTGCAGGTGTGAACAACTACCACACCCGATTCAAAATCTTAAATAGGCAAACTTATCTGCAAATGTGCCAATTTAGGAAGCGAATAAACCAACAATTATTTAAATAAGGGCTCTTTTATCACTCACAAGGGAGTGAACGCCTAATCCACGTTAGAATACTGCAATAAACAAGGGTCCCCTACCCTCGGGGACCTTATTTTTCTAGAAGGAGATAGTAATAAACTAACAACGTACTTTGAGATAGAAATAAGCCTGCTAAGGAAATAAAGCCAGGTGTTGTGAAAGAGCAAAGAGTGAGGGAGGGGACGTGAGAACAGAGATACGGAATTCTTACATAGGAGGAGTTTAGGAGCATCAGTCTAGTTGTGGAGAGGCAACTAAAGGGCTTTAAAGTCCCATTTACTTAGAAAGCACACTATTTTCACATGCAGTTTATGTTACAGATCGATAAAAGTAGGGTTCTCTATTTTTATTTATGCTTCATAATAAATTGAGAAAATGTCAATTATATCAAATAATTATATTTGTCATCAGGAGTGGCAGGAGGGGGCCCACAGCCTGGGCAATATGGTGGCTCATGCCTGTAATTCCAGCACTTTGGGAGACGGAGACGGGCAGATTGCTTGAGCCCAGGAGTTCTAGACCAGCCTGGGCAACATGGTGAAACAGAGTCTCTACTAAAAATGCAAATATTAGCTGGGCGTGGTAGCACACATCATTAGTCCCAGCTATTTGGGAGGGTGAGGTGGGAGGATCTCTTGAGCCTGGGGAGATCGAGGCTACAGAGCCGTGATTGCACCACTGTACTCCACTTTGAGACAGGGTGGACAGAGTGAGACCCTGTCTCGAAAAATAAAAATTTAAAAAAAAGGAGTGGCAGGAGGGGAAGTGTTGGAGCAAGGGTTCTGAAAATCACTCCTTGGCTTTGGCCACTGTGGATCATTGACTAACTCTCCTTATACAAGTCTAGAATTCTTGTCCTCCAAGAGCTTAAAATTAAGTTTGCATGACCATATAAAAAACACATTTATACACCAGTTAGCAAATGTTAGGAGAAAAGACAGCTGTTGATCCTTCACTGTGTCTTCAGTTGTGTGATCTCAGGAAATTCCCGATTTGATGTGTTAAGTACTACCGTGTGTTTCAAGAAAAATTCAGCTTGAGTTTATTTAGCCTTTGAAAAGCATTAGAACAACATATATGACAAAGTGTTAATATGCATAAAGTGCTAACAATAAGAAAAATAGGCAATAGAGATAAATGTAAATTATCATTAAACCCATGACAACTGTTCAACAATATGAATCAAAACAACAAAACCACATCAACGAACATCCACTGATGTCCTGAATTCACAGAGTGTGCTCTAATCCACTGCTAGTGAGAATGTATTGTGTTTCTGGAGGGGGAGTTTGCCAGTTTATATCCTTTGACTGAGGAATTCTAACTCCAGGGAGGTATCCAAAAGAGTATTTTAAAAAGGCCAGGCGCGGTGGCTCACGCCTGTAATCCTAGCACTTTGGGAGGCCGAGGCGGGCAGATCACCTGAGGTCAGGAGTTTGAGACCAGCCTGCCAACATGGTGAAACTCCGTATTTTGCATTTTGTAAAAATACAAAAATTGGCCAGGCCTGGTATGTGCTTGTAATACCAGCTACCCGGGAGACAGGAGAATCGCTGGAACCCGAGAACCCGGGAGGTGGGGGCTGCAGTGAGCCGAGATCGCGCCACTGCACTCCAGCCTGGGGCGACAGAGCGAGACTCCGTGTCGAAAAAAACCAAACCAAACAAAAAACATGGAGAAGGAAGCATATACACCACGGGGTTGTTTACAACAGAAAACTGGAAGAGGCCGGGAGCGGTGGTTCACGTCTGTAATTCCAGCACTTTGAGAGGCCGAGGCGGGCGGATCACTTGAGATCAGGAGTTGGAGACCAGCCTGGCCAACATTGGGAAGTTCGTCTCTACTAAAAATACAAAAATTAGCCAGGTGTGGTGGCAGCCGCCTGTAATCCCAGCTACTCGGGTGGCTGAGGCATGAGAATCGCTTGAACTCTAAAGGCGGAGGTTGCAGGTTGTAGTGAGCCGAGATCGTGCCACTGCACTCCAGCCTGGGTGACAGAGCAAGACCCCGTCTCAGAAAAAAAAAAAAAAATAAATAAACAAAGAAAGAAAAAAGAAAACTGGAAGAAACGTGTAAGTGCATTAAGGGACAGATTAAATCAGTTTAACGAAGCACTAGGGAAATTTTTTAAAATTGCGTTTGAGTTTGCCGCGAGCCGGGCCAATCGGTTTTGCCAACGCATGCCCACGTGCTGGCGAACAAATGTAAACACGGAGATCGTGTGCCGGGCACTTGGTTTCGTGGTGGGCAACTGTGCTGCTGTTTCTTTTGGCCGCGGACAAGGTCGGCAGAGGTGGACCCCTGCTTGGGAGAGCTCTTCTCGCTGTGCTGACACCCGCCCCTAACAGTCACCCACCCCGGGGAAATAATGGGGCTCGGAGGCCTCCTCCCAGCCAGTGTCCAGCCTAAGCACATCGGCTCCCGCAGTTCAGAAAGGTCCCGAGGCCCGAGTCACCATTTCCGGCTCAGACCTCGACCCTGAACGTGGCTGCCCACTGCCACGCCCACTACGCCCCAGTGGCTCGCCCCAGGGGACGAGGGGCAAGAAGCGGCCTCCGAGGGCAGCGGCCGAAGGCCATTCGGTCCCTGGCTCTTCCCAGCTCGCAGAGACCCGGAGGCGCTGCCCGGCCGCCTGCCCCTCTTCAGATCCCCCAGCACCGGAGGAGCAGCGAGGGGGGTGCGTCCAGGCCGGCTTTCGGGTCGGCTTAGGCGAATCCAGCTCTCTTTTGCCCCTCCCAGAAGGCCCAGCCCCGTCCGGGCGGTGTTCGGGCGGCGCCGGGCCGGGCCCCCCGCCGCCCCAGGCTCGCTCATAGGCCCGGAACACCACAGCCCGCCCAGACTTGGCTGGCGCCGAGCCGGGGGTGGAGCCAGCGGGTTCCCGCCAAAATCGCGTAGCTGGTCCTTCCCCCGCGGGCTACGTCGCGCCCTCCTTTTTTTTTCAAACCCGGAGCTGCACTGGGATTGGTGGACTGGGCACTCACGTGGTTAACGGTCGCGGGAAGCCGCGGAGCCCGAACCTGAGACTGGACCTGAGGAGACCTCAGCCTCGGTGCTCGGGCCGCCCCGCCTCTGCCGGAAAGTCCGCGCCGCCGCTGCCGCCACCGTCCGCAGCCCGAGCGCCCCGGAGCCGCAGGCCGCCGCCGCGCAGAGACGCCGCGGCTGCGACTAGGCGCGCCCAGCCGCACGTGGCGGACCCGCCCCCAGGCCCGCAGTGTCCTGGACCCCGCAGGCCTCCGCTCTCCTGTCCTCGGCCCCGTCCCCAGGGCCGCGATGAGCTTCCTGAGCCGACAGCAGCCGCCGCCACCCCGCCGCGCCGGGGCGGCCTGCACCTTGCGGCAGAAGCTGATCTTCTCGCCCTGCAGCGACTGTGAGGAGGAGGAAGAAGAGGAGGAGGAGGAGGGCAGCGGCCACAGCACCGGGGAGGACTCGGCCTTTCAAGAGCCCGACTCGCCGCTGCCGCCCGCGCGGAGCCCCACGGAGCCCGGGCCCGAGCGCCGCCGCTCGCCCGGGCCGGCCCCCGGCAGCCCCGGCGAGCTGGAGGAGGACCTGTTGCTGCCCGGCGCCTGCCCGGGCGCGGACGAGGCGGGCGGTGGGGCGGAGGGCGACTCGTGGGAGGAGGAGGGCTTCGGCTCCTCGTCGCCGGTCAAGTCGCCGGCGGCCCCCTACTTCCTGGGTAGCTCTTTCTCGCCGGTGCGCTGCGGCGGCCCAGGAGATGCGTCGCCGCGGGGTTGCGGGGCGCGCCGGGCGGGCGAAGGCCGCCGCTCGCCGCGGCCGGACCACCCGGGCACCCCGCCACACAAGACCTTCCGCAAGCTGCGACTCTTCGACACCCCGCACACGCCCAAGGTGAGAGCGGCGGGCGCGGGCACCCGGCGGCCGGGGCCGCGGCGCCGGAGGGGCCAGCGCCGCTGCCTGGGTTCGGTTACAGAAGCGGCCGGCCGCTCCCCCCTCGCTTTCCTGCGCCGCCCCCCAAAGTTGGCAGCCCTTGTGTTTGGCCCTGCCCCGAGGTTGTCCGTTGAGATTATGTAACTGAACAATGGGCCTCGTCTGGAACTTCATCTTACAAAGGGGCCGATCGGCCCGTCCGGGTGGCCAAGGATTTGCCGCCCGTTGAGTCCGGGCCGCCCCGAGCGTGTCAGCCCCGAGTGCGGCACCGATAACGCGGTTCGCGAGGATGCTGGAGGGTGCCGGCCCGGCCACCTGACACTCCCGAGCCATAGGATGCCTTTTAAACGCGGCGATCGGGCCTGTAATTTGGGCGGCGCGGGCAGAAGGAGTTTAAAGAAAAATAATTGTCCCGCCCTGATCGTGTCGTGTCGTGTGGCGTGGATGGGGGAAAGGTCTGGGGCATGCAGGGAGACTACGCTTGGACTTGGGAGTAAAGGCTGGCCTTCCAAGCATTTACAGTCCTACAGACTCATCCTAAGTCCAGGCAGTACTGAGGCCTGTTTCTGGACAAGGTCTTGGCCCAGCATTTGTTTTTATCGTGGGTTTGCGGTGCCCAGAGTTTGGCCGGCCTCCGTGTGATTAGGAACATCCTACCGTAGATAAGGTATCTTAAAGAAGGAGGTGTTCAGCACCTGTGTTTTGAAAGGCCTTCGAGTACTGCGCAGATGACCACTTTTAAAACTGCAGATTTTAAAGCTGATACTTCCAGAGATTAAGACAAGCCTCGCATTTGTAAGGTTAACAGGGAAGATGCACCTTTTAAAGTGAGTTTGTTTTGTTTTCAATGTACTGTTTGTCATCAGCCTAGGCAATCTGTGTGCTTTCGAGCTGTACTGTTTATTGGCCGACTTGCTCAAGGCAAAATCCCTCTGGAAGTGAGGGGAGGAGTCCAGCGGAGGTGGCTATGGAAGCCCTATCTAGATGGGGGAGGGGAGATTTTATGGGGCTCTCGGACTGCTTTCTATTTTTGGATGGGTTGAAAGAATTTGTTAACTTTTAGCCACTAGAATGAACTTAGTTTTAGGCAGCATTTATATTCTTTTTAGGGTTAGAGGCAGATTTTACTTGGCTATTTTTTTCAAGAAAAGATAGTTAATATCCAGCTTCAGTCTTCCTAAATTAGCCACAATTTATTTTGCTTGAACTCTAACAAAGGCTTGTGTGTTGCTTTCACCTACGCATTCAGCCCTATGAAAGGCTCGTTGAAGGTTAGGTTGAGAAGGCTGACTATAGGACTTGGATCCTAAAAATTGTATTTGTATTTTTCTTTCCCTAGAGTTTGCTCTCCAAAGCTCGGGGAATTGATTCCAGCTCTGTTAAACTCCGGGGTAGTTCTCTCTTCATGGATACAGAAAAATCAGGAAAAAGGGAATTTGATGTGCGACAGACTCCTCAAGTGAATATTAATCCTTTTACTCCGGATTCTTTGTTGCTTCATTCCTCAGGACAGTGTCGTCGTAGAAAGAGAACGTATTGGAATGAGTAAGTCGTTTATTTAACAGTTTGGTTCTCCAAATAACCTAAGATTGGTTTGGTATACTTATCAAAATTTAGTTCCTATTTAATGGCATGGATGTATCTGTCAGATATATTGATAGAAAAATAACATTTTTTTTAGTTCCTGTGGTGAAGACATGGAAGCCAGTGATTATGAGCTTGAAGATGAAACAAGACCTGCTAAGGTAAATAGCTTTTTATTTTTATTTTTTTGAAATTTACTTTTCTGCCACTTAAAGCATGCTATGAATATGTTAATAAGCATTAACACATAAGGTAGAATGGTTTTTAAATTTCACACATAGCCCTATCACCATAGCAAGAAATAACTGTTTTCGTATATTTGTATTACATATATGGAAACACTTTTTATTACAGAGAATTACAATTACTGAAAGCAATATGAAGTCCCGGTATACAACAGAATTTCATGAGCTAGAGAAAATCGGCTCTGGAGAATTTGGTTCTGTATTTAAGTGTGTGAAGAGGCTGGATGGATGCATTTATGCCATTAAGCGATCAAAAAAGCCATTGGCGGGCTCTGTTGATGAGTATGTATTAAACATTTTGTCTTTTGCTCTTTTGTCCCCTATGGTGTTACTAACATTAAGGTTTCAGCTGGTCAAACACTGAATTCCATCTCTAACTTTTGAGAAGCTGTAATGATTTAATCAGGTCCTTTTCACTTAATACCATCAGTTCTTATTGGACTTGTTGAATAATATGAGTCTGATTTTGGAACCTAACTTAAATTTCTTATTTCTAGTCAGCATCCATGAATTCACAGTAAAATGGAGTTTATTCTTACCTGAGTCCTAGGGCAAGCAACATTTCTTCTTTCTGATAAATCTTTAATGGAATCTGCCTTTGGAAAAATCTCTTACAAGTCTAAACCCCTTCTCTCTTAAGCAAGTTGCTTTTTAGCATAACAATAGATACCAAAAATTTATTGTATGAAGTTTCAGATAAATTAATTCAGTTTAAGCTTGAGTGAAAATTATTTACCATTCTATTAATCTCAAATTTCTTCTAGGCAGAACGCTTTGAGAGAAGTATATGCTCATGCAGTGCTTGGACAGCATTCTCATGTAGTTCGATATTTCTCTGCGTGGGCAGAAGATGATCATATGCTTATACAGAATGAATATTGTAATGGTGAGTGATGTAATGGTTTTCTTGTGAGCTTGAGAAAATGAACATCGAGGAAATATTTATGGTTATCTAAAATCTTGCTCTATTTCTGTCACTTTTATCTTTTATAAATTTAAAGATCAGAGACCTAACATAAATTTCAAGTACAAGGTTAAAAACCTTGTCCTTTCTGAAGCACCTTGTACATATCTCAGTAGTAGAACTTCGCATACTATTTATGTGCTTGTCGCTCCAACTGAGCTTTTTGACAAGACTATGGCCTCGACACATATATTTTGGTGTCCGTAGTACCTAGCGTAGTGTGTGAAGCATATAGTATTATGAAGTGTTAAGTTGAATAGATTCTTCCTGTGTCTGGTCTTTGATTTCCATTTCATGTGAGGTGCTGCTAAAACTGATGTTTGTTAGTCACTGAGTCTCTGTTGATCTAAATTCAGCTGTTTCTTTAAGCATTCTGTAGTCCGGCCCTACTCCCACGTATCCAACCTAGTCTACCCTAGAATCCACTAACGCTTTATTATGTTACATTCTTTTAGTTCTCTAGCTTGTCGTCTCTCCCTCCTCTCCCCTAAGGATGAAACAAAACAGGCATGTATAGATTCAAGTTTGGATGTCTTGTATAGCTTTCAGTTTCGGTAAGTCCTTCAAGGGCCGACTTATGTCTCTCCTTTTCTATTAAAAACCTTTACCAAAGTCTTGGTCAGAATTCTGGTTCTTATGGACGTCTGTCATTATTATATACCAAATCTTTTATGGATTATTTCTCAACACTTTTGTAGTTTATAAGTGTGATGATTGGGTTTTCATACTCAAGTGTGAAATGTGCCTCCCTCAAACCTTGTTACGACATCAGCACATTACCAGTCTGAAATGAAAAATATCTGTAGTTTGTTTCTATTTCTGTATATCTTCTGTGAATATAGACAATTTAGAGTTTAGTGAACACTTGAGAGGAGATAACAAAATTTATTTTTGTTGATTCTTATTATTCCTTAAATAAACAAGACCAGTTATCTCATAACTTGTAAATAAATAAGTGGTGTAGGTATGGATTCAGGTTCCCCATATTTAAAAACAGTGAACAAAACAGAAGTAAAAGATCCATTTTTCAAACCTGATTCCTCATTATTTAATAAAGTTCTCCACACTTGAAAGAACTTGAGTGTCTAGTATACAGCCTTGCTGCTAGTTTTTTTCACACAGCTCTTGAAATGTTTCTATTCATACCATCAAAATATTTATGTAACTATCACAACCTTATGGATTATTCTATTTCTTAACCTTCATTTTTCAGGTATTGCATTTAACCTAGAACAACTTGACCACAATGTCGTCTCCATTTGATATTTGTTAGACACCATCTCTTTTCAGTTTCCTTCTTTCTCTTTCTCACCTTCTTGATGTGAATAATTCTCTTAACAGAATAGTTCATTAGTAGTCCAGGAATGTCAAATATGTAGCAACCTACCAATACATGGTTGTGTAAATCAGATGATTCTGAGAAAACTCACGTGGGCCTGGGAGATAGGGAACTGAGTGAGTAGTCTTGCTACCCTCTCAGATTACAAAAACCTTGTCCTGTAATGTTAGATTATAAAATAATCTATTGAAAATAAGTTTTTATTTATTTATTTATTTATTTATTTATTTATTTATTTATTTTTGAGACAGAGCCTTGCTCTGTCGCCCAGGCTGGAGTGCAGTGGCGCAATCTCTGCTCACTGCAACCTTTGCCTCCAGGGTTCAAGCGATTCTCCTGCCTCAGCCTTTTGAGTAGCTGGGATTACAGATGCGCGCCACCACTCCCAGCTAATTTTTGTATTTTTAGTAGAGATGGGGTTTCACCATGTTGGCCAGGCTGGTCTTGAACCCTGACCTCGTGATCCACCTGCCTCGGCCTCTTAAAGCAATATAAAACTCTTGAAGAAAATAAATAGTCCTGCAT
The DNA here is from genome assembly GCF_000001405.40 of Homo sapiens. Classification (NCBI taxonomy): domain Eukaryota; kingdom Metazoa; phylum Chordata; class Mammalia; order Primates; family Hominidae; genus Homo; species Homo sapiens. The sequence goes on from NC_000011.10 coordinate 9,579,206, forward strand.
GAAACAGGACTGCCTCTTTGTGTGGCTATTTGTCCTACTTAGATAAAAGAAAATACGACTATCTGGATGCATTTGTGATCTCTTTTGTTTCCTGTGTCCACCGTTCCTCTCTCCACATAAAGCTTTGAATATACCAATAGGGCTCATCTTCACATCTTTTCCACAGTTTCACTGGAAAAGGATTCTGATATTTATTTGTACATGAGTAACTGATTCCCTTTATTGTGATTTAATTTCCTTATTATCTTATTCATTTGCATTATAAGCCTTTTATCTTGGTTTGGTGATAGATTGGAATTAACCTGTATAAACAAGTGTAGAAAAATATTGATGGATAGGGAAAGAGAACCTGAAATGTCAGAACCTGTTTTGCTCTCATCACCTTTCTTGCCCTTCTAGCAATAAGAGAAGAAATGGGCACAGCTATGGTTGCTGGACCTGCTAAAAAAGAGAATTAGCCATATTCTTTCTTAGCACATTTGATCTAGGACTTAGCCTATCTTGTCTGACAGCGTTATTGGTTTGCTCCCTTCTAGAGCACTCTTTCCCCTCCCTCAGTTCAAGATTTGTACAAGTAAGGAGAACATACTTAAGACTAAGATACCGAGATGTATAATTTATTTTAAAAACACATTTGACGTTATGTTATTTTCTTATTTAAATTATAGGACCTCCTTTTCTGACTAATACATCATTGACCTTCCTAATTTTAGTACCCAGCTCTGATTTTTTTATTCCTAAGCCTTAAACAGGAGATATTTAAAACAATTCCTCATTGCCTTTGAGATGAAATACAAACTTTAAAAGTTTGAAAAAATATAAACAAATTAACTGATTGATTTAACTAATTCTATAAAAGCAGGTTATGGTCTCATTCATAGTAAGAGTAGTATAAATTATAACTATACTAAAATACTGTCTTTTTACCTATAACATTTATAGACTTGTCAAGGGTATGGGGAAACAGGTATGCTCATGCATTGACAATGGGCATATATATTGGTACAGCCTTCTCTGTGGAGAAGAGTGTGTGTGTGTGTGTGTGTGTGTGTGTAAAACACACCATCTCCATATATTACAAATGTGCATACCCTTTAACCCAGCAATTTGGCTTCTAGGTGATATACTAAATGTACGTGAAATTACCAATGTACAAGGTTATTTATTAGGCCATAGTATGTAATAGCAAAGGCTTGGAAATAATTTTAAAATGTCCATCAAATGAGGGACTGATAAATGCATTTCTTTCTTTCTTTCTTTTTTTTTTTTTTTTTCGGGGGACTGAGTCTCACTCTGCCACCAGGCTGGAGTGCAATGGCCCGATATCGGCTCACTGCAACCTCCGCCTCCCAGGTTCAAGCAATTCTCCTGCCTTCTGAGTAGCTGGGATTACAGGTGCACGCCACCACACCCAGCTAATTTTTGTATTTTTAGTAGAAACGGGGTTTCGCCATGTTGGCCTGCATGGTCTCGAACTCCTGACCTCGTGATCTACCTGCCTCGGCCTCCCATAGTGCTGGGATTACAGGCGTGAGCCACTGTGCCCAGCCAATAAATGCATTTCTACTCAATTATACAATGGAATTCTATAAAGACAAGAAGAAATGGGTTGTCTTTGTATATTGGTATAGAGTGATCTTTAAGATAATGAACATATGCTGTTATTTATGCAAAAAGTTGAAAAGAATACATAGACCTGAGCTGGGCGTGGTGGCAGTGCCTGTAGTCCCAGCTGCTTGGGAGTCTGAAGCAGGGAATTTGAATTTGGGTTTGGGAATTCTAGGCTGTAGTGCCGATCTATGTTGAGCATCTATGCCGATCTATGCCGATCTAAGTTGAGCATCAGTATGGTGACCTCTGTGGAGTGGGGCACCACCAGGTTGCCTAAAGAGGGGTAAACTGGCCTAAGTTGGAAACAGCACAAGTCAAAACTCCTATGCTGATAAGTAGTGGGATCAAGCCTGTGAATAGCCACTGGATTCCAGCTGGGCAACATAGATAGACCCTGTCTCTTATAAATTAAAAACAAAAACAAACAAAAAAAAAGCCAACCTGATAATACTGGTTTACTCTGAGAAAGAAACAGGTGGATTGCTGAGGTGTATGATTGAGAGAGAGACTTTACATTTTATTTTGTACCCATGCAAATGTATTACCTATTGAAAAAACAATAAAATTTTGATTTCACAAGCAGGTTGAAGGGAGAAGGTCCTATAAAATAACACTTTCTTGGTTGAGATTGGTTGGTTGAGACTCATTTGGTAAAGATGGAAGAAAGAAAATATTTCAGAAAGAAGAAAATGCTAATATTTTCTATCTTTGTTAGGTGGAAGTTTAGCTGATGCTATAAGTGAAAACTACAGAATCATGAGTTACTTTAAAGAAGCAGAGTTGAAGGATCTCCTTTTGCAAGTTGGCCGAGGCTTGAGGTATATTCATTCAATGTCTTTGGTTCACATGGATATAAAACCTAGTAAGTATTGCAGATCTTCTGACCTGTGTTCTTTGGGGTTATAGAGAATAAATTACTTCATTATGACAACATTGAAAAAATATATATCTTCTGTTTTCTCATTGTTAGTTTTAAAAGGCCTTAGATCCACTTACCAATATTGTTTTATGATTTCTATTCATCTCTTCCCTTGTTAATCCCCAAAATTTGAGATAAACTTTTTTGAGACAGTGTCTCATTCTGTGGCCCAGGCCGGAATGCAGTGGCACCATCTCCGCTCACTGCAACTTCCCCATCCCGTGCTCAAGCAGTCATCCCACCTCAGTCTTCCGAGTAGCCGGGACTATAGGCATGTGCCACCATGCCCAGATAAATTCATTTTTATTAAAAGCCAGAAATTTTTGCTGCATCTTACAGGAACTACAGGTGGGATACTAATGAGGGCACTAAAAATCTGTGTTTAAAGCCCCACTCTTCCACTAGGCCAGACCATATTAAAATTTCCCCAGTTGACTCAAGTCCTTAATAGTTGATTTGTTCAAATTAGTATCTACTTAAGGATCATGCATTGCATCTGGTTATATCAGTTTTTCTTTTTCAGAACCCATCCTCTGCTTTGTAAAAATAATATACACTTATCTTGCAAGCTATCCCTTTTTCTGGATTTGACTAGTTGCTTCTTGTATCATTTAGCTTGTTCCTTTTTCTCCTATATTTCCTATAAATTGGAAGTTATAACTAAGGATTATGGATTCAAGTTAAGCATCTTAGGCTAGATGAATTTAGTGAGGTTTTATTAATCTTTGGAAACCTGTTGATTTGTGAGAATTTCAGTCATTTTGTACAACTTTATGAGTTATATGCTAGAATTTCATATGCGTATGTTAACAAGTCACTAAAGTTTCTTCTTTCTTTTTTTCTTTTTTTGAGATGGAGTCTCGCTCTGTTGCCCAGGCTGGAGTGCAGTGGCACAGTCTCAGCTCTCTGTAACCTCTGCCTCCCACGTTCAAGCGATTCTCCTGCCTCCGCCTCCCGAGTAGCTGGGATTACAGGCATACACCACCATGCCCGGCTAATTTTTTGTATTTTTAGTAGAGACGGGTTTCACCATGTTGGCTAAGCTGGTCTTGAACTATTGACCTTGTGATCTGCCCACCATGGCCTCCCAAAGTGCTGAGATTACAGGCGTAAGCCACCGTGCCCAGCATGTTTTTTATTTTCAAAAGACAAAAATATATTTGGATTTAAGGCAGTAAATGTGAATTCTTAAGGAATAGCTGTACTCATATAAAGTGTTAGACAAATATAATAGACCCTTATAAGGTATAAAAGTTGAAAATATTAAGGGATGTGAAGTTTAAAAATCTTCAAATTTAGACCAGGTGCAGTGGCTGACGCCTGTAATCCCAGCACTCTGGCAGGCCAAGGCAGGCAGATCACGAGGCAGGAGTTCGAGACCAGCCTGGCCAATATGATGAAACCCCGTCTCTACTAAAATTACAAAAATTAGCCAGGTGTAGTGGTGCGCACCTATAGTCCTAGTTACTCGGGAGGCTGAGGCAGAAGAATTGCTTGAACCCGGGAGGCGGAGGTTGCAGTGAGCCGAGATTGCACCATTGCACTCCATCCTAGGCAACAAAGTGAGACTCCGTCTCAAAAAAAGAAAAAAAAAATTCGCCGGGCGTGGTGCCTCACGCCTGTAATCCCAGCACTTTGGGAGGCTGAGGCGGGTGGATTGCCTAAGCTTGGGAGTTCACCACCAGCCTGGACAACACGGTGAAACCTCGTCTCTACTAAAATACAAAAAATTAGCTGGGTGTGGTGGCAGGCACCTGTAGTCCCAGCTACTCTGGAGGCTGAGGCAGGAGAATTGCTTGAACCCGGGAGGAGGAAGTTGAAGTGAGCTGAGATCGCACCACTGCACTCCAGCCTGGGCGACAGAGCGAGACTGTCTCAAAAAAAAAAAAAAAAAACCTTCCAATTTACAAATACCATCACAAAATAAGTTGTCCTATAAAGAAAGTAAAACGTATAGATGACTCCAGTAAATGTAACATAAATTTAATACTAAATATTTGTGCGTGTGTGTGCGTGCACGCGCGCGCACACACACACACACACACACACACACACACACACACACACATATATATATATATATATATATATATATATATATATATATATATACTTTTTTTTTTCTTTTGAGACAGGGTCTTGCTCTGTTGCCCAGGCTGGAGTGCAGTAGTGCGATCTCGGCTCACTGCAACCTCTGCCTCCTGGGTTCAAGCGATTCTCCTGCCTCAGCCTCCCTAGTGGCTGGTATTACAGGCGTGCACCACCATGCCTAGTTAATTTTTGTATTTTTAGTAGAGATGGGGTTTTGTCATGCTGGCCATGCTGGTCTTGAACTTCTGACCTCAAGTGATCCGCCCACCTTGGCCTCCCAAAGTGCTGGGATTACAGGTGTGAGCCACCACTCCCGGCCTTATTTTTTAGAGATAGTCTCACTCTGTTGCCCAGGCTAGAATGCAGTGGTGCAATTATAGCTCACTGCAGCTTTGAATTCCTGGGCTCAAATGAACCTCCTGCCTCAGACTCACAAGTAGCTGGGACTACAGGCATGCACCACCATTCCCAGCTATTTTAATTTTTTTCTTTTTCTTTTTGTAGAGACAGGGTCTCACTATCTTGCCCAGGCTGGTCTCGAATTCCAAGTCTTAGGTAATCCTCCTACCTCAGCCTTTCAAAGCACTGGGATTACAGGCTTGAGCCACCATACCTGGCCAATACTATACTGATAAAACTATTAAAATAGAATCTGCCACTAAAAGCTCATGTTAATTATGATCTTACCTGAATTTGAAGAAAAAAGGTAATGTGTATACAATAGGAAATAGTGAATCACAAAGCCATATTGCAAGGTAGATGCTATATGGTCAGCCAGACTCACTGGCTAAATGACTCATTCTGCTCACACCAGCCTTATAGCGCTACATTAAAACTTGTGCTTTCACAGAATTTCACAAATTACTGATACTACCTTTTTTGCTGAAGGGTAATGTGCTAGAAGACAAGGGCCTCATCCAGTTTAAAGTGTTTAGGATCAGTGCTAGGCTGGAAAATATATTCCCAGAGGCCCAGAGTGGTGGCTCATGCCTGTAATCCCAGCACTTTGGGAGGCTGAAGCTGGAGGATCACTTGAGGCCAGGAGTTTGATCAGCCTGGCCAACATAGTGAAACCCCGTCTCTACTAAAAATATAAAAGTTAGCTAGATGTGGCATGTGCCTGTAGTCCCAGCTACTCAGGAGGTTGAATGAAGCATGAGAATTGCTTGAACCTTGTTGCAGTGAGCCAAGATCATGCCACTGCACTCCAGCTTGGGTGACAGAGCACACTGTCTCAAAAAAAAACAAAAAAAATTCCCAGCAACTATAACCCTGGTTTCTGTCCCCTGAGATGCTTATTCCATGGGTTTGGGCTAGAACTTGAGAATCGGCATTTTAAAAAGCATTATGGATGATTCTGGTATATGATCTTGTTTATGAACTCTGGTTTTATTATTATTAGTTTGGCTTACATAATTAACTGTTTGACAGGTAATATTTTCATATCTCGAACCTCAATCCCAAATGCTGCCTCTGAAGAAGGAGACGAAGATGATTGGGCATCCAACAAAGTTATGTTTAAAATAGGTAAGAAAGGTAATCAGATTATTACCTTCAGATAAAGAGAAGGCTGTTTTGTTTTTGCTCTTCACTGTAAGTTTTTCAATACTTCTAGGTGATCTTGGGCATGTAACAAGGATCTCCAGTCCACAAGTTGAAGAGGGCGATAGTCGTTTTCTTGCAAATGAAGTTTTACAGGAGGTAATTTTTCTTCTCCCTTAATCATAGTTTGCTTTGTAACACTTAGCAGTTGATAGAAGAATATAAATTCAGATATATTAAACTTTGAAGTTAACTAATAGAATGGAAATAAAATCTAAACCGTCATCTGAGGGCATTTAATAAGCAAAAAGTCATGAAGGCAAAGATTTATAATGGAGTTGTCGTAAAAAATATGTTCTCATACACCACTGGTGGAACTTTATAATGGCATATCCTTTTTGGAGATCAGAGTATTAGTATTGCATTAATATTTAAAAATCATGTACCCATTGACTCATAATTTTCACTTCTAGGAGTTTTTCCTATAGAACTATTCATATACAAATACAAGTTGAGAACAGTGTAAATAAGTGTTTACTAATAAGAGAATGATTAAGTAAATTATGGCACATAGTTATTAGTATGGCCTATAGTTTCAAAAGAGTGTGACAGTATTTCTTGATAAAAATTTTGAATGAAAATAGAATAAGTAGAAAAATATAAAGTGTAATTGTCTGATCCCATTGCTCTTTGTAAATATGTGTATATATATGTTTGCTTTATCACGTATATGTGTATTTGTAACTTGTCAGTGTGTTTCTACGTGTTTTGTGTTTGCATATGAATGCCTAGAGGTAGAGGGATTTCTTTTGAGAGTTGAATTGGGCTGTTGATAAAGAAGAGGCATTTACTCTTATCTATGTGTTTGCATTTTTCCCCCAAGAGTGTGTATTACTTTGTAATTTAAAAAATAAACATCCTCAAATTTAGCAGTTTATTCTCTGAATAGGTCCCAAACTTAAATGTGGTATTAGACACTTTGATTAAGTCCTATTTTTCACCTAAGTCATCTTTGAGGTGTAATCTTGTTTTATTTTGACCATGTTTACATTCCTTTAAAAAATTGTTTTAATTTTACAGAATTATACCCATCTACCAAAAGCAGATATTTTTGCGCTTGCCCTCACAGTGGTATGTGCTGCTGGTGCTGAACCTCTTCCGAGAAATGGAGATCAATGGCATGAAATCAGACAGGGTAGATTACCTCGGATACCACAAGTGCTTTCCCAAGAATTTACAGAGTTGCTAAAAGTGAGCATTTTATATATGAAGCCCTTTATTGACATGGTTCTATATTTTATTAAATGCATGTCTTTACCTTCATTTTACTTTTCTTTTTAAGGTTATGATTCATCCAGATCCAGAGAGAAGACCTTCAGCAATGGCACTGGTAAAGCATTCAGTATTGCTGTCCGCTTCTAGAAAGAGTGCAGAACAATTACGAATAGAATTGAATGCCGAAAAGTTCAAAAATTCACTTTTACAAAAGTAAGTGAGGGTTTTATGTTTTCTTTTTGCTTTTTCATTCACTTTAATTCTCAAATTTTAATGAGAGATGATTTAAGCTTTCTGTCAACAAAGGATGTAGTGGTTTTTTGTGTTTTTTGTTTTTTGAGACAGGGTCTCACTGTCATCAGGCTGGAGTGCACTGGTGCTATCATGACTCATTGCAACCTCCACCTCCTGGGCTCAAGCTATCCTCCCGTGTCAGCCTCCTGAGTAGCTGAGCCACAGATGCATGCCACAACACCCAGCTAATTTTTATATTTTTTGTAGAGATGGGGTTTTTGCCATGTTGCCCAGGCTGGTCTTGAACTCCTGGGCTCAAACCATCCACCTGTCTTGGCCTCCCAAAGTGCTGGGATTATAGGAGTGAGCCACCTCACCCGGCTCCAGTAGTTCGATATGTTGTTATACGGTGAAAGCTTGGGGACTTCTGCCATGAATTAGTATTTGGCCTATTAAATTTGTGTTGTTTCTAAACTTTCAAATTACGAACTTTAAAAATGTTGAGACTAACATATATTTGCAAGTGGTGATAGTCCCCAAGCCATAAATGGTAGTAAAAGCTAAGCGAGCCTATACCAATCTTTTCTTCCCAGACTCTCACCAAAAGTTAACGTTGTCCTTGAAACATTCTGTTCTTATTTTATGAAAGGATGAAATTAATGTCAATTTGGTTAGGAGATGATTCTCATATATATGTTTTTAATTTCTGGCTAAATCTTTATATACTGAATGAAGATTCTCATATTGGACTTAATGACTTGATATTTTCAAAAAGCTGGTTGCAATGGTAAAGGTTATTAAAAAGAGAATATTGGAGAATATTAAGTTACCACAGATCACATTTCTAATTCTTTTGATTTATTGCAGCCATTTTGCTTTTAACCTAATAAAACTGACTTGAAAAGGTTATGTTAACAATTAATATTAACATTTAATATTTAAATTATAAGAATTGTATATTAAGAGGTTTACTTGCCACTAGTTTGATATCCATCATAGTTCATACAAATAGGAAATAAAGTGTTCCTTTCATCTCTCTTATGTAAGGATAGATTCGCAATATAAATTGGAGTTTTTGAAATTATTATTTATTTTTAATTTTTTTTTTATTGGGGATAGGTTTGTCTGGAAATTGTTTATTATTATTTATTTAAAAAGATGGGGTCTTGCTCTGTCACCCAGGCTGGAGTGCAGTGGCACTATCATAGCTCACTGCAGCCTCAAACTCCTGGGCCCAAGCGATCCTCCAGCCTCAGCTTCCCGAGTAGCTGAGACTACAGGTGTGAGTCACCACATCCAGCTCAAATTATTTTATAAGAACCAAAGTCATTACTAGCATCTTTACTACTTGTTTTCAAGTATGTGTGATACTGTAATTCAAAAAGCATAAAATAAAATAATTTCATAAATTTAAGTTGTTTTAATAGAAGCTTCAGTTTCCTGTTTTATTTTTCAATTACATCTTAGAATAATGATGGCATGCAAATATCTCCCAATCGACAATATAGTTTGTGTTAGTTTCTTAGAATCTCTTCCTAGGAATAATACCTTGTTTTCTATTTTTATGTCAGAGAACTCAAGAAAGCACAGATGGCAAAAGCTGCAGCTGAGGAAAGAGCACTCTTCACTGACCGGATGGCCACTAGGTCCACCACCCAGAGTAATAGAACATCTCGACTTATTGGAAAGAAAATGAACCGCTCTGTCAGCCTTACTATATACTGAGCTACTCCTTTCCCACCTCCCCCTGAACACTGTGACAAGAGGAAGCTAGGTTGAAATCACTGATAGAATCCAGTTTGCAATTACTTTCTCGATTGGTGTCAGTAGTTTTACTGATTAGGACTTTTATTGTGAATTACAGTTGAAAGCTGTATTTTGATGATTGCTATGTCAGGCTTTCATCTAATCTTACCAGTCTGTCTTCTGTAGGATGTGTCACTGTTGGATGTTACACCAGCCTTTCCAGGGTTAACCACTGTGGTGGTGTGCTGCTTATAGTTTGCTGTTGCATTGTAATAAAAGGTGTCTTTCCCTGTAGTGACCTGTAAAAAGTACTCAAGGGCTTTATTACAGACATACCCTCCCTTTGAAAAGGGACATGCTAAAAGACTCATTACTACTCAGCCTTCAATGTACCTGTGTGTCCATCTTATATTTCTTTTTTTTTTAATTGTGAATTAGACTTGTATATCCCACTGGGAGCACTTTGTAGGCATTGCATGAACCATGGGATGATGATTCTGTGGAGGTATTGCCTTGTGAATTTGCTGCTATTTTAGTTTTGTCTTTGCTGTAAACTTGTAGCATTAAACAATCATTGTTGTTAATAGGTCTTCTTTTTGAAACAATTATGTGAAATGTATAGCTGCTTTTGATGAAAAGCAGCTATTTGCCTTTTTTTTTTTTTCCTTTGAACTTTGAAGCTAGTGCATTGGAAAAATGCACCCTTTCCCTCCTTTGGAATGCTGTATTAATGTAGTATAATAATTACTGGTTTTGTAACTTGTTCTGGTAATGTCCTTCCCGGACTCTTTTTAAATGTCTCCCCCTAAGTTTTATACTTGATTGTATTATTAGTCTGTTTTTAAATGTTTTGCCCGGTTTTTCTCTTCAATATTTGTGTATATAAACCGATCTTCGTGATACTGTACATAGCTGTTTGAAATGCCAGAATGACTTCTGACATTCCAAGTTTTTCACAAAATATATTTTATCTGTGATTAGCCATTTGACTAATAATACTGGCTAACAGATGTTGAAAAAAATTGTCTGTTTGTTTTCTCATTAATTTTGGTCTAAAACATGTTTGCACTTGTCTTTGACTTGTGTTTTATTAACATTGATTGGCATATTAAAAGTCACTCTGAGCTTACCTTAATTGTCTAAATCCTTGTGATGCCTGTTTTCTAATATTTTATCTCTATTATTGCTATACTATAAAATGTATAGTGTGTATAATGTACTATTATAAAAGCAGAGGGCACATTTTGATTGAATATGAATATCACATTGCATGTTATGCATGTGACTTGCTAGAAATGTAGCATGATGTAATTTAAAATATCTTCAAATTATTAAGTGAATATAATATGATTCATAACTTTCTGATTTGTACTGAGTCACAGAAAACTTTAAAGTGGGGAGGTTTTGTTTTTGTTTTTAAGATGGAGTCTTGCTCTGTTACCCAGGCTGGAGTACAGTGGCGCGATCTCGGCTCAATGCAACCTCCGCCCCCTGGGATCAAGCGATTCTCCTGCCTCAGCCTCCTGTGTAGCTGGGACTGCAGGCATGCACCACCACACCCAGCTAATTTTTTGTATTTTTAGTAGAGACGGGGTTTCACTAAGTTGGCCAGGCTGGTCTCGAACTCCTGACCTCAGGTGATCTGCCTGCCTTGGCCTCCCAAAGTGCTGGGATTACAGGCGCCTGGCCCTTAAAGTGGGGAGGATTTTAATTCTCACTAAACTAGGCTGGGTTTTAAGATTTGAGGCCAGGCGTCTTGGCTCACGCCTGTAATCCCCACCACTTTGGGAGGCCAAGGCAGGAGGATTGCTTGGGGCCAGGAGTTTGAGACCAACCTGGGCAACACAGTGAGACCCTATCTCTACAAAAAACAAAAAAGAATTGAGTGCAAATTGAAGTGATAATGTTATTTCTATGGCATCGTTTTCTGATGTTGATTAGAACCAGAGATGGAGTCTCATTGTTGCTTAGGCTGGTCTTGAGCCCCTGAGCCCAAGAGATCCTCTTGCCTCTGGAGTAACTGGGACTATGAGTGTGTGTAATCATGTCCAACCTCTGCCATAAATATTTCTAACAAACTTGATTATATTAGCTTTCTAGTCTATGGTATCTTAAAATTTAGAGGTGTGAGATGAATTGGTGCAGACAGGAGAATTAGATATAAAAGCCGGTGAGTATGGGTGATAAAACCTAAAAAGCCATAGGAACTGGAGCATGCAACTCACACCTTTTAGTAGCTACTGATGACAAAGCTATAAAAAGATCACAATAATTGGGCTGGGTGCTGTGGCTTGCACCGATAATCCCAGTAACCTACGATGCCGCCATTGCATTCCAGCCTGGGTTACAGAGTAAGAGCCTGTCTCTTAAAAAAAAAAAAAAAGTATGTATGTATATATATATATATATAATGGTGTTAATTTATGATCATTTTAAGTCACTAAGGTGCATTTTTCCAGTGCACTAGCTTCAAAGACACACTCAGGTGTTTTTCATCAATATTTGCAGTAAAATTTTCACATAAGAATATTGGATTAAGAAGGAAAACTGATATCTGGTGTTTGAAGAGGGAATTCTTAGGCCATCTAAAAGCTGATAGGAGAGTTAGACTCATTTAACTAAAGGTACTTTTGTTGAGTGCTATGTGCTGACTATGTAGTAGACCAAAGACCAGTAAGAATTTGGTTTTGCCCACTAGGAAATCAGGATAAAATAGAGGAGACTTTTGTAAATATATAATGACAATAAAATGTAATAAATGCTAATGCTGGAGGGATTGTGCAAGGTAGAATGAAGGTTCAAAAGACTATATGTACCTTATGAAGATACTGGTGGTAGATTGGAGAATAGATCCAGGGAATTATGTTCAGACTAGTTTCAAGATTATTGTATAATAATCACCGTACAAGAAAGGAGGGCCTGAACTAGGACCTTGCTGTGGATAGAAAATAAGAGGATAGGGATTTTCTTTGAACAGTTTGAAACTTTGAACAGTTTCTGTTTGTTGGTAAGATTGAAGCATTGAAGATTTTTCCAGAAAACTTAACTAAAATGCAGGGGTATGTTACTATTTGAGACAGGTATTCGCCATCGATAAAAGTTTTCTTTTTTGGAAAGCTGACTTTGGTAAGGTAGAAAAATTTTAAATGTTGACTATGCGGTTGGGTAGGAGGTATTACATATTGTGATTGACTGCAAATTGAAACTTTTGCCTTAACTTTATCCTGCCAAGAATACAAGAGCAGTAGGCTTTAATTAATGAACTAATGTATTTTGAAGAGTCCATTATCAAGCTTTGATTTTCACTCCGCTTTGTTCCGGAAGTCAAGAAACTATGGCATTTTTTTGAGGCCAGGCGCGGTGGCTCGAGCCTGTAATCCCAGCACTTTGGGAGGCTAAGGTGGGCGGATCACGAGGTCAGGAGTTCAAGACTAGCCTGGCCAAGATGGCAAAACCCCATCTCTACTAAAACTATGAAAATTAGCCAGGCGTGGTGGTGCATACCTGTAATTCCAGCTACTTGGGAGGCTGAGGCAGAGAATTGCTTGAACTCGGGAGGTGGATGTTGCAGTGAGCTGAGAACACACCACCGCACTCCAGCCTGGGCAACAGAGCGAGACTCCTTCTCAAAAAAAAAAAAAAAAAAAAAATCCGGGCACGGTGGCTCACACCTGTAATCCCAGCACTTTGGGAGGCCGAGGCGGGCGGATCACCTGAGTTCAGGAGTTTGAGACCAGCCTGACCAACATGGAGAAACCCCGTCTCTACTAAAAATACAAAACTAGCTGGGCATGGTGGCCCATGCCTGTAATCCCAGCTACTCGGGAGGCTGAGGCAGGAGAATTGCTTGAACCCGTGAGGGGGAGGTTGCAGTGAGCCGAGATCGTGCCATTGTACTCCAGCCTGGGCAACTCGAGTGAAACTCTGTCTCAATAAAAAACAAAAAACAAACAAACAAAAAAACTATGGCATTTTTTTAAAAGTTCATAAGAGCTAGGTTTAATGCCAACTGTCCTGGGATGCTCCAGGCTGTCTCCCAGTTCTTAAGCAGCAGCATCCTGACAATAGAGTAATTTTCCTTCTTCCCCAATTCATCTTTACAAAGCATCTCACTGACTTTTGACCAACAGAGCAAATAAATTGTTGCATTTTTTTTTCTGAGTCGGCTTGCTACAGAATTTGTTGCTTTCTTAAGGTATCTTTATTTGTGAAATTTGCAAAGGCCAATTAAAGCAATCAACAAGGAGGATAGATCAAAAAAGAATTTTGGAAGTGTTTTGGATATTATGTAAATCTTAAGTGAAGCCTGGAACTAGGAATCTGGAGGCAACTGCCTCATTCAGTATTTTTGAAGGTATTTGTATAACTGTAAAAAGCATCACTGAAACTGAGAGACACTGCAGAGTAAGTGAATCTAGAAATTTCTCTTGCAAACTGATAATATTGCTAGACATTTCTCGGAAGCTCAGCAAAGTAGATTTTTATAAAAATGGAAGAATAAGACGTCATTGCAACTGTCCCTCTCCCAACATTTAGCATTCAAAAACTTTTGAGAGGCATTCATCTGAACATTACTGAACTTTTTTTTTCCTTTGTGGCAGATGACCCTAATTTTCAGTGCAAATTCAAAGGTCTCTGGAGTAAGGAAAAATATCTATGTATGCCCTAGGAAGATTCACCAGGAAAAGATGGCATGTTGTGTCCAAACTTCATTAAACTAAGAGTCAAAGAAACTTCGGCCAGTCCAGCCCATGAAGAAAAATACCTCAAAGGAACATTTACATCACAGTTCACATTGTTTAGTTTTATATGGTTAATAAACATTTTGAAGAGCATATACTTGTTCTGATTTTTGACATAGTTGTGGCATGAAATAGGTTTCCAGGCCTGGAATTCCAATTTATGCTTACTAATTCATTATGCCAATGGGAAATACAGGGTTTTTTTGCTTGATTTTGTTTTTTTGTTTTTGAGACGGGGTCTTGATCTGTTGCCCAGGCTCCAGTGCAGTGGCGCAATCTTGGCTCACCACAACCTCCACCTGCTGGGTTCAAGCAATTCTCCTGCCTCAGCCTCCCAAGTAGCTGGGACTACAGGCACCCGCCACCATGCCCGGCTGATTTTTGTATTTTTAGTAGAGACAAGGTTTCACTATGTTGGCCAGGCTTGTCTGGAACTCCTGACCTTGTGATCTGCCCACCTCAGCCTCCCAAAGTGCTGGGATTACAGGTGTGAGCCACCGCACCCAGCTTGGAAATATAGGTTTGGTATACAATTCAATTTAGGATGATTATCCAGGAGAGGAGGAACTTTTTTGCAGGTGAGAGTATGAAGGCTCAAGGGAGTAAAATAATTTAGGAAATCAATTTAGTAGGTAGCAGAGTCAGAATTCCAACTCAGATCTCATAGCAAAGAATCATGCTTTTTCTAGACATATGAAGGTTGAAGACAAATACTAATTAAAGAGGCGATCTCCAATCTTTTGGGCACCAGGGACCGGTTTTGTGGAAGGTAATTTTTTCACTGGGGTTGGGGTGTTGCAGGGGAATGGTTTCAAGGTGATTCAAGCACATTACATTTATTGTGCACTTTATTTCTATTATTATTACATTA
This sequence comes from Homo sapiens, assembly GCF_000001405.40. Taxonomy (NCBI): domain Eukaryota; kingdom Metazoa; phylum Chordata; class Mammalia; order Primates; family Hominidae; genus Homo; species Homo sapiens. Next base: position 9,594,237 of record NC_000011.10, read on the forward strand.
TAATATGTAATGAAATAATTATACAACTCACCATAATGTAAGTCAGTGGGAGCCCTGACCTTGTTTTCCTGCAACTAGATGGTCCTGTCTTGGGGTGATGAGAGACAGTGACACATCATCACGGATTAGGTTTTTACAAGAAGCATGCAACCTAGAGCCCTCGCTTGTGCAGTTCACAGTAGAGTTCGTGCTCCTAGGAGAATCTAATGCCACGGCTGATCTGATGGGAGGTGGAGCTCAGGTGATAATGCAAGCAATCGGGAGCAGCTGTAAATACAGATGAAGCTTCTCTGGCTTGCCCGCTGCTCACCTCCCGCTGTGCGGCCCGGTTCCTAACAGGGCACGAACTGGTACCATGGGGGTTTTGCCATTAATTCAGGGGTTGAGAACCCCTGAGTTAAAAGACAGTGTTCAGGCAGCAAAGGAGAGTAAGAAGGTGCAGGCTGAGAATTAGGAAAACTGGATGGAATCTGACAGAGAATAAGAGAATTTTGAAGGAGAAATTGATTAACTGTGACTAATACAGAAAAGATTGAACAATGACTCAAAGCTCTGTGAAGGTATCTAGAGTTCATTAGAAGATATTTGGTGAGCGGTGTCAGTACAGGGGAAACAGCCAGATTACAATGGGTTGAGATGTAAATGGGAGATGAGGAAATAGAGATAGCAAGCACAGATCATTTGCAAGAAGCATGGCTGAAAGAGAAGGGGAAGGGAGGAGAGAGCTATAATTAGAGGGGAATCTTCTTTGGGTTTTGCTGGGGTGTTTTGTTTTGTTTTGTTTTGCTGAGATAGGGTCTCACTTTGTAGCCCAGACTGGAGTACAGTGGCCCAATTTTGGCTCACCACAGGCTCGACCTCCCAGGCTCAAATGATCTTCCTGCCTCAGTCTTTCAAGTAGCTGGCGACACAAGTGTGCACTACCACTCCTGGCTAATTTGTGTATTTTTGGTAGAGCCAGGGTTTTGCCATGTTGCCCAGGCTGGTCTCAAACTCCTGGGCTCAAGTGATCTGCCCGACTAGGCCTCCCAAAGTGCTAGGATTACAGGTGCGAGCCACTGCACCTGGCCTGGGTTTTGCTGATTTTGGTATTATTTATCATCTACGTGCTAAGTGTTTTACATACATAATGACATTTAATCCTCATAAGAACTCTGTGACAAAATCCCCATTTTTCAAATGGTTTTTAAGAGAGGTAAAATGTTTCCCCAATTACAAAGCTACAGCATCAGGATACGAAGCTACAGCATCAGGATTCAAACCTAAAGTGTTTGGCTGAACCACTAGCCAAATTTGTAGCAAGTTCTCTGAGTTTGGAGCGGAGGAAGAATAAGTGTGAATGAGACAAGTTTTGGGAAGTGCAGGAAATGGGGAGGGGAATTCCAGTTTAATGCTCTCTCCTCTGAAGTTGGAATTGTGTCCCAGGAACTGAAAGTGCCTCAGGGGACTGAGGACAGAGGCACATGTATAGAAGGAATGCCTCCTCACTCTGCTGCTGCTGCCTTCTTTCCTTCTGGATGAAGTGGCTAAAAGTCTTCAGAGGGCCAGGAGCGGTGGCTCACGCCTGTAATCCCAGCACTTTGGGAGGCCGAGATGGGTGGATCATTTGAGGTCAGGAGTTCAAGGCCAGCCTGGCCAACATGGTGAAATCCCGCCTCTACTAAAAATACAAAAATTAGCCAGGTGTGGTGGCAGGTGCTGTAATTCCAGCTACTTGGGAGGCTGAGACAGAAGAATCACCTGAACCTGGGAGCTGTAGGTTTCGGTGAGCTGAGAATATGCCACTGCACTCCAGCCTGGGTGAGTCTTTAGAGTATACTATATAGATATTTAAAGCAGCGTTTCAAGAAGTTTTTATGATTAGAGAAATTTATGTGTTATAATAAAGTAAGAAAAAAAACAGCAAACAAAATTGTACACATGGGATTGTTGTTAAAGCATTAAAAGAATGAAGGCCAACAACAGCTGTCATTTACGTGACTGGTGGGATTACTGAAGCTTTCCCACTCTTTTTTCCTTTTAAAAAATATTTGAGGCCGGGGCCGGGCGCCGTGGCTTACGCCTGTAATCCCAGCACTCTGGGAGGCCAAGGTGAGCGGATCACCTGAGGTCGGGAGTTTGAGACCAGCCTGACCAACATGGAGAAACCCCCGTCTCTACTCAAAATACAAAATTAGCTGGGCATGGTGGTGCATGCCTGTAATCCCAGCTACTGTGGAGACTGAGGCAGGAGAATCGCTTGAACCCTGGAGGTGGAGGTTGCAGTGAGCTGAGATGATGCCATTGCACTCCAGCCTGGACAATAAGAGCGAAACTCCATCTCAAAAAAAAACTCGAGCTCAAGAGTTCAAGACTAGCTTGGGCAACATAGTGAAACCCCCATCTCTACTAAAAATACAAAAATTAGCCAGGCGTGATGGCATGCACCTGTAGTCTCAGCTACTTGGGAGGCTGAGGTTGGGAGGATCACCTGAGCCCAGGAGGCGGCAGTTGCAGTGAGCCAAGATCTGCACTCCAGCCTGGATGTCAGAGCAATACCCTGTCTCTCACACACACAGACACAAACAAACAAACAAACAAAAAGTTATTAACATATGCAGTCAATAGAAATTGAGCAAGTCACCTGGCTTGCAAAGATTTGTCCAATAATCATCCTCTACTGCCCCCACAAATTTCTAATAATGGGCACCACTCCCTTGAATACAGGGGCACCTATATGATCTGGGCTGGACCAAATGGAGTTTCTCCTGGAACCTTGCAGATGCTCCCGTTGCTGGCAAAGATAAGGAGGCCAAGCTGCATAGCAAAAGCTGATTTGCAGGTGAAGTGAATGAACCAACACAGAAGCAGAATTGAGAAATGAGGAGGGCAAGATCTGAGAACATCGGAGTCCCTGAAGCCAATCTTGGTTGGGTTCTATGAGCCTATACATATTCCTCTTTTGGCTTAAGCTATTTTAAGGTGAGTCAGTTGCTTGAAATGAAAAGAGCTTGCCTAATGCAACATATTTTTCTAAACTTGTAGCCATGAGTTAAATCATCTAGATACTGTATTGTTGCCAGAAAAATGGGTCTTGATCCAGACCCCAAGAGAGGGTTCTTAGATCTTGTGTAGGAAGGAATTCAAAGTGAGTTCACAGAGTGCAGTGAGAAGAGATAGTTTATTGAAAGCTACTGTCGGCTGGGAGCGGTGGCTCATGCCTGTGATCCCAGCACTTTGGGAGGCTGAGGCAGGTGGATCATCTGAGGTCAGAAGTTCGAGACCAGCCTGACCAATATGGTGAAACCCTGTTTCTACTAAAAAATACAAAAATTAGCCGGGCGTGGTGGCATGCGCCTATAGTCCCAGCTACTTGGGAGGCTGAGACAGGAGAATTGGTTGAACCCAGGAGGCAGAGGTTGAAGTGAGCTGAGATTGTGCCACTGTACTCCAGCCTGGTGACAGAGCGAGCCTCCATCTCAAAAGAAAAAGAAAGCTACTGTTACAGACTAGAACATCCTCAGAAGGCAAGAGGAGGAACACCTCATCTTTAAGTTTTTCTTATATAGAGGTCTTGTCTACATAAAAGCTAGGCTAAGATGTGTCTACATGAGAGTAGGTTGCAGCATCACAAAATTTATTATTCTGTTGATTTAAAGAAAGCTGTCCTTGACATTCTAGTGTGTAAGTACCTCAAAGTATAACTATAATTATATTTTGGGTTTTTTTTTTTTTTTTTTTTTTTGGGGGACAGGGTCTCATTCTCTCACCCAGCCTGGGAATGCAGTGGCACAATCTCAGCTCGCTGCAACCTTCACCTCCTGGGCTCAAGTGATCCTCCCACCTCAGCCTCCTGAGTAGCTGGGACCACAGGTGCACACCACCATGCCTGGCTAATTTTTGTTTACTTTCGTAGATGGGGTCTCGCTATGTTGCCCAGGCTAGTCTCAAACTCTTGGGCTCAAGGAATGCTCCCGCCTTGGCCTCCCAAAATGCTGGGATTACAGGCATGAGCCACTGCATCTGGCCATTATAATTATCTTGAAAGCATATATTGTTATGGGTATTGAGACATCTGGACTTCTAGTTGTTGTAGGAGTATGTCGTTGCAGGTATCTTTAAGCTGTTTCCTCAACTGTAAACAGCTTGTGATCATGGGTCGTGAGTGGCAAGGAATGTGCCTTGGCTAGTTTTAAGATGGAGTTTAGGCCAGGCACGGTGGCTCACGCCTGTAATCCCAGCATTTTGGAAGGCCAAGGTGGGTGGATCACCTGAGGTCAGGGGTTCAAGACCAGACTGGCCAACATGGTGAAACCTCATTGCTACTAAAACTACAAAAATTAGCCAGGCATGGTGGCATATGCCTGTAATCCCAGCTACTCAGGAGGCAGGAGAATCGCTTGAACCCGGGAGGCAGAGGTTACAGTGAGCTGAGATCGTGCCACTGCACTCCAGATTGTGCCACTGTACTCTGGGTGACAGAGTGAGACTCTGTCTCAATTAAAAAAAAAAAAAAAGATGGAATTGATTTTAAAATGATGTCACTCTGATTCTCCTTCCCTAACAGCATGACTGAGGATTGCAAAGATCTGAGGGTCTCCAGGTTCATTCCTTGGTTGAGGTTTCTGCTGTGTCAAGAATGGCATGTGATAGCAGCAGACCCCGCAGCGTCTCTTCCTGGCCTGCCTCACTTTCCTCGTTATATGTACTTATAGCATTAATTTTCTAGTGGCTTACTTGGTGCAAAGCACCAGGCACAGCAGTTCCAGAAAGAATTTTACTGCTAGACCTTGACTTCCATTGAACAGGATTAGACATCCCATAGTTCCACTAACAATTAAAGAGACCTATGCAGCCAGGTGATTTGGACAATAAAATGTGCAGTTTTTTTTCCTGTTTGTCACACACTATTGCTACGAGTATCGAACAACCCATTCTTGGGGAGTGAAAATGGAGATAAAAGCTCATGAGGCAGGCCAGGCACGGTGGCTCATGCCTGTAATCCCAGCACTTCGGGAGGCCAAGGTGGGCGGATCACGAGGTCAGGAGTTCGAGACCAGCCTGACCAATGTGGTGAAACCCCATCTCTACTAAAAATGCAAAAATTAGCTGGGCATGATGGTGCATGCCTGTAATCCCAGCTACTCAGGAGGCAAAGGCAGGAGAATCACTTGAACCGAGGAGGTGGAGGTTGCAGTGAGCCGAGATCACACCACTGCACTCCAGCCTGGGTGACAAAGTGAGACTCCATCTAAAAAAAAAACCCATAAGGAGTCTTAAATTTGTATTTGAAATTGGGAAAAAGTTGTATTTCAAGGCTCCTCAGTCTTTATTATTATTATTATTATTTGGAGATAGGGCCTCACTCTGTCACTCAGACTGGAGTGCAGTGGCACAATCACGGCTCACTGTAGCCTCGAACTCCTAGGCTCAAGCTATCCTCCTGCCTCAGCCTCCAGAGTAGCTAGGACTACAGGCATGCACCACTATGTCTAGCTAATTTTAAAATTTTTTGTAGAGATGGGGTCTTGCTGTGTTGCCCCGGCTGGCCTCACACTCCTAGGCTCAAACAATCCTCCTGCCTCGGCCTCCCAAAGTGCTGGGATTACAGGCATGAGCCACCACACGCAGCCTTAAGCTTCCTCGTTAAAAGATGGAGCAAAATACTGAAGCTGGGGAAGACAGAGGACCTGGCTCCACCACATGCTTCCCAATTAGATTCCTGGCTTCGACACTGAAGGGACCAGAGCATACAGGGAAATGGCACTTACGTTTACTTTGCTGATTCAATTTTTTGGTTCATTTTTTTCAATCAACATTTTTTTAAAATTTTTATTTTTATTTTTTGAGACAGAGTCTCACTCTGTTGCCCAGGCTAGAGTGCAGTGGCACGATCTCGGCTCACTGCAACCTCCACCTCCCGGGTTCAAGCCATCTTCACACCTCATCCTCCCAACTAGCTGGGACTACAGGCTTCTGTCACCATGCTTAGCTAATTTTTGTTTGTTTGTAGAAACGGGATTGTTGTCTAGGCTGGTCTCAAAGTCCTGAGCTCAAGCCATCTGCCCACCTTGGCCTCCCAAAGTGCTGGGATTGCAGGTGTGAGCCACCATGTGCAGCAACATTTACTTTAAGGACTTGCACTGTGCTAGTCCTTGCACCCTCATGTCTCCTGCGCCATCCTCCTGCTCCCAGTGTTCTGGTGCTGTCTCCTCTGTGCCCAGGCCTCTGTGCCTGAGACTTGGGCAATGTCAACCCCAGGTCCCCTTCTTTCTCCTGGTACCTGAATGCTGAGCAGTTACTAGCTAGTGCTAGACACAGATACAAATACAAACAAGATAATCCTTCTTCCTTCTCCATTGTACACAGTGTAGTGGAGGTATTAGGCAGAAACAACTAACCATATACAATAAAATAATGTCCTTTTGTGGCAAGCATAGGTCACTATGGGGACCAAATGGTAAGCAATGAATCCACGGGATAAAGAGCTGGGTATTGCTGTTCGCAGGAGAGGCGACACCTCATCTAGGGCTTGAAAGATGGATAAGAGTTTGCTAAGTGGATGAGGCAGAAGGGTTTCCTAGGTAGCGGGATCCATCATCATGAACAAGGCCCAGAGGAATGCAGCTGTGCAGGTTATTAGGGTGGCAAGAGCATAGTGTGTTTCACTGCCAGTGAAGCCAGTTTCACTGCCAGATTCATGTTTTCCATTGCTGGGTTTCAATTCTGCAATAAGCAAACTTCTGAAAAATATGAATTTCTGTTTATTCTTGTTCAGACCAAAGCTGAAAATATTGATGAATGAGCAAATGAAAGGAATGTATATAAGAGAGCTTAGGCTTTTTCCATCAAGGAATGAGTCACAACAACCCTGGGAAGAAAAGAAGAGAAGGACTTGTGTCACCATTGCAATGCTGTCCTCTTCGGAGCCCCATCTTCTTCTGGCAAGGGCCCAGAGCAGCTGCTCTTGCTGCAACACCAGCTCTGCCGTCTGCTCCTTCAGCAGGCTTGATCTAGGCACTGTCCCTCATGTCCCCTGCACCATCCCCCTGTCTCCAGTGTTCCTGGTGCTGCCTCCTCTGTGCCCAGGCCCTTGTGCCTGAGTCTTGAGCATTACCACCCACAGGTCCCCTTGGGTCCCTTCCTATCTCTTGGTTCCCGAATGCTGAGTGGCCCCAGCAGAGACAGAGCTGGAGGCTGGTGGTGGAGGGCAGAGCTGTACTTCGGAGCTGAGCATTTCTTCCCCTTTGGCAGAGCAGCTGCTTCTCTATCTTTCTTACTCTTTGGTGTCCAGACAGCACCAGGAAGAATCTAGCTCCCTCCCCGACAGGAAGTAGTATGCATATTTCCTGCTGAGCCCCAAGAGTGTTGCTGGTGTGAGGTTGACTGGAGGACTTTCCCACAGGCTGGGTTTGCGGTTTAATGTGAAAGCTGAAACTAGAGGAGGAGATGCTAACCAAAGTGGCCAGAAGGTGAATAAGAGCTCAAACCTTAGGGAGCAGCAAGGGCCAGTGCAGATGTCAAATTCAATTGCAAGCCAGAGGCAGAAGGCTTGGATCCCGGCTTGCACCTGGAGTGAGTGGGAAGGGCCTGGGACAATCACTGCCCACTCTCAGCTGCCCACTTGTCAGTTGCATGCAGTTGGTCTGTCACACAGGCTCATGCATGACCACATACACACACGCACACACACACACACACACACACACATTGGCTCACACATCTAGGGGGGCAGAAAATACCCTCACCCGGGGAGGGACCCAGACCCACGTGGGGAGTCTGCAACACAAATGCCCCTTCCCCTCACCTATTCTTCTGCACTAGGTTTTTTTGTTTGTTTGCTTGTTTTTTGGTTTTTGGTTTTTTTTTTTTTTTTTTGAGACAGGGTTCTACTCTGGTCACCCAGGCTGGAGTGCAGTGGTGCGGTCCTGACTCACTGCAACCTCTGCCTCCTGGGTTCAAGCGATTCTCCTGCCTCAGCCTCCTGAATAGCTGGGATTACCGGAGTTACTGTGCCCGGCTAATTTTAGTATTTTTGTAGAGATGAGGTTTTGCCATAGTGGCCAGGCTGATCTTGAACTCCTGGGCTCAAGAGATCCGCCTGCCTTGGCCTCCCAAAGTGCTGGGATTACAGGCGTGAGCCACCACTCCCGGCTGCACCAGATCTTAGAAGGAAACCCTTCCTCAACCTCCAGTCTTCTTACGGAGCACGTGCAGATTTACATCTGTAGATGTTTCCCTTCCAGAAGACTTCAAGGCTCTCCCTTTGGGCATAATAAGAAAAGAGATCAACTCAGAGGGAGCAAACACAGAGGGAGGGTTTGGGTAGACACTTTTGCAAGCAGCCTGGGAGAGGGGCTGAGGCCTTGGAAGCCAGGAGACAGAGGACAGCCCAGGGGCCTGAGGGACTGACAGAGCAAGGAGAGAGGTCTCAGCCATGTTCTTACGTGTTTTGGCACATGACCTCATTATCATGGGCAACGTACTAAGGCTATTTGACTGTGTTGTGGGAAAGAATTGAAAAACACTTAGCGGCTGGGCATGATGGCTCACCCCTGTAATCCCAGCACTTTGGGAGGCCAAGGCAGGGAGATGGCTTGAGTGTAGGAGTTTGAGACCAGCCTGGGAAACATGGCGAAACCCCATTTCTACTAAAAATACAGAAATTAGCTGGATGTGGTGGCGTATTCCTGCAATCCCAGCTACTCGGAAGGCTGAGGCAGGAGTATCGCTTGAATCCAGGAGGTGAAGGTTGCAGTGAGCCAACATCGTGCCACTGCACTCCAGCCTGGGTGATAGAGTGAGATTCTGTCTCAAGAAAAAAAGAAAAAAAAAATTACTTAGCAATGATGTAGTAATCCCCACTAGGGTGGCTGCCCATATTCTAATTCTAATATTCTAATTGCAGTCCAAATTCTAATATTCTTTTTCTTTTCTTTTCTTTTCTTTTTTTTTTTATTTTGAGACAGAGTTTCGCTCTTGTTGCCCTGGAGGGCAGTGGCGCGATCTTAGCTCACTGCAACCTCCGTCTCCCGGGTTCAAGCGAATCTCCTGCCTCAGCTTCCTGAGTAGCTGGGATTATAGGCGCCTGCCACCACGACCAGCTAATTTTTTGTATTTTTTAGTAGAGACGGGTTTTCACTATGTTGGCCAGGCTGGTCTTGAACTCCTGACCTCAGACGATCCACCCGCCTCGGCCTCCTAAAGTGCTGAGATTACAGGCGTGAGCCACCGTGCCCGGCCCCAAATTCTAATATTCTTACACATCCTTCTACCCTGGAAATTGTCCTTGTTACATAGGGTGAGTGCCCAATGACCAGGTCTGTACTATATGACCCTGTCCCCATGGCATATAGCTAATTGGTCCAGTGGCAGACTTGAATCAAGAGGTCTCATCAGATCTCTTCACAGCCCAACCACCAATAGTTTGGGGGTCTCCCTCTGAGCCAAGCCAGGCCAAAGTCCCTTCGCAGAGCAGAGTGAGAATAGACCAGTCCCTCTCTGCCAGTGGCAGGTGGGATGTGAATGAGGCCAGGGAGCTAATGGCACCCAGTCACACTGAGGAGTTCAGGCAATGGTGGGGAAAGCTGAAGGCAGCATGCAGAGGAAACCAGAGAACTGAATCCTTGGTTCCATTCGTATCTGACCAAGGCCCCAAATCAGAGTTTCCCTTGTATTCTTCTGGTTTAGTTGCTACTTGAAACACTCAATTATCCTTCCAACCAGCTTCAACCCCCGCTTTTCCTTCTTGAAGTAGTTGGTTAGGTTTTTGTTTCTTGCACCACACACCAAGAAAACAGATGACAAACTGAGTAGGTTAAATTAATGTTATCCAAAACTTTGTTCATCCTGAGACCTCAGATTACCTTGCATCCCTCAATCACAGTGGCACCCAGGAGGCACTGTGTCAATAGGGACTGCTTTTCCCCTAGCCAGTTTTGGAAGCTCCATTACCAGAGCTGGTGTCTCACTTTCTAGAAAATTCTCAGTCCATTTACATAAGACCTGGAACTGCCTGGTAAGAGCCCACAGTTCAAAAGGTGATATAAGACCCTCCTGGAGTGTCTTCAGAGGACACGCTGGGTCTCATATCTGTTTTCAGCTTTACACATGACTCAGCCTCTCTTTTTTTTTTCTTTTTTTTTTTTTTTGTGGTTCAGATGGAGTCTGGCTCTGTCACCCAGGCTGGAGTTTAGTGGCGCGATCTTAGCTCACTGCAACCTCCGCCTCCCAGGTTCAAGTGATTCTCGTGCCTCAGCCTGCGGAGTAGCTGGGATTACAGGCACCTGCCACCACACCTGGCTAATTCTTTAATTTTATTTATTTATTTATTTATTTATTTTTGAGACAGAGTCTCGCTCTGTCACCCAGGCTGGAGTGCAGTGGTACGATCTCAGCTCACTGCAACTTCTGCCTGCCAGGTTCAAGCGATTCTCCTGCCTTAGCCTCCTGAGTAGCTGGGATTACAGGCGCCCACCACCACGCCCAGCTAGTTTTTGTATTTTTAGTAGAGACGGGGTTTCACCATGTTGTCCAGGCTGGTCTGGAACTCCTGACCTCATGTGATTTACCTGCCTTGGCCTCCCAAAGTGCTGGGATTACAGGTGTGAGCCACTGCACCTGGCCAGCCTCTTCTTATAGTATGCTTAATATCTGCATGAAAGCAAAATACATTTCTAAACATGCAAACAAATACACTGCACCCACTTACAAGACAATTGCTGTCTACTCCATGATTCGTGTCTATGGCCAATACAAGGTGGGCCAATGGCCAAGGCACAGCATGTCCTCCTGAAATCATCTGTGGGAGGAGAATTCACAGTTGAGCCACTCAGGACTTGAAGGAGAAAATAAGATTATAAATATTTTTATATTCATCAACTTGCTGAATAAAAGAGATATTTGGGACATTTTAATACATCTTAAATTAGTAATGATGAGTACTATTCAAATTTCCTTTTCTGTCTGGAGGGAGGTGACATCTGTTGGTCTTTTTTTGTCTTTTTTTTTTTTTTTTTTTTTTTTTTTGAGATTGAGTCTTGCTCTCACCCAGGCTGGAGTGCAGTGGCACAATCTCAGCTCACTGCAACCTCCACCTCCCGGGTTCAAGCGATTCTCCTGCCTCAGCCTCCCGAGTAGCTGGGATTATGGGTGCATGTCGCCCAGCTAATTTTTGTATTTTTAGTAGAGACGGGGTTTCAACCTTGTTGGCTAGGCTGGTCTTGAACTCCTGACCTCAAGTGATCCACCCGCCTCAGCCTCCCAAAGTGCTGGCGTTATAGGCATGAGCCACTGTGCCCGGCCATACAGTCTGTCATGTCCCACAGAGTTTAGGGTAGAGAATAGAAAGTTCAATTTGGGAAATGCTGAAATTAAGGCCCCTGCAGGGCATGCTAGTGGCAATACCCAATGAGCAATCAAGGCCCCAAATTTAGGTTTGGACATCATTGGTATTTGCGTGGTTGTTGAAACCCTGGGTATGAGTGAGATAATCCAAGAATTTGTAAAATGAAAGGAGAAGTAAACCAAGACAGAGCTCTGGGAAAAGCAACATTTATGGGGCTAATGGGAAGAAAAGGAATTAGTGAAGAAAAAGGAGAAAGCGCATTTGAGGAGTTAGAAGAAAATGATGGGTGACCGGCAATTTAATGGCCGCAGGAGAAGAGGATTTCAAGAATGAAGAAGTGGTCAACATAGAGAAGAGGACTAAAAAGATAAGGACTTAGAGGACTAAGAAGATAAGGGGTCCCTGGAGTTTAGCAACAAGGAAGTCCCTGGCAACATTAGTGGCTTCAGTGGTGTAATAGAGAGAGAACCCAGATGTCAAGGGGTTGAAGACCCTGGCGCCAGTCTACAGGGGAATGGAGCTTTCCCTACACTGCTCAGCACTACGTGATGTCAAGAAGATGGAAGGCCTTTTCACAAGATGGCACCGAAAGCGAAGAAGGAAGCTCCTGCCCCTCCTAAAGCTGAAGCCAAAGCGAAGGCTTTAAAGGCCAAGAAGGCAGTGTTGAACGGTGTCCACAGCCACAAAAAAAAGATCCACACGTCACCCACCTTCCGGCGGCCCAAGACACTGCGACTCCGGAGACAGCCCGAATATCCTCGGAAGAGCACTCCCAGGAAAAACAAGCTTGACCACTATGCTATCATCAAGTTTCCGCTGACCACTGAGTCTGCCATGAAGAAGATAGAAGACAACAACACACTTGTGTTCATTGTGGTTGTTAAAGCCAACAAGCACCAGATTAAACAGGCTGTGAAGTAGCTCTATGACATTGATGTGGCCAAGGTCAACACCCTGATTCGGCCTGATGGAGAGAAGAAGGCATATGTTCGACTGGCTCCTGATTACGATGCTTTGGATGTTGTCAACAAAATTGGGATCATCTAAACTGAGTCCAGATGCCTAATTCTAAATATACATATATATATCTTTTCACCATAAAAAAAAAAAAGAAGATGGAAGTTTAAGGGGACACAGATGTAATGAGATAAGGAAGGGGGAGCTGTAAGAACAGGTGCCTATGTTTGGATAATCGGATTTTGTCAGAGTATTACTTTTAGGTGATGACAAGGCTCAGAGTGTGACCAAGGGGATGCGTGGCCTGAGCAGTAAGAAGGGCTAAGGTCATTGGAGACAAGGGGGTTAGAGACTTTAAGATTAAGATATAGAAGGTGTTATCCGCAGGGACACTAAATCACCCAGGATGATGGCAGTATTTCTCCTGGGAAGTCTGTGAGTCAGGGGCCAAAGTCCTCAGTGAATGTAGGGGAAGTGCCGAGGAAAGGAGCCCAAAAACAGTGGTGATGTGAAAGAGGCAGTGAGGACGGGGCATGTGGACCACCTTCCTCCTTGTCACATGGTAGGGAGGCTATCTTGATGAAGTTAGCAAGGACTCATGCCATGTCCTCAGCCAGGTTTCAGTTAAAGCAGAAAGTGGAGGGAGCTCCCATCTGTAAATGAACCAAGGTTCCAGGTGATACAGGCTCAGGACGCTGTAGTAATAGCCGGAAACACAGAGGGCAGCATCATCCCGAGAGTGTAGGAGAGGCCCACTGTCGGATTCACTTGCATTTTGGGAGTCAGCCTAGGATGACAGGAAGAGTTGGGGGCATCATGGGGCTGATTGAAGAGGCACTAAAAGAGACCAGGATTGACTTGGCTTCCACGCTGTGCAGACCAAGGCCCTAGGCTATGCCTATAGCTTGGTATGCACCAAGTTCCCAACAGAAATTTGGTGAGCCTCTGCAGGGCCTGGCCCTGGTGAGGAGAGGGATAACTAGACCTAAGTCAGAATAGAAGTAGACAGTGGTCTCCTGGACCCCCTGGGTGGATATGTCTTTGTCATGGACTCTGTAGTCGGTCTCCCATCCATTCACACACTGTTCTCTATGGAGGAGCTCTTTAGGTAGGACTGGCTTCACTTCCAGCCTCAGGGGCGTGTCCTAAATCAGTTAGAAAAATCCCATCCCCGGGCCCAGTGTTTGGGTCAGGGAATGGCCCAAGCCAGCTCTACCCTCCTCTGTGTGTTGACTTTTCTCTGGTCACAGGGGTTGCTTTGGAGTGAATCTATGACAAACATTGACCCAAACAGATTGAAGCCCAGTAATTTGAAGTGAGATTGAAGTCTAGTGCAAAGATGTAAAATCTTTAAAAACTGCAGCCATTTCTACCCCTATAAGGAGAAACAACTTGTCTGAGTCCATTCTTTTTTTTTTTTTTTTTTTGAGGCGGAGTTTTGCTCTTGTTGCCCAGGCTGGAGTGCAGTGCTGCAATCTAGGCTCATCGCAACATTTGCCTCCCAGGTTGAAGCGATTCTCCTGCCTCAGCCTCCAGAGTAGCTGGGATTACATGCATGCACCACCACGCCCGGCTTATTTTGTATTTTTAGTAGAGATGGGTTTTCTCCATGTTGGTCAGGCTGTTCCCGAACTCCTGACCTCAGGTGATCTGCCCGCCTTGGCCTCCCAAAGTGCTGGGATTACAGGCGTGAGCCACTGTGCCCGGCCGCCTGGCTAATTTTTTTTATTATTATTAATTTGTAGTTTTTGTAAGCAAGATACAGGGTCTTGCTTGGTTTCTCAGGCTGATCTCGATCTCCTAGGATTAAGTGATCCTCCCACCTCAGACTCCCAAATGTTCTTTATTATCGACACCAGTTTGAACTGGATTTTCTGTTACCATGCCTTACCTGAGAGCATCCCAGCTGAGAGAAACAAACCTTAGACATCCCTTTGCCCCATTAGCTCCCACCCATCTTCCGGGACCAAGGTATGTATGGGGGCTGGGCATGTGTAGATTCTGGAGTTCTCAGCCCTCAGTGGACTGTGATTCTGAAGGCAGCTGGATGTAAACTGTGAGTCGGGGAGGGGGTCAGCTTTCTCTGTCAGAGACTATTTGACCCCCAGCCCCTATCTTGGTGACTCAGACATTTAGTTGTATTTTGTAGAATCTTTTGCATGACCACACCTGACTTTCTTAGTAATCTCCCTAAATTAGTTTTCTGTTAATAAGAATGTTTCTTGTCTCTGATCCATACCACGTGGTTATTATGTGCTTTTCCTTCCCACTCTTATTCATTCAGTGAATATTTATCAAGCGTCTACCAGGTGGCAGGCACCATTCTGGGCACTGGGGATACATCAGTGAACAAAATAGACAACAATCCATGCCCTTGGGGCTTATAGGATTACATTCTAATAGGGAGATATAGACAATAAACAAAATAAACAAGTAAAAAATATATAACTTTAAACAGTGATAAAATGGGCCAGGCATGGTGGCTCACTCCTGTAATCTTAGTGCTTTAGGAGGCTGAGGTGTAGGATTGCTTGAGGATCAGAGTTTGAGACCATCTTGGGGAACATAGTGAGAGCCCTGTCTCTACAAAAAATAAAAATAAAAAATTAGCCAGGCATGGTGGCACATGCCTGTGGCCCTGGGAGGATGGGGCAGGAGGACTGCATGAGCCCAAGAGTTCAAGGCTGTGGTGAGCTATGATCACGCCACAGTACTCCAGCCTGGGTGGTAGAGCAAGACCCTGTCTTGAAAAAGGCAATAAAATGCTAAAGTGGAAAATTCAAATCAGGGAGTTTTTGTGTGTGTTTATTTTAGATAGGTTGTATAGGGAAGGCCTCACTCAGAAAGTTGCTTTGGCTTTTGTGTAAAGACCTCAACAAACTGAGACGTGGACCACGGATGACTATGGAGGGGAAGATCACTCTCAGTAGAGGGAACAAGTCCAAGGGCCTTGAGGTGGGCACATGTCTGGTGTGTTTGAGGAACGGCAAGGAGGCCAATTCGACCCAGAGGGGTGATGGAAGGGTAGAGTAGGAGGTCACAGAGGTGATGAAGCTGGTCACATGGGGCCTTGTGACTTGCTGTTAGTTGGCTGGGTGTGGTGGCTCACACCTGTAAACCCAGCACTTTGGGAGGCTGAAGCCGGTGGATCACTTGAGGCCAGGAGTTCGAGACCAGCATTGGCAACATGGTGAAATCCTGTCTCTACTGAAAATACAAAAATTAGCCAGGTGTGGTGGCGCATGCCTGTAATCCCAGCTACTTGGGAGGCTGAGGCAGGAAAATTGCTTGAACCCTGGAGGCAGATGTTGCAGTGGGCCGAGACGGTACCACTGTACCCCAGCCTGAGTGACAGAGTGGGACTCTCTCTCAAAGAAAAAAAAAAAAAAAAAAGAATTGCCTTGCAATTAGTTGTTAGAGAAACTACATTGTGTGTGTGGGGGAGGGGATGGCAGATGGAAAATAAATGGTCAGTTTTGGGCATTTAATTTTTTTTTGAGACAGGGTCTTGCTCTGTTGCCCCGGCTGGCATGCAGGGGTGTAATCATGGCTCACTGCAGCCTCAACCTCCCTGGCTGAAGTGATCCTCCTGCCTTATCCTCCTTAGTAGCTAGAACTTACAGGCATGTCCCAACACGCCTGGCTAATTAAAAATTTTTTTTTGTAGAGACAGGGTGTTGCTGTGTTGCCCAGACTGGTCTTTAACTCCTAAACTCAAGGGATCTGCTCGCCTCTGCCTCCCACAGTGATGAGATTACAGGTGTGGGCCATGGTGCCCAGCTGGGACATTTAAATTTGCAGTGCCTATCAGACATCTAAGTGGAGAGGTCAAGAAGACAGGTGCATATCTGAGTCTGGAGTTCAGGGTTGAGGTTCAGGTTAGGGATTTATTTGAGGCTCACTAGAAAAGTGATGGTAATTAAAACTACAAAACTGGCTGGGTGCAGTGGCTCACGCTTGTAATCCCAGCACCTTGGGAGGCTGAGGCGGGTGGATCACTTGAGGTCAGGAGTTTGAGACCAGCCTGGCCAACATGGTGAAACCCTGCCTCTACTAAAAATACAAAAATTAGCCGGGCATGGTGGCAGGTGCCAGTAATCCTAGCTACTTGGGAGGCTGAATCGCTTGAACCCGGGAGGTGGAGGTTGCAGTGAGCTGAGATCGCGCCATTGCATTCCAGGCTGGGCGACAGAGCAAGACTCTGTCTCAGAAAAAAAAAAAAACAAAAAACAAAAAACAAAAAAACTACAAAACTGGATAATCCCACTCAAGACTTTTTGCCTTTATTGTGATGACCGTTTTTCTGAGCTGTGACAGTACTTTAATTCACATGTTTAGATATTATTTAGAAAAGGACTGAGCATGCTGCAAATGAAGACATAACATTTCATGTCTGGCAGACTCTAGCTTTGAGAAGAGGATGGGGTGAAGCAAACTTTTGGCAATGTCACCTTCCACTGAGGTTAAGTTTTTGTTTAGTTAAGATAAGAAACAGGTATTTGACTATATTGCTTCTGCTTAATACATTTCTTGTGGGTCTTAATATGTATATAAAGTAAGTTAATTTAAACATTTCTTCCGTGTTACTGTGTGCATGGTTAAAAGGCAATCAGTTGATGTTCTACTACAGTATGATCTTGCCTCAAGGTCACTATATTTTCTGTTCCCTTTGCCTGGATCACTCTTCCCACAGGTGTGAATGAGGTTTGCTCCCTCACTTCATTCGTGTTGCTCTGTTCAAATGTCATCTTATCAGGGAGGCTTACCCTGACTAACCAAGCTGATGCAATTAGCACGTCCCATTGCTCATGGTTCTATTTTTCTTCCTACCGCTACCACCACCTTGCATCATGTATATTTGTTTCTTTGTTGTCTCTTCCCTCCATTATAGTGAGATCTTACAGTAGTATTTAATCTGCAATAGGAACTCCCTAATAGCTGTTTGTTGAATAAATGAAGATCACTATATTGCTATTCAAAAGAGTTGTATGGGCCGGGCGCGGTGGCTCACACCTGTAATCCCAGCACTTTGGGAGGCCAAGGTGGGTGGATCACATGGCGAAACCCTGTCTCTACTGAAAACATAAAAATTAGCTGGGTGTGATGTCACGCGCCTGTAGTCCCAGCTACTTGGGAGGCTAAGGCAGGAGAATTGCTTGAACCTGGGAGGCGGAGGTTGCAGTGAGCCGAGATTGCGCCACTGCATTCCAGCCTGGGCAACAGAGCAGTGGAGTTTGAGACCAGCCTGATAAATATGGTAAAACCCCATCTCTACTAAAAATACAAAAATTAGCAAGGTGTGGTGACATGTGCCTATAGTCCCAGCTACTCAGGAGGCTGAGACAGGAGAATCACTTGAACCTGGGAGGCAGAGGTTGCAGTGAGGCAACACTGCACTCTAGCCTGTGCAACAGAGCAAGACTCCGTCTCAAAAAAACCAGATAGAGTTGTATGAAGCAATGGTGACTATTATTTTACCATGCTGCTAACATTATGCATTATTTTTTTTCTGTTTTTCTATTATATTTTTTTCTATTTATTTTTACAGAAACAGCGTCTCACTATTGCCCAGGTTGGAGTGCACTGGTGTGATCATAGCTCACTGTAACTCTCAGGCTTAAAGGGATCCTCCCACCTCAGCCTCCCAAGTAGCTAAGACTACTAGAGCACAGCACCATGCTGGACTAATTTTTAAATTTTTTGTAGTGACAGGGTCTCACTCTGTTGCCCAGGCTGGTCTCCAACTCCTGGCCTCAAGGGAACCTCCTGCCTTGGCCCCCAGTGAACTGATATTACAGGCATGAGCCACTGCATCCAGCCTGCATTATAATTTTAAAACATTTTTGCTACTTTAGTAGATGTAAGGTGTTATGTCATAACTGTTTTAAGTTTAAAGTTTCTGATTATCAATGAACGTTTTCCCCATGCACTTGGGTATGACTTTTATTTCTTATTGTGAATTACAGTGCATGTTTACCTTCTTTGTCTATTTAGCAATTGGTACCTTGATTGTTTTTATATATATAAACAAGCTTTTTTTGGGTGGGGGGGATGGAATCTTGCTCTGTCACCCAGGCTGGAGTTCAGTGGTGCGATCTCGGCTCACTGCAACCTCCGCCTCCCGGGTTCAAGCGATTCTCCTGCCTCAGCCACCCAAGTAACTGGGACTACAGGCGTGTGCCACCACACCCAACTAATTTTTGTATTTTTAGTAGAGACGGGGCTTTCACCATGTTGGCCAGGCTGGTCTCGAACTCCTGACCTCAGTTGATCCACCCGCCTTGGCCTCCTAAAGTGCTGGGATTACAGGCGTGAGCCACTGCACCTGGCCTATAAACAAGCTTTTATACATTTCAGGTAGTATTTGCTTGTCACTTGGTGCAGACATTTTTCTCAATCTGTTGTCTTTTTAAAATTCTGTCCAGTTTTTGTATTTTTGAACGTTAGTCTTCCTTTGTTGTTTCTTCTGTTGTTTCAAAGTTTTGAGAACGCTGACGTTTATCCATAAATATAACTGCCTTATCCTATTAAATATATAGTTTCTATGGCTGTTCTTTAAAATATTTAGCACTTTAATCCACTTGGTGTTTATTTTGAAATACGATGTGAAACACATTTTTGTCCTCCAAATTTTCATTCATTTATCTGCGCATTCTTTACATAGTTCATCTTTTCTTACTGCCGTGTTTGGGAATGTTATTTTACTATGTATCCCATCAGGATTAATGCGTGTGTTTGTTCAGTCTCATTCCTTTCCGTTGATCTCAGCTTCTATTTTTGTTTCTGCTCTTAGTCACTGCCCAGCAGCGCCAAAGGAACATCCCGCCCCCTGCAGGCAGCTGGTGTCCCCACAACCTGGGAAGCCTGGGGCAGGGCCTCAGGGGACTCCTGGTGTTAGTCCTCCGAGCCCGGGTGGACGTGTCGCTCTGTCCCTGCGGGAGGATTCGGGGCCCCTTTGACAGGCCTCCTTCTATGCCGGTTTCCTGGGGCCTCGAGCTTCCTGGGTTCCACGTCTCTAGTAACCAGTAGAGACGGGCCTTTACCCTGCCGTTGGGTGGGGACTGTCCCCTTCTGGGCTCTTCCTTTCGGGCCTTTCCACCTCTCCGACCCCAGGGCATTCGCCCCACCACGTTGCCGGCACAGTGCTGGCTCCGCGGCCCGCGGTTCTGGCAGTCAGCGCGGAATGCCATGGCACCGAGCCTCTGTGTCTAGATGAGTTCTGGGCGCTGATTTTCCAGGTCACTCGGAAGCTGCTCTCTGGGCCCGCCTGTTTCCCTTCCCTTTGCCTCCTTGTCCCGCTTCCCTCGCAGTATACCACTCACTGTACCCCTCCTAAAAAGGACCACTGCAGGAAGCGTTATTGAAGCAGACACGGTTCAAACACGAAAAACAAACTCTTCTTTATTCAACAGATGTGCACGAATCTATTGTGTGTTAGATACGGGTAAGTTTCTGATAAGTCGTGCACTGAGCCAGTCCGGGCTCCTAGAACCGCGTTTACGTGCCGAAGTCTCAATCAGATTAAGAGCGTCTGGGGAGAGCGGGGCGGGGATAGAAGGAGGTGTTGGGGCTAGGGGTAGGACTGTTCTGGAGGCGTGGGTAAGGGGGAGTGGGCTGTGCTGTGCGCCCCTCCCCTCGCTATCTCCCCATTCATCCGCAGACCCGGGGCCCCACGCGCCGCTCCTGGGCAGGGCCGTGCACCCGGAAGGCGCCGAGGCGCGCCCAGCAGAGGGAGCATGCGGGCAGGGCATTCCGCGGGTACCCGCGGAGCAGGACGGCCACCCACGCCGGGGCCCCTGGGGCTCCACCCAGGACGCACACCCGGAGAGACCCAATGACTGCGTTTCGCACCTGGGCGCAAGCTGGTTACTGGGCACGCGCTGACAACCCACATCTGGAAAACCCGGTCCTAACTGGAGAATAAAACTTAAATGCACGTGAACTCACCGGCAGCTGAACATTTCCGTGAGAAAACCCCTAAAAGCCGGCACCGGCTCCGGTGGGGCCACAGAGTCTCTGGAGCGAGGCTCTCTCCAATGCCTGGGCCCTGGGACCGAGCAACTGTCCCAGTAGAATCCCTTTCGGGCTTTGTTGCAGGGATAGGGGATTCTTTTTAACGTGTTCCTTGGCTTGCACAGGCATTTACTGGTCCTCTGGAGATCACATATAACAGGAAGTCTCTAAATTCAGTATTTCTTTTAAATGAAGTTGTATTTATTCATCACATTTCTATCAGTAGACTTGAAAAACAGCGTACACGTTTTATACATTGTATGTAGGACATTGTATTTATTCAGGTCCATCAGAGAGTCTTAATCTGGGGTATGGGGACAACTAGGAGTGGATAGGATTCAGGGAGCCCATGAAACTCCTGAGATTGTTTCATATTTTAGGGCAAATGTGCAATTTTTCTGGGAAGAAGTTCTGTCGTTTTTATGATTACCAGGGTTCATAACCTTAGTTTGGTTAAGAAATGCTGGTCTAAGGTCAATGCTCAGCAGGTTTATGGATTCAGAACTCATTGCACTAGCACTGAAGCCCCCTTGAGGGCCCGAAGCCCCCATTCTGGACCCCTGCAGGAGAATTTGGTTCTCCAGTGAAGGTCACTAGAGCCTGGACTTGATTTTCTCTCCCTACAGGAAGGCCCCCCAAAACTCCAAGGGGCACAGTTGTTTTCGTTTTAAGGCCATATTAGGTTCAAGTAGATTTACTTCTGCATTTCTCTGTCTTAAATAGAAATAACTCTCTGGTGGGTATTTTCCCCTGGGTTAGTCATGCAAATACTCTATGCTTCACTTACTACCCATTTCAACCTCTGGGACAGCCCTTCTGCACAGACCTGGCCCAGGACCCTTCTGCCAACCACACATGGGAGTCTCTGGGGAACTTGGGTGCTGACTTCACTGGGCTGGGATTTTCCTCAACCAGTGTGCCCAGGGAGTTAAAACGTGTTCCTTTTATGGAAAAAAAGAGTATAAGTTTTTTGTTTGTTTGTTTGTTTGTTTTTACTTGTGAGGAATAAAAGATTACAAAACTACCCATAATCCCCTTAATAGGCCTAACACAATAACCAATTTTGTTTTAAATCTCAGCTTTCCTATGTGTATGTATTTTGCATTGTTGTGATTATAGCAGTACTGTATGTAATTATATATTGAGTTGCTCTGTTTTGCAATTGATGGTACTACTTTTCCGTAACATACTATAAGCATTTTACTGTCTTTGTAATTAGTGTTTTTAATTACTGTATACTTTTCTTTTCTTTTCTTTTCTTTTTTTTTTTTTTGAGACGGTGTCTCACTCTGTTGCTCAGGCTGGAGTGCAGTGGCATGATCTCGGCTCACTGCAACTTCTGCCTCCCAGGTTCAAGCGATTCTCCTGCCTCAGCCCCCCAAGTTGCTGGGACTACAGGCATGTGCCACCACATCTGGCTAATTTTTGTATTTTAGTAGAGACGGGGTTTCACCATGTTGGCCAGGCTGGTCTCGAACTCCTGACCTCAGGTGATCTGCCCGCCTTGGCCTCCCAAAGTGCTGGGATTACAGGCATGAGCCACTGCACCCAGCCAATTACTGTACACTTTTCTACCCCACAAGCACACTTTATCATTTCCCTTTGTTGTACAATTGCATCGGTTCCAGGTTATTTAATGTGTGTGTGTGTGTGTGTGTGTGTTTGTGTGTATGTGTGGTAGTGGTGGTGGTGTGTCATGAACGTTGTGCTCATGCTGAGGTCTCTTCTTTTCCCTAGCCAGTTTCTGATGTCATGAACTCTCAAGTTCCAGAGAAGTCATGCTTTCAACATTAATTTAAATATACATATATAGTCAGGTACTGGTAAGTGTAACAGAGAGAGATGAAGCAAGGTAAGGGAGATGGGATGTACTTTGGAGTAGAGCCAGGACTTGACTTTCCCTACTTATAGACTGTCCCTCCCTCAGACCCCAGAAAAATTCCAAGGGCATAGTTGGTTTCATTTTACAGCCAAGTTAAGTTCAAGTAGATTTACTTGATAAGTAGACCTTTTTGATAAGTTGACATTTGAGCAGAGACATGAAGGAAATGAAGAAGTAACCTTTTTGCAAATCTGGGAAAAGGGCTTTCTCTCTCTCTCTTTTTTTTTTGAGAGAGGGTCTTGCTCTGTTTCCCAGGCTACAGTGCAGTGGTGCTATCATGTCTCATTGCAGCCTCAACCTCTCAGGCTCAAGCAATCCTCCGGTCCCAGCCTTTCAAGTGGCTGGGACTACAGGTATACTCCACCACATTTAGCTAATTTTTTTTTCTTTTTTTGTAGCGATGGGGGGTCTCATTATGTTGCCCAGGCTGGTCTCAAACTCCTGAACTCAAGAGATCCTCCTGCCTTCGCCTCCCAAAGTGTTCGAATTACAGGTGTGAGCCATTGTGCCTGGCTGGGGAAACTGCTATCTAGGCAAAGGAAACATGATTGCAAAGGCCTTGAGGTAGAAGTGTGCTTGGTGTGTTGAAGGAGGCCAGTGTGACAGGAGTGGAGTGGGCCAGGAGGAGTGAAAGCTGTTTTGAGTAGGAAGGTGAGTCGTAAGTGGTGGGCCCACACCCTGTGAGGCCTATAGGCTTTCACTCTGAGAAGAAGAGCTGTTAAAGGGTTTTGTGCAGAGGAATGAGATACTCTGATTTTAAAAGAATGAATGTGTCGATGGAGAACAGACAGCCAGAGTTTGGAGATTGTTACAATAATCCAGGCAAGAGATGAAGCCCTTCTTTGGAGTGGGACATGGTGGTGTGAGTGATAGGGATAGCCTGGGGATGGGGTTTTTTTTGTTTGTTTTTGAGATGGAGATTCACTCTTGTTGCCCAGGCTGGAGTGCAATGGGACGATCTTGGCTCACTGCAACCTCCGCCTCCCTGGTTCAAGCGATTCTCCTGTCTCAGCCTCCTGAGTAGCTGGGATTACAGGCATGTGCCACCACGCCTGGCTAATTTTGTATTTTTAGTAGAGATGGGGTTTCTCTTGGTTGGTCAGGCTGGTCTCTAACTCCTGACCTCAGGTGATCTGCCAATCTTGGCCTCCCCAAGTGCTGGGATTACAGGTGTGAGCCACCATGCGTGGCCCTAATTTTTGTCTTTTTAGTAGACGGGGTTTCACCATGTTGGCCAGGTTGGTCTCGAACTCCTGACCGCTGGTGATCCACCCACCTCAGCCTCCTAAAGTGCTGGGATTACAGACGTGAGCCACAGCGCCCTGGGGACGGTTTTAATAGGATTTGTTGATGGTTTAGAAGTCAGAAAGGGAAGAGTCAAAGATGACATCAAGCTTTAGGAAGAATGGAACTGCTATTGTGTTTTCTGAGTTTTGTTGTTGTTTGTTCATTTGCTTGTGTTCTGTGTAGGGAGATGGGGAATTAGGAATTTAGTTTTGAACATATTAAATTTGAGATGCCTGTTAGAAAGCTAAGCGAATAAGTCAAGTAGGCAGTGAAATATAAGAACTTGAAGTTTACGGGAGAAGTCAGAGCTGATTTTGGAGACATGAGTGAGGATATATTTAAAGCATGAAATGGCATGAGATCCAGCCCAGACTTCTCTCCCAATCATTTATCCGGCTGTCTACTTGACATCACTACTTGGATGTCTAAAAGACAACTCAAGCTCAAAACATCCAAAACAACATCTGATCTTAACTCCCCTAAACAATTCCACCCGTAGCCTCGCCCATCTCAGTTAATGATGTCACCATTCTTTCATTGCTCAGACAAAATCCTGGAGTGACTTTACTTTTTCTCTTATCTCCCACATTTAATTGGTTAGGAGGTTCTCTTGGCTCTGCCTTGAAAATATATTCAGAATCCAAACGCTTCTTACCACCTTCATTGCTACCATCCAGATCAGAGCTGCCATTGGTTGTTTCTTGCCTGGCTTACTCCTAACAATTTCTCTGCTTCTGCAACTGGCCTTCCCCATCCCCGACCACTCTGTTCTCAACAGAGGGATTTTAAAAAAACCTGTCAGATCACGTCCCTCCTCTGCTCAAAACCCTCCAAACAGCTTGCCGTTTCAGAGTAAAAGACAAAGTCCTGGCTGGGCACAGTGGCTCATGCCTGTAATCCCAGCACTTTGGGAGGCCAAGTGGGTGGATCATGAGGTCAGGAGATCGAGAACATCCTGGCCAACATGGTGAAACTCTGTCTCTACTAAAATACAAAAAATTAGCCAGGTGTGGTGGTGCGCACCTGTAGTCCCAGCTACTTGGGAGGCTGAGGCAGGGGAATTGCTTGAACCTGGGAGGTGGAGGTTGCAGTGAGCCGAGATTGCACCACTGCACTCCAGCCTGGTGAAAGAGTGAGACTCTGTCTCAAAAAAAAAAAAAAAAAAAAAAAAGACAAAGATCTTATAATGGCCTTCCCAATCTGACCCAGAGCCTCTACCTATGACCCTACATCCTACTGTTCTCTCCATCACTCAATTGGCCCCAGCAACATAGCTTTCCTTGTTGTTCCTCAACCATGCCAGACACACTCCTGCCTCTTTCCTCTGCTTACAATGCTCTTCTCTCCGCTAGCCCCTTGTCTCATTCATTACCTTCCTAAGATTTTGCTGAGACTTCTTCTGGACTGGGTGAAGGGCACAGGCAAAAAATTGCAAGGGCCTGGACCAAGGCAGGGAATGAAAGCATATTTTAAAACACACTGCAGTGACAGTCTTAAAAAACAGGAAGTTAGAGAAACCATGTAGTCATTTGTTCATTCATTCATTCAGTTAATCATTCATCAAATGCCTTCTCTGCACTTTCAGCATGGAAGACACTGGGAATATCAGTACTATGTCCAGACAGACCTTTAACTCAAAAGATGAAGCACCCAGCCAGGTGCAGTGGCTCACACCTGTAATCTCAGCACTTTGGGAGGCTGACACAGGTGGATCACCTGAGGTTAGGAGTTTGAGACCAGCCTGGCCAACATGATGAAACCCCATATCTACTAAAATACAAAAATTAGCCAGGCATGGTGGCGTGCAACTGTAATCCCAGCTACTCAGAAGGCTGAGGCAGAAGAATTGCTTGAACTCAGGAGGTGGAGGCTGCAGTGAGCTGAGATCACGCTACTGCACTCCAGCCTGGGCGACAGAGCGAGACAAAAAAAAAAAAAAAAAGGCGAAGCACACAAGTGTTATAATCTTTGAGCAGGACATTTGTCTCACTCTCACGGAGCTACCAATATGTTGCAGGAGCAGCCAAATATCTCAAGGTGGGATGAATGAAGTGAACTGGCTGGTGCTCCTCCAGTAAATACTGTCCTTTTATTGCCCAGGGGCTCTGGACCTGCCTCGGGTCAAGAAGGGCACAAAAGCGGGATCAGAAGACCAAAGCTTTCCAAGCAGCTGTGTGGGGCAGCTGTGCAACTGAGACCATGCTCAACCTTCCCTTCCTCATCCCCTGTGAACTCTCTGAGGCCAGTCAATTCCTGGGGTGGGACATGCTGGTGGGTGGAAGGAATGTGGGGAAGAGCTACCAGTTACACCAAATAGAGATTCATCCAGGTTAACCAGCAGGTTTTTCAAACATGCAAGTCCCTGAAAGGACTGAAATATATGGGTACCAGAGTTAGTAGAGCCCCAGAAGGGGAATCTGCCTGCAGGGTCTATGCACAGAAGTTCTCTGGGCCCTGGGTCTCAGAGGCATCTGGAAACACAAAGAGTGGGGCAGTGTTATTCCTTACTACCCTCAGGGTGTGAGTGTACCTGCAGCTGAGCACATTGAGTTAGGCCTTCAGGGCAGGCACAGATCCAGATTTAGACCCAGGGTGACCCAGGAGTTAGGCTTCCTCACCTTTTGACTCCTCTCCTCTCTAGCTAGTCTATGTTTTTTCCCACCTGAGGTGTGGTATTATAGAAATCATTCCATTTTGTAACTGCAATAGCTTTAAGAAAATGAAATGGGTGGGACAAAGGGGTTAATTTTTCACTTTTTACATTTTGGTGTTATATGAGTTCTTAAAACGAGCCAGGGTTATTTTTGTTATTTTATTTTATTATTTGAGATGGGGTCTCACCCTGTCGCCCAGGCTAGAGTGCAGTGGTGCAATCATGGCTCGATGCAACCTCAACTTCCCCTGGCTCAGGTGATTCTCCCACCTCAGCCTCCCAATAAGCTGGGACTATAGTTGCATGCCACCATGCCTGGCTAATTTTTGCATTTTTTGTAAAGATGGGGTTTTGCCATGTTGCCCCTCAAATTCCTCAGCACAAGCAATCCTCATGCTTTGGCCTCCCAAAGTGCTGGGATTACAGGCATGAGCCACCACCGCGCCCGGCTCCAAGAAAATTCTTACCAAAACGTAACAAATTAATATTACTTGGCCGGGCGCGGTGGCTCACACCTGTAATCCCAGCACTTTGGGAGGCTGAGGCGGGTGGATCACGAGGTCAGGAGATCGAGACCATCCTGGCTAACACGGTGAAACTCCGTCTCTACTAAAAATACAAAAAATTAGCTGGGCGTAGTGGGGGGCTCCTGTAGTCCCAGCTACTTGGGAGGCTGAGGCAGGAGAATCACTTGAACCCTGGAGGCGGAGCTTGCAGTGAGCCGAGATCACGCCATTGCACTCCAGCCTGGGTGACAGAGTGAGACTCCATCTCAAAAAAAAAAAAAAAATTACTTATATGTTTCATTATTTCATATAGAGGAAACTTATGTAGCCCAATATACTGAGAAAGAATTGGAGACATAAAAATATTAACTTTAGTATGCCTTGCCAATATAATTTTTTGTTTGTTTGTTTGTTTTAGAGACCAGGTTTCGCCATGTTGTCCAGGCTGATCTTGAACTCCTGGACTTAAGCAATCCATTCGTCTAGGCCTCCCAAAGTGCTAGGATTACAGGTGTGAGCCACCATGCCTGGACCAAATATAATTATTTAAAAATAAAATGTTTTATCTTACTATGGGCTTTATAGTTTGTCGGAACCTTAGAGCTACAGAAGCAACTCATTCAACTTAGGAAAATATGTGTCATATAACCAAATTGACAAAACCAGTCTTATTATCAAATTAATAGCCAATTAGGCTTCAGTTTTCAATTTCAATAAAATGTGTGTTTCCTTATCTCTTGTCTGAATTCTAGTTCTAAATTGAATAACTATCCAAGGCAGAGAGCAAGGCCCTGAGTTTGTGCTGGGATGACAGAAGGTGCTGCCGTGTTTGGTATTTCCTACTGAACTTCTATTTCTTTTGCCCTCATTTGCCCTCATAGGATTCTGTTTTGGAAGCAAAGCATTCTTTCACAGCAGTCTAGAGATGGGAGAAGGAATAAAGCTTGTTATTCCTTGGTCAATATCTCTAACATCTCAACATGTGCTAAGTTACACTGTTTCCACTGTGGTGCTTCAAACTTAACAGAAATATGTATAAGACAGGGAAAGACTTGAAGCCTCCTATAGGTGTCCTGTTTAAAGAGATGAATTTTTAATATCCTGGACCAATTTGCAATATAAGATTCAGGATGGGTAAGAGATGTACCTTTCTTTTGCAAAGAGAAAGGGAGATTGTGAAAGGGGAGATGGTGGGTCCGGAATTGGTGGGTTCTTGGTCTCACTGACTTCAAGAATGAAGCCGTGGACCCTCGCGGTGAGTGTTACAGCTCTTAAGGTGGCGTGTCTGGAGTCTGTCCCTTCTGATGTTCAGATGTGTTCGGAGTTTCTTCCTTCTGGTGGGTTCGTGGTCTCGCTGGCTCAGGAGTGAAGCTGCAGACCTTCGCCGTGAGTGTTACAGCTCTTAAGGCAGCGCGTCTGGAGTTGTTCGTTCATCCCGGTGGGCTCCTGGTCTCCCTGGGCTCAGGAGTGAAGCTGCAGATCTTCACGGTGAGTGTTACAGCTCATAAAAGCAGTGTGGACCCAAAGAGTGAGCAGTAGCAAGATTTATTGCAAAGAGCGAAAGAACAAAGCTTCCACAGCGTGGAAGCAGACCCCAGCAGGTTGCCAATGCTGGCTCGGGCAGCCTGTTTTTATTCTCTTATCTGGCCCCACCCACATCCTGCTGATTGGTAGAGCCAAGTGGCCTGTTTTGTCAGGGTGCTGATTGGTGCGTTTAAAATCCCGGAGCTAGATACAAAGGTTCTCCACGTCCCCATCAGATTAGTTAGATACAGAGTTTCCACACGCAGGTTCTCCAAGGCCCCACCAGAGCAGCTAGATACAGAGTGTCAATTGGTGCATTCACAAACCTTGAGCTAAACACAGGGTGCTGATTGGTGTGTTTACAAACCTTGAGCTAGATACAGAGTACCGATTGGTGTATTTACAATCCTTGAGCTAGACATAAAGGTTCTCCACGTCCTCACCAGAGTGGCTAGATACAGACTGTCGATTGGTGCACTCACAAACCTTGAGCTAAACACAGGGTGCTGATTGGTGTATTTACAATTCCTGAGCTAGATATAAAGACTCTCCACGTCCCCACCAGACTCAGGAGCCCAGCTGGCTTCACCTAGTGGATCCCGCACCGGGGCTGCAGGTGGAGCTGCCTGCCAGTCCTGCGCCGTGTGCTCGCATTCCTCAGCCCTTGGGTGGTCGATGGGACTGGGCGCCGTGGAGCAGAGGGTGGCGCTCGTCGGGGAGGCTCCGGCCACACAGGAGCCCATGGAGTGGGTGGGAGGCTTAGGCATGGTGGGCTGCAGGTCCCGAGCCCTGCCCCGTGGGAAGGCAGCCAAGGCCCGGCGAGAAATCGAGTGCAGCGCCGGTGGGCCAGCACTGCTGGGGGACTCAGTACACCCTCTGCAGCCATTGGCCCGGGTGCTAAGTCTCCCATTTTGCCCAGAGCCAGCAGGGCTGCCTGGCTGCTCCGAGTGCGGGGCCCACCAAGCCCACGCACACCCGGAACTCCAGCTGGCCCGCAAGTGCCGCACACAGCCCCGGTTCCCGCTCATGCCTCTCCCTCCACACCTCCCTGCAAGCTGAGGGAGTGGGCTCCGGCCTTGGCCAGGCCAGAAAGGGGCTCCCACAGTGCAGTGGGGGACTGAAGGGCTCCTCAAATGCCACCAAAGTGGGAGCCCAGGCAGGGGAGGTGCCGAGAGCAAGCGAGGGCTCTGAGGACTGCCAGCACGCTGTCACCTCTCAATGGGAAAGGACAACAGGCATGATGGTAGACACTGAAGGTGCATCCTTAGGTCAATTTTATGCAAAAGTACCTATGGGCTGGCATGGTGGCTCATGCCTGTAATCCTAACACTTTGGGAGGCTGAGGCAGGAGGATTTCTTGAGCCCAGGAGTTCAAGACCAGCCTGGGTAATACAGCAAGACCTGGTTTCTACTAAATATAATTTTTATTAAAAATTGAAAACAATTTTTTAAAATTAAGAAAAATGTCTATGGAAGTCAAAGTTCCCCTCAAACTGTTCATTCTTGCATAAACCTTGATATCCCAGAGACCAATATCTCAAAGCATAGTTATAATCACTGACTTCCCAACCAAAGGCTTCTGCAGCTTCTGCTTGCCTGCAGTTGTAGCTCCTAATCTCATTATCATCAGAAGCGTGATGCTTCAGACTAATCATAATCATGATTATGATTCAGGATTGCAGGAGTGGGGCTCCAACACATGCATGTTTATGAAGCTCCCACGTAATTCCGATGGTCAGTGAGACTAAAGCCTTTTGATGAGAACTTGAGCTCCTCCTGCTTCATAGCCTTTCCCTCCATCCCTGCTGCGTAATTATCATCGATGACTCCACCATCCAGGTGGGTGACCTCCCAACACCCAGGCCTCTCAATTCTTTGGCCTTCTAGCCACCAATGACATTCCCTCTACTCCTCTCACTCCTGTGGATACACCCTGAACCTTACCACCAGAATCTTCCCCACCTCTAAATTCTGCACCTTCCGCTTCTTTATCTCATTTGTTCTAGTCACTTCATGTTGTGGGAGGCAGAATAAAGGTCTCCCAAGATGTTCACATCCTAATCTCAGGAACCTGTGAACATATAACCTTGTGTGGCAAAATGAACTTTGTAGATATAATTAAGGTTATAGACCTTAAAATAGGTAGATTAGCCTAGCTTATCCAAGTGTGTCCAATCTAATCACCAAAGTTCTTAAAAGCAGAGAACTTTCTCTGGCTGGAGTCAGACAGATGCAACAAAAGAGAAAAGCAGAAGAGATGTGGCTGGAAGGGAAGTCAGAAGAGACCTGAGGTGAAAGAAGGACTCCAGGCTGGGTGCAATGGTTCATGCCTGCCTGGAATCCCAGCACTTTGGGAGGCTGAGGTGGGAGGATGGCTTGGGGCCAGGAGTTTGAGACCAGCCTGGGCAATATAGCAAGGCCCCATCTCTACAAAAAAATAAAAATAAAAATAATTAGAAGGACTCCAGTGCTGTTGCTGGTTGAAAGATGGAGGAGGCAAGTTGACAAGGGATGCAGGTGGTTTTAAGAAGCTGATAGAAGCTCCTGGCTGACAGCCAGAAACAAAATGGGAACCTCATTTCTTCAACTGCAAGAAACTGAATGCAGCCAATAACCAGAATGAGCTTGGAAGCAGATTTATCCCTAGAATCTCCAGAAGAATGCAGTCCCACCAACACATTAATTTGAGCCTTTATGAGACTCTAAACAGGAGCCAGCTGAGACATGCTGTACCTGGACTTCTTACCTCCAGAACTATGGCATAATAAATGGCTATTGTTTTAAGGCACTAAGTCTGGTATTTTATTCCGGCTGCAATAGAAAATGAATACACCATGCTACAATTATTTGACCTTATTACATTCCAAGACATTGACCCACGACTTTATCACTATTGAACAGCCCCCTCATGTCTTTCCTGTCTTCCTTTTCCAATTTAGATTCTGTAGCCTGCCATTTTAATCACCTCACATAAGCATCCTCAGCTCTCTTGTTCTTCTCTCCCTTTATTACTGTGCTGCTCAGACTTGGCACGCCATCAGAATCGCCTGGAGAGCTTGTTGAAGCACATTCTACTGGGCCTCGCCTCCGCAGTTACTGATGCAGGAGTTTTGGGTGGGGTCTGAGAATGTGCATTTTTCACCAGTTTTCAATGATTCTGATACTGCTGGTCCAGGGACCACACATTGAGAACCACTGCTTTGCTACAATCACCCTGATCGCACCTGACAGTCTTCTTCGCACCGGTAACCAAGGAGTCTGGTGTTGCTCAAGAAAAAAAATCACCAAATCGAGCCTACTGCTTTCATTTAAATTCATGTTAGAGCCCCTAAATAACCCTTAATAACTGCCAAGCTGCCTGTCCTTTTCCATTTCCCTAATAAAGTTCCTTTGTGTTTCTTATACATTGTCTGTCCTCTCTTCTGAAACCTCCCATGTACTTCCACTCCTCAGTTTCAGCAGATAATATTACCTCCCACACTTCAGTGAGGAACCAGAGGCCAGAAGATGGGAACTCCCTCATCTTCCCTCCCACGAGGCTGCAACCCTGCCTGAGACTGTTCCTTCTTCCCTCTTGTTACAGTGGAAGGACAGATCTCTGCCCACTATCGGCCACTCTCTCCTCCTGTCCCTGCACCCTATTGCTCTCACCTCTCCAAGAACCCTGCTTCTTTAATTACCTCCTCTTTCCTATGATATTAGCATATGTGTCCATCGGAATTACTTGCTGGATCCCCATCTTCAGCACCTTCTTGGCCCCATGTCCTCTTCCAGCCACCATCCAATTTCTTTGCCCCCATTCACAGCAAACATTATTGAAAAAGTTGTTGGCTCACTGTGTGTCTATCTCCTCCCTTCCCATTCACTCTTTTGAAAGATGTATGGAATGTGTAGTCATTGAATCAATATTACACTGGATACTTGATATATGTTGACTGTCATCCTGTGATCCCCCCTTTCATGAAGTTTGTGGACAAAATCCCTAAATACGGCATTTACAGCTAGTGACAAGTGCCGTATAGAAAACAGAGGGATGTGATGGCTTTCATGACCCATACGGGCATTCAAGAAATACATATTGAGCAGCCACTATGCACCAGGAACAGTTTATATTCTAGTAGGAAATATATAGAAAAAAAAACAACAGCAATAAAAATTAAAACATGTATGTTAGTGATATGTGCTATGAAACAAAGAAAGCAGAGTGAGTTAGGAGTGTAGGCAGAGGGATAATGATCCTTAATTAGCATGGTGAGGTAAGGCTTCATTGAGAAGGTGCTTTTAAGTGAGGACCCAAGGGAGAAGGAATTAGCTGTGCAGCTATCTGCGGGGAGAACATTCATTCCCAGCAGAGAAAATGGCAGAAAATGGCAGGGCAGAAGCGTGCCTGCTCTTTGGAATAACTGCGAGAAACTGGCAGCAATAGAAAATGAATCACCGTGCTACAATTATTTGACCTTATTACATTTCAAGACATTGACCCACGACTTTATCACTATTGAACAGCCCCCTCATGCCTTTCCTGTCCTCCTTTTCCTCATGCTTTTCCTGTCCTCCATGATTTCCGGGCGGAAGCGTGCCTGGCTGGTTGGAAAAACTGCAAGAAACTGCAAGGAATGAGAAGGAGGCCAGTCTGCCTGGAGCTCTGTGAGCAGAAAGAAGGAGTCAGGCTAGGGGATGAACCCTGCATCACAAAGGGGCCGAGTTGTTGGGGGCAGAGGTCAGCAAGCTTTTCTGTAAAGTGCTAGATAGTAAGTATTTTTAGCTTTGCAAGCCACATGTGGTCTGTATCGCATATTCTTTCTCTTTTTGAAAAAAGTGTGAAAGCCCTCTCTTCCCTCTTGCCATACAAGGATTTTGCTGGCCGGCCTTAGTTTGCCACCCCCTGGGACCTTGTAGGCTGTTGTAAAGATTTTAGCATTTACTCGGAGTCACATGAGAAGCACTAGAGGATTCTGAGCAAAGGAGTAATAGGTCCTCTCTTACATTTTGAGAGTATCTTTCAGTTTTGTTTGTTTGTTTTTTTAACCACAGGCATATACCACCATGCCCGGCTGATTTTGATATTTTTTGTAGAGATTGGGGGGGGGGGGGGCGGATCTCATTATGTTGCCCAGGCTGATCTCGAACTCTTGGGTTCAAACGATCCTCCTGCTTCAGCCACCCAAAGTGCTGGGATTACAGACATGAGCCACTGCGCCCAGACTTTAAATATATGTTGGGAAACCTGGCCAACATGGTGAAACCTATCTCTACTAAAAACACAAAAATTAGCCGGCGGCAGTGGCACCCGCCTATAATCCCAGCTACTTGGGAGGCTGAAGCATGAGAATCGCTTGAGCCCAAGAGGCGGAGGTCGCAGTGAGTTGAGATCACACCATTGCACTCCAGCCTGGGAGGCAGAGAAAGACCCTGTCTCAAAAAACGTGTGTGTGTGTGTGTGTGTGTGTGTGTGTGTGCGCGCATGTGTGTGAGTGATATATATATGTCGTTTATTTCATAAGGTGCCTGTAAGTGTTAAGAATCTTTTAGTTTTTATATGCGGAATCTTTTTTTTCCTACCCCCAACACTCTTGAATGGTAATTTGGCTGGGTGTAAATTTCTTCCATTTATAGGGCATTTTCTTCAATTCTGGGGGAAAAAACTCAGTAGTTTTCTCATCAAATATTGCTTTTTCCATCTAATTATCTTTCTCTGGAACACTTATTATTTTATAAATATTTGAATCTTGTAATCTGTTCTCCATGTTTTTAGTTGCTGTTTTTTGTTTATCTTGTGCTATATTCTGAATGAGTCCTCAGTTTTGTCTTCCAATTCCCTAATTTACTGTTTGAGTGTGTTCAATCTAGAGTTTCTCCCACTTATGACCTTTAAAATTTCAATTAGTGTATTTTTTTTATTTCAAGGATTTCCAGTTGGTTCTCTCTCATACTGTTTCATTTCTGCCTATTTTTGCTGAATAATTTCATTTTGAAATGAAAGTTATGCATTCATCTCTGAACATTTTTAAAATCCAAAGGAAATTTGAGAAAATTTCTGGTCTGATTGTTAATTTCAAAGGCTATCTTTCTGTTTTGTAATTATGGTTGAAAGGTCTTTTAGCGTGAGAAAGTATTCATTTTTGTTTGATTTCTCTCTCTCTTACTCTCCCCTCATTCCTTTCCAGGAGGGCTCCAGCTGGCCCTCTGGGCCTCAAACTAGAGTCAAAGCTTAGGATTATGATTTTTCTATCCCTAGATATTAGGGATGTGGCATATTAGGGATAACTAATATCCCTAGATATTAGTTATGGGTCCAGCAGACAGCTTGACAATTTCTGGTAATGAGGTGTTCTCTTTGCTCCTCATCTCTCTAGTCTCTAATAAAGTCTCAGTCCATAGGTTAACTGCTATTATCTTCATCTTCTTTTCACAAGCGATGGAGCTCACTTCAGCCTCTGGTATCAAGCTGGAAGCCTCCGTCTCCCACCTTGTGGGGAGTGCTTTAGCCCCCTACTCCCCTGCTAAACCCCCATCCAGCTGCTAGTGTCCAACTTCCAGACTTAGAGCCCCACAAGCTTGAGACTTCAGCCTAAGGAAATACTTAGCTTAACGTGTTTCCATTCTATTTCTGGTTCATGGAGATACATAAGATATATATATATCTTGGATTACATATCATGGAGATATATAAGAGTGCAACTGTGTCTTTTTGGAAAAAATCATTTTTATATTTTAAATATCATGCCTGGGTGTTTGAAGCAAAGGGGGTTTTGGAGACAAGCTCACTTCCTTGTGTTGACTTCAACCACCTCATACTTGGTTTCTGTCCCCTACCCCCCTACAGAAACCACCACGGTTAAGGTCACTGGTGATCTTTAGGATGCCAGATCCAATGGACGTTTCTTTGTCTTAATCTTACTTGGTGTATTGTCAGCTTTTGATATAACTGACCACACTGTTCTTAAAACGTCACTCTCTGCTTGACCGCACACTCTCCTGAAACTCATTCTCGTTGTCCTTTACAGCTCCTCCTCCTCTCCTTGAATTCCACATGTAGAAGTTCTGGCCAGCGCAGTGGCTCACACTTCTAATCCCAGCACCTCTAGAGGCCAAGGCGGGAGGATCACTTGAGGCCAGGAGTTCAAGAGCAGAATAGGCAACATAGTGAGGCCCTGTCTCTCCAAAAAGCTTTTAAAAATAAAAAATTAAAAAACTGAAAAACTAATATGGAAATTCTACACCTCTATCTATACCCTTCCCTTGACGAGATCCTCAATCCCATAGTTTTAAATACTGTTTATATTCTGATAACTCCCAAATTTTTATCTCCAGATTAAATATCCTATCTGAGTTCCAGACTCAGTCTACATACAAACTTCACAATTCCAGTTGCATGTTTAATAAATATCTTAAACTTAACATGTTCAAAATAAAACTCTTGATTTCTTCCTCCAAACTTCCTCCTCTTTCAGTCTTTCCCAACACATGGTAATATCATTTATAAATTGGGAGCCATTATTATTTTTTTTTGTGTTCAAGTCTTTTACTCTCCAAGTGTAATACAATTGTTCAGCTACAACAGGAATAATGACACAAAATGGTTCTGAAAAGTACAATAGGAATATATTGTTCACTGGTTTATTTTTCCAAATGAGCAACAGGCTATTTACAAATAAGCAGATCTCCAATGATGTATATTCAAATGCAAGTCTATCACTGTTTGAAATCTAAATGAAAAAAAAATTTATTCAGGCACATTTGATCTGAGACAACAAGCAAACTTTCTGGTATAATGACAGATTCACTTCACTTTTGTTTCCAAAAGACGTGAGCACCAAAATTGTCAAAGAACACTTAATATTTAGTAAAACGGAAGCAATGTAAAAGTTAAGGAGGGGAAAAAGCATTTTCAAAGGAAATCGTTGGAGATCGATTTACTGCAAATAAAACATACTAAACATACTCCTGATAGACATGAATAATAATAAGTAACAGGTACTCAAGAAATGGCAGACCTTGCTGAGTGCGGTGGCTCACGCCTCTAATCCCAGCACTTTGGGAGGCCGAGGTGGGTAGATCACCTGAGGTCAGGAGTTCAAGACCAGCCTGGCCAACATGGCAAAACCCTGTTTCTACTAAAAATACAAAAAATTAGCCAGACATGCTGGCGGGCACCTGTAATCCCAGCTACTTGGGAGGCTGAGGCAGGAGAATTGCTTGAACCCGGGAGGCAGAGGTTGCAGTAAGCCGAGATCGCACCATTGCACTCCAGCCTGGGAGACAGAGTGAAACTCCATCTCAAAAAAAAAAAAAAAACAATTGTTTTTGGCTTGGCATGGTGGCTCACACCTGTAGTCCCAGCATTTTGGGAGGCTGAGGAAGGCAGATCACGAAGTCAGGAGTTCGAGACCAGCCTGGCCAAGATGGTGAAACCCTGTCTCTACTAAAAATACAAAAATTAGCTGGGTGTGGTGGTGCACACCTGTAATCCCAGCTACTCTGGAGGCTGAGGCAGGAGAATCGCTTAAACCCGGCAGATGGAGGTTGCAGCGAGCTGAGATCACGCCACTACACTCCAGCCTGGGCGACAAAAGTGAGACTCTGTCTTGGAAAAAAAAAAGTTGTTTTGTTTTTGTTTTTGGAACTTTCCCATTATAAACAATCTTTGGGTCACACTAGCTGAAGATGATTGGAAAAGGTATTTGTTGGTGCAGAACTGTATTTGCTTGACATCACTAAAGGAATTCTGTAGTAAACACGAGGACATCACCGGAGAAGAGCAAAGATTCATTATTAAACTGGGAAGATCCTACTTCCAGGGCTGGAGCTCTTGAAAACTCTTCAGAC
The DNA here is from genome assembly GCF_000001405.40 of Homo sapiens. Lineage (NCBI taxonomy): Eukaryota > Metazoa > Chordata > Mammalia > Primates > Hominidae > Homo > Homo sapiens. The sequence continues at coordinate 9,631,214 of NC_000011.10, forward strand.
GCAGGCAAAATCTGCATGTCAGCTTTAGGATACTTAATGCAATAGTCTCTCATCAGTTCAACTTGTTTGGCCTTGTCAGGGTTGGAGTCAGAATTGAAAAGCAGAACCATGAGCTTGATGTTCTGACTGGGGATAAGACATGTCTTAGGGTAACTATATTTTTTGTTTTTAGGATCCAGTTGTATTTCCTTTTTTTTTTTTTCTTTGAGACAGAATCTCACTTTGTTGCCCAAGCTGGGGTGCAGTGGCATGATCTCAGCTTACTGCAACCTTTGCCTCCTGGGTTTAAGCAATTCCCCTTCCTCAGCCTCCCGAGTAGCTGGGATTACAGGCACGTGCCACCACACCCGACTAATTTTTGTATTTTTAGTAGAGACGAGGTTTCGCCATGTTGGCCAGGCTGGTCTTGAACTCCTGATCTCAGGTGATTCACCCGCCTCAGCCTCCCAAAGTGCTGGGATTACAGGCATGAGCCACTGCACCCGGCCTGTATTTCCTTTTTATGATCTGTCTACAGCTTTGTCTTTTTTTTCTTTTTAACTGTTGGTATTTTTCTTTTCTTTTTCTGTTTGTTGTTGCTTTCTGTTGTTGTTTGTTTGTTTTGTTTTTTCTTTTTGAGACTGAGTCTTGCTCTGTCACCCAGGCTGGAGTGCAGTGGCGCAATCTTGGCTCACTGCAACCTCTGCCTCCTGGGTTCAAGCGATTCTCCTGCCTCAGACACCTGAGTAGCTGGGACTACAGGTGCCTGCCACCACAACAGCTAATTTTTGTATTTTTAGTAGAGACGGGTTTTCACCATGTTGGCCAGGCTGGTCACAAAATTCTGACCTCAAATGGTCTGCTTGCCTTGGCCTCCAAAAGTGCTGGGATTACAGGCGTGAGCCACTGTCCCTGGGCCGGTATTTTTCTACTGATTTGCAAGAGCACTTTGCATATCAAAAAAAAATGAGCTCTTTATCTATTACATGATTTGCAAATCATTTCCCCAATTATTAAACTTTGTCTTATAGGTTTAAAGCATTTTACTTTTATTTAAATTTTTAAATAAAAAAAAAATAGAGATGGGGTCTTGCTATGTTGCCCTGGTTGGTCTCCAACTCCTGGGCTCAAGCAATCCTCTTATTTTGGTCTCCCAAAGTGCTGGGATTACAGGCATGAGCCACCGTGCCCAGCCTATAGTTTTTTTAATTGCCATGTAGAAATGCTTTTATTTTCATGTAATTGAATGTATCAAATTTTAAAAATATCTTCTGAGTTTTGTGTTGTGCTTAGAAGAAACTACTCTGAAACTCTAAAATTATTTAAAAAATTTTTTTCCATGTTTTCTTTTAGCATTTTTATGGGCCATTTTTTTCACTAAATTTTTTGCTAAATTATAGAAGTAACTTAATATAAGATATGGATTAGAATAAGTTGGATTGAAATCCAACTTTATTATGTTTCAGATCACTACTCAGTTATCCAAAATTACTTATTGAATAATCAATCATATCCTGTTTTGAAATGCCACCATTAGCACATATTAAATTCCTGTATATACTTGAGTTTTTTCTAGACTTTTTATTCTGTTCACTGATACATTTATTAATGCACAAATACTCTCTTTTTAAAATAATTATAGCTCTATATTTTGCTATTTGGTAGGGCTTGTTTCTCCTTTTTTTTTTTTTTTTCTTCTTCATCGGAAATTTTCTGGCTATTTCTGCTTGTTTATTTCTTTCATATGAACTTTAAAATCAGCTTATCTGCCTCAAAAAATTTATTGGTGTTTTTAATAGGATGATGTTTAATTGATGGACTAAATTGGCCAGATTGATCAGTCTTTATGAAGTGTGTATTCCTATCAAGAACATGGTGTGCCTTTCTAATTATTCAGTTACTCTTTCGTGTCCTCCAGTAGAGATGGAAAGTTTTCTTTTTTGCACATTTTTGCTATGTTTATTCTCAGGTATTTTATTGTCTTTGTTGCTATTGTAAACGGTGTTTGCTTCCATTTTATCTTTCAGCTGCTTATTTTTGATATATTTGGAGACTAATAATTTCCCTGTAGTTATTTTTATTAAAGTTTCTCATCTATTTTTCTTATTATTTATAATAACTATTTATTTGATTATTTTGGGTTTTCCAGATCTATCTTATTTTTAACCAGCCACTTTGAGTTGGTCTTCTTTTTTTAAGAAGCCAATACTTACTTAGACTTATCCGTATGAATACCTATTTGTGCTATTACTTCAGGTATTTGGGGTTCAATTTTCTTTGTGCTGACAAATATTTTTAATCATTATTTCAGGAAGAAACTGGGTGGTTTGTATGTTGGAAATTATCTGTATTTGCCTCTCCTTCTTTAATGCTAGTTTAGCTGGGTAGAATTTCAGTTTGACAATTATTTTCCATCAGTAATTTAAAAGCTATTTCTTTGTCTTTGGGCATCTATTGTTGAAGAGTAGCTTGCAGTGGTTTGTTATTCTTCTGTAAGTAGTCTGTCTTTTTCTACTGGTTATTTTTATGATATTAGGTTCTTATATTTGATGTTTTCCAAAGCTATCACACTGGCTGGACATGACTTTATTCGTATTTTGCTCAGTATCTATGGCCTGCACCTGCTAGATTATGTGGGTTCATGTCCCATTGGTGTAGAAACAGACTTGAGGTTCCTGTTTTTCATAGCTGATTCTTTTCCTCCCTGTGGTCTAGGCCAATGGCAAGCTTTCTTGTTCCTTCCCCAAATTGGTAAGTAGAGTTTTTCTTTTCTCCTGTGGGGAGCAAATAAAATCTTTATTCCAACTTCAGATCTCGTCAGGGCTCAAGGCCTCATTTCCTGCTGCCATGCCAAGACCTATTCTGTCTTAGCTTCAGATTCTCTTTACTGTGGTAGCTTTGGGTTCCCTTTTGATTTGTGGCACCTGGGAATGTCTCTTTCTTACTTTCAATCTCAGATATATCTTTAGGGATTTTATCGTGAAGGGATGTTGAATTTTATCAAATGTTTTTTCAGTATTGCTTGAAATGATCATATGGTTCTAATCCTTCATTCTGTTGATATGATGTATCACATTGATTGATTTGCACATGTTGAACCATCTTTGCATCCCATGGATAAATCCCACTTGGTCATGATGAATGATCTTTCTAATCTATTGCTGAATTCAGTTTGCTATGATTTTGTTGAGGATTTTTGCATTAATATTCATCAGAGATATTGGCCTGTAATTTTCTTTTTTTAATGTGCCTTTGTCTGGCTTTGGTATCAGGGTGATACTGGCATTGTAGAATGAGTTTGACAGTATTCTCTTCTCCTCTATTTTTTCGGAATAGTTTGAGTAGGATTGGTATTATTTCTTTAAATGTTTGGTAGAATTCAGCAGTGATGCCATTGGGTCCCAGGCTGTCTTTTACTGGAAGATTTTTCATTACTGCTTTGATCTTGTTACTCGTTATTGTTCTGTTCAGGGTTTGGATTTCTTCCTGGTTTAATCTTGGTAGGTTGTATGTGTCTAGGAATTTTTCCATTTCTTCTAGATTTTCCAATTTACTGGCATATAGTTGTTCATAGTAGCCACCAATGATCCTCCGAATTTCTGCAGTATCAATTGTAATGTCTCCTTTTTCATTGCTGATTCTATTTATTTGGATCTTCTCTCTCTCCCTTTCTCTGTTTTATTTTGAGATAGTGTCTCGCTTGGTTGCCCAGCTGGAGTGCAGTGGTGCAATCTCGGCTCACTGCAGCCTCAGTCTCCTGGGCCCAATCAATTCTCCTACATCAGCCTCTGGTTAGCTGGGATTACAGGTATGTGCCACGACTCCCAGCTAATTTTTTATTTTTTTGTAGAGACGAGGTTTCACCATTTTGCCCAGGCTGGTCTCGAACTCCTGGCTCAAGTAATCCGCGCACCTTAGCTTCCCAAAGTGTTGGGCTTACAGGCACGAGCCACTGCACCTGGGCCTTCTCTCTTTTTTTCTTAGTTTGGCTATCATATATGTCTCTAAAAATTACTCAGCATTTCTATTTGTGTGAGAGATGATTCCTGCCTCAGTTCAGTCAGCTTGTCTGATTTTGAGACACTATTTTGGGCTGGGAGTGGTAGCTCATGTCTGTAATCCCAGCACTTTGGGAGGCCAAGGCGGGTAGATTGCTTGAGCCCAGGAGTTCAAGGCTAGCCTGGGCAACATGGCAAAACCCTGTCTCTACCAATAAAATACAAAAGTTGGATGTGGTGGCATATACCTGCAGTCCCAGCTACTCAGGAGGCTGAGGTGGGAAGATCGCTTGAGCCCTGGAGGTAGACGCTGTAGTGAGCTGTAATCATGTCACTGTACTCTAGCCTGGGTGACAGAGCAAGACCCTGTGTTAAAAAAAGAAAAGAAAAAGAAAAGAAGACACTATTTTGGAACTAAAAGCCAAGAATTTGACTTTTTTTCCTGAGTGGGTTCTTTCGAATTCTCTTTACTGGGTCAATAGCCTCATCCCCAAGATATAGGGCAACTAAGCTAGCCAAAATTGAGTATCAGTCACTTGCAGCCAATCTTTAATACAGTGGGGTCTGAGAATTTCTGGCCTTCAGGATAAAGTTCAAGTCCTCCAAACTTTCTGCCCCAAGTATGTTTCTAACTCAGTTTCCTACTTTCCTCTCTTATCTACCCAATGCTTTAGAGAAACCAAAGGTGCTTGTTATTTTCTGTGTACCTCTGAGCTTTCTCATATCCATGTCCTTGCATATAATGTGCTCTTTTCTGTTTGTTTGTTTTGAGATGGAGTCTCGCTGTTGCCCAGGCTGGAGTGCAGTGGGGCGATCTCGGCTCACTGCAACCTCCGCCTCCAGAGTTCAAGTGATTCTTCTGCCTCAGCCTCCCAAGTAGCTGGGACTGTAGGCGCGTGCCACCACGCCTGGCTAATTTTTTGTATTTTTTTTAGTAGAGACGGGGTTTCACCACGTTTGCCAGGCTGGTCTCGGACTCCTGACCTCGTGTTTCGCCTGCCTCGGCCTCCCAAAGTGCTGGGATTACAGGCGTGAGCCACCACACCTGGCCCTATGTCTTTGCGTATGATGCGCTCTTTACCCAGGTACTTTTTTTTCCCCAGGTGACTGGGTCTCGTTCTGTCACCCAGTCAGGAGTGCAGTGGCATGATCCTAACTCACTGCAGCCTCAAACTCCTGGGCTCACACAATCCTCCTGCCACAGCCTCCCAAGTAACTAACCATACACTTTTGGCATTACTGCAGGCCAAATCCAACACGTCTTTCAAAGTCCAGCTCAATGGGTGCTGCTATGAAGCCTGACTAATCTTCTCAGCTTAAAGTTTTGTGTGCTTCCTCTGTATTTCTGCGATTGAAGAAGTCCACTGCAGTGTAAAGGACTCAAGCTGTGAATTGATATCAGGACTTAGGGGCTCAGGACCTGGCTCTGTTACTCCTTAGCTGCCTCTTTTTACCTATCTCAGCTTCAGTTATTATCTAAAACAGATGGAAATATTTCCCTCACAGAATTAAAGTCACTTTTATGACCATTTTGGTTTTGAGTGAAGGAAAATCCATCCTGAAGAGGGCATAGATTGGTTTATATAGGTGAAAAGTCCAGGGGTAGAGATGGCTTCAGGCATGGGGTGGACTCAAAGCTCAAATGCTATCAGCAGGAGTCTGACTATCTTCTCTAAGAGCTGCCTTTTGCTCTGTCACCTTTATGCCCAGGTTCAAAGAGTAGCCTGATGGCTGGCAGCACTCTTAGAACCCAATCTTTCTGCTTCAAGTCCAGCTGACTAGCTTGAGAACATCTTTCTCAAGTCACAACAAAGTTATCACGGACTCTCATTGGGTCATGTGCCCATCCCTGAGGTGGTCACTATGGCCAGGAGAATTTGATGCTTGGATTGCCTAGGGCCCAGGGGACTTGTTCTACCTCAGACCCTGGGGTGCATCCCTGGCAGCAACACATGGGATGAGTGTGGGTGGGTGGAGTTTCTGCAATGAGAAGTTAGGGTGCATTTCCAGCATGGTGAAAGGATGCTAGATGAGAATAACTGCAGAGCTCCACCATAGTTGTGCTGGGGATCAAGTGAGACAATATGAGGAAACTGACTTCGAAAGTCCTGATCAGGCTAGGCGTGGTTATACCAGCACTTTGGGAGGTCAAGGCAGGGAGATTGCTTGAGGCCAGGAGTTCGAGACCAGCCTGGGCAACGTGTCAAGACCCTGTCTCTACCAAAAAACAAAACAAAACAAAAACCAAATTAGCCAGGTGTGGTGACATGTGCCTATAGTCCTAGCTACTCAGGAGGCTGAGGTGGGAGGATTGCTTGAGCCCAGGAGTTCGAGGTTGTAGTGAGCTATGGTGGTGCCATTGCACTCCAGCATGGTGACAGAGAGAGACCCTATCTCAAAAAAACAAAAAAGAAGTCCTGTTCAAACATAAATGATTATTATTATTTGGTTATGTTTCTCTGTGGCACTTAGCACTTTTTTCCTTCTAGCCAGAGTTACCCACTTCATAGTTTAATCTTCCCTACTCCACCCTGAGCAGCTGGAGAGCACGGTCTGTGTTCTAGTAATCTCTAGAGGATTCCACCATTTCAACTCAGCACCCAGAAAATATAAGGTACCCAATAGATGATTGTGGAATAACTTGATTAGTCTGAAATCCAAAGCATTGCGCCCAGAGTTCTGTTAATCCCTAGGCCAAAATCTCAAAAGGCTTTCAAGAACTTGAACCTTTCCCTGGAATCATAGCTAAATAAGCTCTGGCCTTTTTCATAGTGGGTGGGGTGAGATAAATAATTTCAGGAAGATGTGTCCTTGCATTGATTTGTTCACCTGGCCAACCTAAGGCCATCCAGAGAAAGAAAAGTCTTGGTTTGTTTATTTTCTGTTTATTTATTAAATTTCTGGTTTATTTTGCTCTTACTGCCCTCGTTAAATGGTGTGGGCTTCAGGAAAGTGCAGACTGAATGAAGTAACTTCCCGAAGGCGCTGACCTGCAGGGCAGGTTTGGGGCTCCCTCCTGGTCCAGGAGGCCTAAGCGTCCAGGAAGTTTTGAGTTTAATGAAAGGAATTGGTGATCAGTTCTAGTCAAACATCTGGGAGCCCAGCCCAGGTGTTCTCCCTCATGTCTGTGTTGTGTTCATGTCCTTCGATTTCCTATCTGAACACGGAGTCTGGAGCTCCTGAGGATCACAGGAGTTTGGAAAACCAAAAAAACCTTTTTTCTTTCTTTCTTTTTTTTTTTTTTGAGATGGAGTCTCACTCTGTCGCCCAGGCTAGAGTGCAATGGCGGGATCTCAGCTCACTGCAACCTCCATCTCCTAGGTTCATGTGATTCTCCTGCCTCAGCCTCCCAAGTAGTTGGGATTACACGTGCTCACCACCACACCCAGCTAATTTTTGTATTTTTAGTAGATACGGGGTTTCACCATGTTGGTCTGGCTGGTCTCGAACTCCTGACCTCAGGTAATCTACCCACCTCAGCCTCCCAAAGTGCTGGGATTACAGGCATGAGCCACCATGCCTGGCCAGAAAGGCAAAGAGGGAATGAAGGACCCAGATCACCTATTGAAATAGTCTACATGTGGCCCCAGTCCCAGAATTAGCTGGAGCTACTTTTTGGCTGATTTTGCAATGGAGACATTAATTCTTTTCAGCCACAAGCATTAAGTAGAAAAGGTAATGTGGCTTAACTTATAATATACTGACCCACTAGTTTTCAACCTGCCTCATCTTATGTTGCAGCAATGATGCTATTCTAGGAACTTGGGCCTTACCAGGGCAGAAACAACAGGGCCATGCTTTACAGAAGGAAAGTTCCATGATTGCAGGTATCTGAGGAAGTTCATACGCACATAATTAAATTATAGTCTTTGTTAGAAACAGGGTTTCAGCTCTCGTAGACCAAAGACAATTGCTGATGGGTAGGAAGTGGGAATGAGAACAGTCCAAGGACATTGTTGGCAGGCCAAGGGTCACCAAAGGAAACTCTGAGCTGGGCGGGTCAGCAGCACTCGGCCAGCGCTTGGCAGGCTCTGCAGCATGAGCTGGGTGTTGCTTAAAAGGAACTCCCTGTACCACATCTTCCCTTCCTGGATGGTCCAAGTCACTCCCAACTCACTTCTGGAAAGATGTCCCTTGACTTCCAGGTTCTGACCTTGCTTCCCCTTGGTGCCTCTGTCTCTTCCCCAGCTGGCATCTTATCTCGCTTCCTGACCCTAGCTTCCTGTCTGGGCCTCAACAGTGCTCTGAGAACTTCTTCTTTGGGTAATGCTCCCCCTGCCTAACTGCCTTTTTGTCTCTCTTCCCGACATGCAATCACAGGTGCTCTTCCCAGGGACCTTAGGCAGTATGGCCTGATGGAAGGAGCCTGGATTTTGAAGCCAAACAGCTGTGTGTGTTTTTGTTTTGTTTTTTGAGACAGAGTCTTGCTCTGTCACCCAGGCTGGAGTGCAGTGGCACCATCTCAGCTCACTGCAACCTCCGCCTCCCAGGTTCAAGCAATTCTTATGCCTCAGCCTCTGGAGTAGCTGGGATTACAGGCACGTCTCACCATGCCCTGATGATTTTTGTATTTTTAGTAGAGATGGGGTTTTGTCATGTTGGCCAGGCTGGTCTCAAACTCCTAGCCTCAAGTGATCACCACGTTGGCCTTCCAAAGTGCTAGTATTATAGGCATGAACCACCACGCCCATCCTGAAGCCAAACAGATGTGTGTCCTAATTCTGGCTCTTCCATTTGTTAACAGGGTGAACTTGAGCAAATTATTCCATTTCTTCAACTGTAAAATGGGGATAATTTCTCTTACTGGGTTTCTGTGGGGGCTTGATGAGATAAGGGATGTAAGACACTGAGCAGGTTGATCCTTTGTAAATGGTGGCTCTTACTAAAAGTGAAGACAGGCAGGAGCACACACATTGCATAAATACCACCTTCCCGCCTTACCAGTGATAACATCTGACCAAGATACCAGGCATTTACCCTATGCAGAAAAGTCCTGCGTAGATGGAGCTGCCACTTCCTCATTTGTAGTCTGCTCTAATATTTCACAATCTGTGTAGTTAGGAAATAGTTCTTAATATCTAACCTACGTTCCTCCTGCTACAGTATGTCATAGCACACTTATTTTTAAAATAACACCCAGGCCAGGCGTGGTGGCTCACACCTGTAATCCCATCACTTTGGGAGGCTGAGGTGGGGAGATCACTTGAGGTCAGGAGTTCAAGACCAGCCTGGCCAACATGGTGAAACCCCATCTCTACTAAAAGTACAAAAAAAAAAAAAATTAGCTGGGCGTGGTGGTGTGCACCTGTAATCCCAGCTACTTGGGAGGCTGAGGCAGGAGAATCGCTTGAACCCAGGAGGCGGAGGTTGCAGTGAGCCAAGATCGTGCCATTACACTCCAGCCTGGGCGACAGAGCAAGACTCTGTCTCAAAATAAACAAACAAACAAACAGCAAACAAAACACATACACACAAACAGGCCCATGAAAATGAGCAGATTTTTCTATGAGTTAGGCATTCACTTGCCTTGGGTTTACTCTTATTTTCAAGAAACCAGTAAATATTTGTTGTGTGGCCACTGCAGGCAGGGACTGTGCTACGCTGTGCTGGGGAGCTCCAAAGAGGTGTGACAAGACTCCAGCTCTAGGAATCTCGATCCTTCTCTCTTTAGTTTTCAATTGCAGGTGAATGACTGTGTCTATAAACACAGCAAAGGAGTTTAGTGGGACTGATCACCTTGGCAGCAAATCATTGATTGGATGTACAGCTTGGCTCTGGCAAGGATTGAAATGAAAATTGTGGGTCAATCGTCAACATTTAAGCAGATGCCACTAAGTGGCCCCAGGCAACAGGTTATTTCATTCAGCTACTCAGGTGCATTTTGCAACTAATCCTTCTTAGTGGGCTGTTAGAATGAACCACATCTTTTCAGCTATGTGGCCCAGAATCCAAGTGTCTAAGAAGCTTCTGTTGAGGGAAATGTTTGCCCTGCCTGAAAGCAAGGGCAGACCTCTCAACTTCACACATGTCCACTCTGACCCTGTTGTAAGTCTATGGGCTGAGAGGGTACCCTGTGGACCACAGACAGCCTATAGATGTCTTTTGTTTAGTCCAATGGTGTTTTACTTTTGCTTTTTAAGTTGAATTGTTTGCCAAAATCTAAAAACTGATAGATTCACATGATCCAGGTTTCTGGCTTTTCTTGAAAAATGGAAGCTCTGGAGATACTGAAGCTCCATTTCCTCATAGTAACATCACCTGGATCGGAGTGAAGATGCTGTCTTTAGGTGGGGCCACCATTTCCTACTGCCTCACTCTGGTCAGTTTCATCCATCTATGGAACTTGCCTGGGCTCTGAAGCCATTTGAATTTTGGACTCTTGGCCTATGAAGTCCCCTTTGGTCATTGATAGAGAGCACAGCTGCCAGTGATCTGTTTCATTGTGTTCTCTGCTCTCACCTCCTCTATGAGAAATGATACTAGCAGATCAGTGTTTGCAATTCCTGCAGACGTGTCTTCCCCAAGTTTACATTTAATGCCCGACATGAAAGATATTTCACTACAGTTGAAAACATTTCTCATGTTACCTCTTGGTCCTCATATGAGGAGTGAGGGGATGAATCCCCACCCCCCCTTTTTTTTGAGCTGGAGTCTCACTCTGTTGCCCGGGCTGGAGTGCAATGGCACAATCTTGGCTCACTGCAACCTCCCCGTCCTGGGTTCCAGCGATTCTCCCGTCTCAGCCTCCCAAGTAGCTGGGATTACAGGCGTGTGCCACCATGCCCGGTTAATTTTTGTATTTTCAGTAGAGACGGGGTTTCACCATGTTGGCCAGGCTGGTCTTGAACTCCTGACCTCAAGTGATTCACCCTCCTCGGCCTCCCAAAGTGCTGGGATTACAGGTGTGAGCCGCCGTGCCTGGCCTGATGAATCTCTTTTTGAAATTTGTCTCTTTTTAGTGTTTCTAGGTTCTTTATAGTCCAAGGGGCTTCTGTGTGGGCAAAGGAATACCCTCTACAACTTCTAGTATAATTGATGTTCACTTTATCAAATTTATATGCCTAGTAAACAAAATTAGGACATAAGAATTTCTTTCTTTCTTTTTTCTTTTGAGACAGAGTCTAGCTCTGTCACCCAGGATGGAGTACAGTGGCATAATCTCGGCTCACTGCAACCTTCACCTCCTGGGTTCAAGTGATTCTCCTGCCCCAGCCTCCTGAGATTACAGACACACGCTACCACACCAGGCTAATTTTTATGTTTTTAGTAGAGACGGGGTTTCACCAAGTTGGCCAGGCTGGTTTTGAACTCCTGACCTCGGGTGATCTGCCTGCCTTGGCCTCCCAAAGTGCTGGGATCACAGGTGTGAGCCACTGAGCCTGGCCGGAAGTAAAAAATTCTAAGCTACGTTTTTACATTTAAATCCTAATTACAAACTATATTTCTTTTGGGTGAAAATAATAGAAAAGCTTGACTCAAAATGGCTTAAGCAATAAGGATTTTTTTTTTTTTTTTTTTTTGAGATAGGGTCTCACTGTATCACTCAGGTTGGAGTGCGGTGGTACAATCAAGGCTCAGTGCAGCCTCAGCCTCCTGGGCTCAAGTGTTCCTCCTGCCTCAGCTTTTCATGTAGCTGGGACCACAGGTGCATGTCACCATGCCTGGCTAATTTTTTGATTTTTTTTTTGATTTTTTTTTTTTTTAGAGATGGGGTCTCAATTTGTTGCCTAGGTTGAAAGGAAATTTATTATCTCCCATAACATGAAATCAGGAGGTAGGGTGGACTCGAGCACAATATGTCTGGGCTTGGGCTCCATTTCCTGTGATTCTCTCATTGCTGCCCTTCTCAGTGTATTTGTATCATCCTCAGCTAGCAATGTGGCTGGTGCAGTGCCAATGTCATATCCAGACACAGTTCAGAGGAGGAAGTGGGATTCTTACTATTTCCTTTTTTGGGGGACTGTGGAAACCTCTCCTAGAAGCCTCACAGTGGACTTTTCCTGAAACCTCATTGGCCAGAACTGTGTAACACACCTGTTCCTAAATGAACCACTGGCGAGAATGGGATTGCCAGTTGGCTTTCACTAATCATCTCAGAGTGGAATGAATGTTGGGAGTCTATCATAAGGATCACTACATAAACTTAATTTAAATTCCCTTAAAGAATCTAAATTACAATAATAGATTCAATAAGACTGATCTCTTAAACCCTGCAAACATCCTAACACATCAAACCACAGAGAGAAACATGAAAATAAAATGATCACAAAGGCTAAAACTACACTTAACTCTAATTTTAAAACATTAAAATCATGGATTTAATTTATTTTTATTGCCTCTACACTTATTCTTATAAGTAATATTTATTTTGGTATTTTTCTAGGGTTACAGTAATATTACTAGACCCCAAATTCAAATAAGAGTATTTCATACCGGCCAAGGTTGTAGGTTATTTATCTTATTTGTTTGAGATTGATTCTTGGCTGGAGCAGGGGACTTGGTGGCACCTTCTAAACCTTAGTCAGCACGCATTAGGGTGCCTCTTACATCCTTTTAACAACAGAATTGTATAAATTAATTTACATACCATACAATTCACCTGTTTAAAGTTTAAAATTCAATGGTTTTTAGTATACTCAGAGTTATGCAACCATCACCACAATCAGTTTTACAACATTTCCATCACACCAGTAAGAAACCCCTTAAACAGTCACGCTGCAATTCCCCCCTCCTCCTGGCCGTGGGCAACCACCAGTCTACTTTCTGTCCCTTTGAATTTGCCTTTTCTGGACAGTTCACGTGAATAGAATCATACACTATGTGGAGGCTGGGCACCTTTTAATCATTAAACTTTACTTGTTGTCAATGGCACTTGCCATGTCTATACTCTTCATAGGGGATTTCCTGAAATTATGTATTTAAACATTTTTTTTAGAGACAAGATTTTGCTCTGTTGGCCAGGCTGGAGTGCAGTGGTGTGATCATAGCCCACTGTAGCCTGGAACTCCTGGGCTCAAGAACTCCTCCCACCTCAGCCTCCCCAATAGCTGGGACTAAAAGCAAGCACCACCATGCCTGGCTAATATGTTTATTTTAATCTTTGGTAGAGACAGGGTCTCTCTATGTTGTCCAAGCTGGTCTCTAACTCCTAGCCTCAAGTGATCCTCCTGCCTAGGCCTCCCAAAGTGCTGGGCTTACAGGTATGAGCCCCAGCACCCAGTCTCTGTATTTTTAAAATTTTGCTTGGTTAGTATTATATAATTGATTATAGTGTCTTTGTTATACATTAACCTAGATGTTTGGAATGATTGGAAATATTTACATGCCTTATATATTAGACATTCACTCCCTTCCTTACTTCATTCATGCCTGTCTTCCATTCCACTTTCTTTTCTTCCTTCCACAAATATGTATTGAGCAACTTCTGTGTATCAGATATTGGAGTGCCAGGCCCTGGAGATCCAACAGTGGACATGCATGCACGGCCCTTTCCCTCGTGGACTCATGGCTTGGTGTAGTCCTGTCCCTTCTGCTGATGACTTGAGGAGGCCATGCCATGTGGGTGCTGCTGAGTTACCACTCAGAATGATACAGCAAGCCTTCAGAGCAGCTTCCTTCTCCTTCCCGTGTTTCCAATCTTTCCTCATCTCTTCAGCCATCTAACCCTTGACATACTATCTTCAGGTGTGTAATTACATAATGTATGCAGACTTTTCTGTAGATACATAACAGAAAAACAACTCATAAATATATATCAGGTTTGCTTTGTTATCAGGTTTTATTTGATTAAAATACTAAACTGTTTGTTTATCTCATACTTCGATTCTTCCATAAAAGGATTAAATTTGAAGCATAGTACAGGTTATTTATAAATAGCCAAAGTATACATGTGCAGAGCTAACTGGAAAATCTTACAGTTGAGCACTAAATTTAGTTTAGACTACAAATGAATGCAAACAAATTTGCATCAATGAAGAGAGTTCTGAATGGTAATATATTATTCAAATGAAGATTATAAAAAAGAAGAGGTTACAATAATAAATTTGGTGACAGGTTAAAAATTAAGGAAGTATGTGGTAGAGAACATTACTGAAGTTTCTATTTTAGAATAAGATAGAGTTGGATAAAAATCAAACATTTTAATAAAAACCTATGGTCTTAAAAAGAAAAATATTCTTCAGTTGTATCCCCTGGAAACAATGTCCCTCTAACTCATTATCGAATTGTTTTATTTCTTGTATTTTTTTGTTGTTGTTGTTGTTGTTGTTTGTTTTTTTGAGACAGAGTCTTGCTCTGTCTCCCAAGCTGGAGTGCAGTGGTGCGAACTTGGCTCACTGCCACCTCTGCCTCCTGGGTTCAAGTGATTCTCGTGCCTCAGCCTCCTGAATAGCAGGGATTACAGGTGCGCACCACCACCCCCGGCTAATTTTTTTTTAAATTTTTGGTAGAGACGTGGTTTTGCCATGTTGGCCAGGCTGGTCTCAAACTCCTGGCCTCAAGTGATCTGCTTGCCTCAGCCTCCCAAAGTGCTAGGATTACAGGCTTGAATCACTGCGCCTGGCCTATTGTATTTCTTCTGTTAAGTTTATTTTGCATATAAAATATATTTTTCTCTGCTAATGAGGGAAGAGTGTATTCAGGGAACTTGTGAGTAAGCCAAAGAGTTATGTAAAAAAGCAGGAATTATACCAAGAACAGGAAAAACTGAACAACCTTCATGGTCACTTAATAACCAGGTAAAAAGAGAGTCTGATAATGTGTTACAAAATGGTGTGTAAATCAGATGCCATTAAAAAAAAAAAAAAAAAGCTGACCCTGCAGACTCAATCCTTCCTTTCCTGGCTGGTAAAACCTTTGAATGACACTATTAATAAAGATTAGATAAGGGGGGACTGGAAACATGGGAAGGAGGAGGAAGCTGCTCTGAAGGCCTGCTGTATGGTTCTGAGTGGTAACTCAGCAGCACCTACATGGCATGGCCTCCTCAAGTCATCAGAAGGGACAGGACTGCACCAAACCATGAGTCCACGAGGGAAAGGGCTGTGCATGCATGTCCACTATTGGATCTCCAGTGCCTGGCATAATACCTGATACAGAGAAGATGCTGAATACATATTTGTGGAAGGAAGAAAGGAAAGAGGAAAGGAAGGCATGGAGAAAAAAGGAAGGGAGTGAAGAATGGAGGAAAAGATGTTCTATGCTTTCCCAGAGGGAGAGGATGAATGGCGAGTGATGACCTCTTCTCTACTACTCTCTCCTATTAGTTTCTTGTGTGGAGTCAGAGGCCTGAGTTGTTCTGTCCTTATTGAGTCAATAATTGGGCACAGGACAGGTGGATATTCAGCCTGAGGCTGAACTGGACCTTGGAAACCAGTATTTGCCCTGTCCTACTTGGATGCCAATATTTGCCCAGAAACTCTATGGATACGTAGCTGTCAGTTAGAGGTTTGCATCAGATTCAAACCGTAGATGTTCTCATTAGAAGAAGATGTTAGGAAAGAGGAAACACGTGAGTATCCCAGAATTAGGACTTCAGAGGAGCTTCAGAGCTGCTTCCAACTGTCTCCTCTGCTTCTAACTGTCTCCTCTGCTTCTCTCCCACAAGCTGAAGTCAATGGCTACAGTAGCCATAATTGAAGGGTTCTTTGCCACTCCCAGTTCAAGTAGGCTAAAATTTCATCCAGTGGAGATTAATTTACACTTGTAGGTTAATACCCATGATGGCTGGAGCATTGGTCATTCACTCCTGAATATAAATTGCTTTAATTTAGATTGGTTTCCCACACTTAGGAGAAGATTTTGATGGAGAGAGTGGAGGGGAGATTTTGGACCCCTCTGGTGGTGCTCCTTCCTTCCGTCCTCCGTCCCTCCCTCCCTCCCTCCCTGCCTCCCTCCCTTCCTCCCTCCCTCCCTCCCTCCTTCCCTCCCCTTTTCTCTTTCTCTCTGTGTTTCTTTTTTTTTTTTTGATACAGGGTCTTGCTCTGTCACCTAGGCTGGAGTGTGGTAGTACAATCACAGCTCACTACAACCTCGAACTCTTGGGCTCAAAAGACCCTTCCACCTTGACCTCCTGAGTAGCTAGGACTACAGGCAAGTGCTACCACACCTGGCTAATTTTTAAAGTAATTTTTTAGAGACGGAGTCTCACCATGTTGCACAGGCTGGTCTCAAACTCCTGGCCTCAAGTGATCCTCCTGCCTTGGCCTCCACAAGTGTTGGCATTACAAGCATGAGTCACTGCTCACTGCTGTAGCTGCATTTTCTTAGTCTTTTTTTCATGGGCTCCTCTTTAAGCCACTCCTTAATTTTAGCTGACCCGTATCCCCACCCCACGTAGTTGAAAATTCTCTTATAACTTTTGACTTCCCCAAAACTTGACTACTAATAGCCTCCTATTGACCAGAAAAGGAAGAAAAAAGCTGGAGGCCTCACACTTCCTGGTTTCAAAAGCACTACAATGCTATAGTAATCAAAACAGTATGGCACTGGCGTAAAGACAGACATATAGACTAATGGAATAGAATAACAGTTAATAAACATAAACAGTTGATTAACACATATTTTGTATGTTATATTTATTATATACTGTATTCTTACAATAAAGCTATAGAAATAAAATATTAAGAAAATCATAAGGAAGAGAAAACATATTAATATTTATTAAGTGGAAGTGGATCATCATAAACTTCTTCATGATGAGTAGGCTGAGGAGGGGGAAGATGAGGGATTAATCCTACTGTCTCTGAGTGGCAGAGGCAGAAGAAAATCTGCATTTAAGTGGACCCACACAGTTTAAACCTGTGTTGTTCAAGCATCAACTGTACATGTATGTTACACCTGAGCTGGGCATTACCCACAAGTCCTTGGGCTGCACTCTTGCCTTTGACCATAGGAACCATGAGAAAATCTCAGGCATTTCTTCAGGCTCTGCCTCTTGCCCTTGGGTTTGGATCCATGACTTGGCCTGTTCTCCCTGATTTCTCCACCTCTAGGTTTATGCCAGATTCCCCTCCTCTCTGTCTTGTCCTGAGATTTCACTACTCGACTTGGCCTTTTTTTCTAATTTTTTTATTGTGGTAAAATACACGTAACATAAAATTTACCGTCTTAACTATTTTTAAGTATACAATTGGTAATATTAAATACATTCATAACATTGTGCAACCATCATCACCATTCGTAACTCTTTTCGTCTTGTAAAACTAAATCTATACCCACTAAACAACAGCTCCCCATTCTCCTCTCCCCACATTCCCCGGCAACCACCATTGTACTTCTGTGTCTATGATTTAGACTACTCTGTTAAGTACCTCATATAAGTGGAATCATATAACGTTGGTCTTTTTGCGACTGGCTTATTTCATTTAGCATAATGTCCTCAGCCTTCATCCATGCAGCATGTATCACTATTTCCTTCCTTTTTAAAGCTGAAGAATATTTCATTGTATGTATATGCCACATTTTGCTTATTCATTCATTCATCCTTGGACATAGGTTGCTTTTCCTTTTTAGCTATTTTGAATAATGCTGTTATGAAATGGATACACAACTATCTCTGAGACCCTATTTTCAATTCTTTTGGGTAAGATCCAGAAGTGGAATGGCAGGATCATGTGGTAATCCTATTTTTAACATTTTGAGGAACCATCATATTGTTTTCCACAATGACTATATCATTTTACATTCCTACTGTCAGTGCACAAGGTTTCCAATTTCTCCACATCCTTGCCAACACTCGCTCTTTCCTTTTTTTTGATAGTAGGTATCTTAATGGGTGTGAAGTGACAGCTCATTGTAGTTTGACTTTCATTTCCCTAATAATAAGGTTGAGCATCTAATCAACATTAGCAATGTTAAGCATTAGTTTTTTTGCATACCTTCTTTGAATATTCAAATCCTTTGCCTACTTAAAATTTGAGTTTTTTGTTGTTGTTGTTGAGATTGAGAAGTTCTTTATATATTCTAAATATTAAACTCTTAGGCAATACATGCCTTGCAAATATTTTTGCCCATTCTGTGGGTTGTCTTTTTGCCCTGTTGAGATTGTCTTTTGATGCACAAAATTTAAAAACTTTCATGAAGTCCAATTTGTTTATTTTTTCTTTTGTTGCCTGTGTCTTTGGTGTCAAAGCCAAGAACCCATTGCCAAATTTAATGTGAAAATTTGTCCTATGTTTTCTGCTAAGAGTTTTAGGTCTTACCTTTGGGTCTTTGATCTATTTTAAGTTAAGTTTTTTATATTATGTTAGGCAAGAATCCAGCTTCATTATTTTGCCTGTGGATATCCAGTTTTTTCAGTATTATTTGTTGAAAAGATTGTCCTTTCCCCTTTGAAGGGGCTTGGCACCCTTGTCAAACACCACTTGATGATATACGCTAAGGTTTCTTTCTTGGCTCTTTATTCTATGCCGTTGGTCTATATGCCTGTCTTTATGCCAGTACCAAACTGTTTTGGTTACTGTAGTTTTGTAGTAGTTTTGAAATCAGGAAATGTGAGGCCTCCAGCTTTATTCTTCTTTTTCAAGATTGTTTTGGCTATTTGGTGTCCCTTGAGATTCCATATGAATTTTAGGATTTTTTTCCTCTCAAAAAGAGGGAGTTTTGCTCTTGTCACCCAGGCTGGAGTGCAAGGGTGCGATCTCGGCTTGAACACCTCCCAGGTTCAAGCAATTCTCCCACCTCAGCCTCCTGAGTAGCTGGGATTACAGGCACATGTCACCACACCCAGCTAATTTTTGTATTTTTAGTGGAGATGGGGTTTCACCACGTTGGCCAAGCTGGTCTTGAACTCCTGACCTCAGGTGATCCTCCCACCTCAGCCTCCCAAAGTGCTGGGATTACAGGCTTGAGTCACCGTGCCTGGCATAGGATTTTTTTTTTTCTATTTCTGCAAAAAATGTCACTGGGATTTTGATAGAGATTGCATTGAATCTGTAGATTGCTTTGGGTAGTATTGACATCGTAACAAAATTAAGTCTTCTAATCAATGAACGTGGGATAACTTTCCATTTATTTGCGTTTTCTTTTTTCTTTTCTTTTTTTTTTTTGAGACAGAGTTTTGCTCTTGTTGCCCAGGCTGGAGTGCAATGGCACAATCTTGGCTCACCACAACCTCTGCCTCCTGGGTTCAAGCAATTCTCCTGTCTCAGCCTCTTGAGTAGCTGGGATTACAGGCATGCACCACCGCACCCGGCTAATTTTGTATTTTTAGTAGAGACGGGGTTTCTCCATGTTGGTCAGGCTGGTTTCGAACTCCCGACCTCAGGTGATCTGCCCGCTTCTGCCTCCCGAAGTGCTGGGATTACAGGTGTGAGCCACTGTGCCTGGCCTATTTGTGTTTTCTTTAATTTCCTTCAGCAATGTTTTGTAGTTTTCATTGTACAAGTCTTTTACCTTCCTGGTTAAGTTACTTATTAAGTATTTTACTCTTTTTAAAATATATATCTTAAAAATTTCTACTTTTTTTTGAAATGGGGGTCTCACTATGTTGCTCAGGCTAGTCTTGAACTCCTGGCCTAAAGTGATCCTTCTGCCTCAGTTGCCCAAAGTGTTGAGATTACTGTGCTTGGCCATTTTATTCTTTTTGATGCTCCTGTAAATGAAATTGTTTTTGTAATTTTCTTTTTGGATCGTTCATTGTTAGTGTATAAGAAATACAGCTGATTTTTGAGTGTTGATTTTGTATCCTGCAACTTTGCTGAATTCATTCACTAGTTCTAAACATTTTGAGCGGTGGAATCTTGGGGTTTTCTACATATAAGATCATATCATCTGTGAACAGAGATAATTTCATTTCTTCCTTTCCAATTAGAATGTTTTTTTTTTTCTTTGCCTAATTGCTCTGGCTAGGACTTCCAGTACTGTGTTGAATAGAAGTGGTGGGAGTGGGCATCCTTACCTTGTTTCTGACCTTAGAAGAAAAACTTACAGTTTTAGACTATTGAGTATGATGTTGGCTGTGGGTTTGCCTGGCTTTTTGATTCAGTTTCTCCTTAAAAAATCCTGTCTTTTACCACCTTTGTGACTGCAAAGACCAAAGAATATTGGCCAAAATACCATTCTACAACATTCCGCAGTCCTTTTTCTCCTTCATCTCTCACATACTTTTTTGTTGTTGTTTTGTTTTTTGAGACGGAGTCTCGCTCTGTTGCCCAGGCTGGAGTGCAGTGGCATGATCTCAGCTCACTGCAACCTCCGCCTCCTGGGTTCAAGCGATTCTCCTGCCTCAGCCTCTTGAGTAGCTGGGATTACAGGCATACGCCACCACGCCTGGCTAATTTTTTATTTTTATTAGAGACGGGGTTTCACTATGTTGGTCAGGCTGGTCTCAAACTTCTGACCTCGTGATCCCCCTGCCTCGGCCTCCCAAAATGCTGGGATTACAGGCATGAGCCACCGCACCCGGCCTGTTTTGTTTTGTTTTTGCTCCCATACGTCTGCACATGCAGCTACCTGTTTCTGGAATGTCATTCCTTCCCCTCTATAGCTATCTGTGAACTTTAATTCTCAAGTCTCAAATGCCACATGTAGTAAGCTTCTCCTGACTGTACTCTTACCTCTGTCCTCGGTGGGTCAGGCTGATATGGATTTTCATGCCTTCAATGCAGCAGTAGATCTGGCCTTGGTCCCAGTGGAATTATCACTAAATTGGGATTTTTCATAGAATGCTGGGCTCAGCTGAAACTCCAGTTTGTAATGTCTGAGAAGTCTTTCAAAGTTAGTCCTGTCACCCAGTTCTTATCATTAAAAGATCATATTTTGCTGCTTTTGTACCTTGAGCAAACCACCCAACCCCAAGGCATCAGAGGCCTTTGTCCTCTTTGGCATCAGAACTCTATTATTATTATTCTCCTTTTTCCTGTTTGTCACTCTCACCCCTCCCATTTGGATAGGCTATCATGATTATGCCATGCTTTCACAGCTGTTATTATTTTATTCATTCTTCATAATAACCCTGTGAGGCAGAGAGGGGTGTTGTTTTTGCCAGTTGAGGAGCCTGCAATCTCACCTGACTCTGAAGACATGAGACAGGCCTAACTTCCTCAGGCTCTGGTTAAATCCTGGGGCTAGCTTATGAGACTTACTGTGGAACCAGAAATGACCTTTCCTCCTCAAGAAATGGCAGTAATGAAGATGCTATCAGCTACTGCTGAACCCAGTGACCAGGGGGACCCAGTGGCCAGGGGCTGGATACCACTATCACATCTGCCAACTTTAGTCACAGACATTCAACATTTCTGCTTCCTGTTGCCAGATAGTGTCCACTGATTACAGGGTATTTCAGGGTATTTGTGGGGAAGATAAGAGCTCTACTGAACTAACTGACAGGCCTGTTGCTCCTGGCTTAATAGACTCAGATACCAACCAATTCCCTTCTCTCATCTCAGCACTCTTCCCAGTGTTCACCACACTCTAGACCTGCTGGCCTTCACTTGGGTTTCTTGACTAAACCATTCTCCTTTCAGGCTGATCCTTCTGTCTGGAAGGCTCTTCCCCCATTTTTTTTGCCCAGTTAACTGCAACTCATCCATCAGGATCCAGACTCATTGACATTTTCTCATTTGAAGCCTTCCCTGATCCCAACAGACCAGCAAGTTCACCAGTGTATCCTCTCATATCAACCCCTACTTTTCCTGTGTAGCACTTAGCAGGATAACTCTTAGAAAGCAATGACTAAGTGTCAGCCATGACTGAGCTAGCCCTAAATAAAAGAACACAGTCCATGCAGCCAGAACAAATTTAAAAATATTCCGCATACTTTATTTGTACATTTTGAACACTATAGAAACATTTAGTTTCCCATGAGACTTCTTAGAATTCCCCCTTCATCCCTTTCCCATCCAATGTTTTCACATACTGTAGCAGCGCTTTTTTTTTTTTTCAACGACTGTCCCTTCCCTGCAAAAAACTCTGCAATGTGGTCCTCTTTCCTTCTTCCTTTCTTCTTAATTCTCCACTGAAACAAAACAAAACAAAACAAAACAAAACAAAACAAAAAGCTGGTCTGGCAAGGCAGGACCCTCCTTGGAAAGCAGGGGAGGGGAAGAATCTGAATAGGCCAAGACAGAATCTTCTCTGGTGGACAGGAGAAGGAAACATTTTCTTGGGGACATTATCGTGTTACTGCTGCTTGGTTATCTAATGTTACATAACCATCCTTTCCAAAACTTAGTGCCATAAAACAACTACTGTTTTTTTGTTTTTGTTTTTGAGATGGAATCTCGCTCTGTCTCCCAGGCTGGAGTGCAGTGACGTAATCTCGGGTCGCTGCAATCACCGCCTCCCAGGTTCAAGGAATTCTCTGCCTCAGCCTCCCAAGTAGCTGGGATTACAGGTGCCTGCCACCACTCCCAGCTAATTTTTGTATTTTTAGTAAAGACAGGGTTTCACCATCTTGGCCAGGCTGGTCTTGAACTCCTGACCTTGTGATCCACCTGCCTCGGCCTCCCAAAGTGTTGGGATTACAGGCGTGAGCCACGGCGCCCGGCCCTACTATTTTATTGTACTCATGATCCAGAGGGTTGGAGTTTGGGCAGGGCAGAGCAGGAATGGCTTGTCTTTGCTTCCCAGTGTTGGAGGTCTCAGCTGGGTTGGCTCAAATGGCTGGAGATGGCAAGAACATATGACATTGTCATATGTCTGGGGCTTCGGTTTTGCTCCATGTAGCGTCTACTGGGTCTAGAATGTCCCAGGTAGCTCCTTTCCTCCTTTCCTAACATATCTTATTTGTGGGCTTGTGTGGCTGAAACAGCTGGGGGTTGGCCAGCATTATTCTCTCTCTCCATGCAGCCTTTCCATGTGGCTTTAGCTTCTTACAGTATGGAAGGAAGTTTCCAAGAGGGAGCAACCCAAGAGTGAAAATTCCAAGAAATCCAGGTGAAAAGTTATACGGTTTTTTACAACCTAGCTTTAGAAGTCCCTGTTCTGCCACATTCTATTGCTCAAACAAGTCAGGAAGTTTACCCATATTCCAGAGGAGGGGAATTAGACTTCCTTGACGTGTGTCTATAGGAAGGAATAGAATGAACAGCACAGGCTACCACAATTCATGTCCCTTTCATGGTATTGGCTTGAAGTCCAGGATCTCATATAAATTAGGGTCAGGTGTGAATGAGGCTCCTTGTTTGCAATCTTCTCTTGATCAGAAGAGCCACAAACTAGAGACAAGTTATTTGTGTCTCTTGCCTGTGTTAGGGGTCCCCCACCCAAGGTTGAATGATTCGCTACAAAGACTCACAGGACTCAGCAAATAGTCATATTCATGGCTAAGATTTACTGCAACAAGAAGACACAGAGCAAAGTGGCCAGGCATGGTGGCTCTCACCTGTAATCGCAGCACTTTGGGAGGTCGACGTGGGTGGATCACTTGAGCTCAGGAGTTCAAGACCAGCCCAGGCAACATGGCAAAACCCTGTCTCTACAAAAAATGTAAACATTAACTGGGCGTGGTGGTATGCACCTGTAGTCCCAGCTAATCGGGAGGCTGAAGTGGGAGAATCACTTGAACCCGGGAGGCAGAGCTTGCAGTGAGCTGAGATCGCATCACTGCACTCCAGCCTGGGTGACAGAGCACTCCAGCCTGGGCAACAGAGCGAGATTCATCTCAAAAAACAAAACAAAACAAAACAAAACAAAACAAAAGAAAACAAAAGGCTAACCTTGGAAGCAGACCTTTCTGTCTTTTTTCTTTTTTAGAGACTGGTTCTTGCTCTATTGCTCAGGCTGGAGTGCAGTGGTGCAATCATGGCTCACTGTAGCCTCAAACTTCTGGGCTCAAGTGATACCCCTGCCTCAGCCTCTTAAGTAGCTGGGGCTACAGGCATGCACCACCATGCCTGGCTAGTTTTTTACTTTTACTTTTTTTGAGGTAGGATCTCATTTCACCCAGGCTGGAGTGCAGCGGTGCAATCACAGCTCACTGGAGCCTTGACCTCCTGGGCTCATGAGATCCTCCCATCTCAGCCTCCTGAGTAGCTGGGACCATAGTTATGCACCACCATGCTCAGCTAATTTTTTTTTATTTGTAGAGATGAGGTCTCATTATGTTGCCCAGGTGGTCTCAAACTCTTGGGCTCAAGTGATCTTCTGTCCTGGCCTTCAAAGTGCTGCGGTTACAGTCATGAAACACCATGCCTGGCCTAAGCAGGCCCTTCTAAGGATAAGTAGTCAGGCTTGCTATGGTTAACTCTATTTTGCACACTGAACAACATGTAATGGTGATATAAAGACAGCAAAATTATAGCAAATACTCCCATTGAAAAAGGTGAAGGAAGGGCCGGGTTCAGTGGCTCACACCTGTAATCCTAGCACTTTGGGAGGCTGAGGCAGGCGGATTGCCTGAGGTCAGGAGTTCAAGACCAGCCTGGGCAACACGGTGAAATCCCGTATCTACTAAAATACAAAAAATTAGCCAGGCGTGATGGCGTGTGCCTGTAATCCCAGCTATTCGGGAGGCTGAGACAGGAGAATCTCTTGAACCTGGGAGGTGGAGGTTGCAGTGAGCCGAGATCGTGCCATTGCACTCCAGCATAGGTGACAGAGTGAGACTCCCTATCAAAAAAAAAAAAAAAAGAAAAAGAAAAAAGAAAAAGGTGGAAGGGCCAGGCATGATAGCTCACGCCTATAATCCTTGCACTTTGGGAGGCTGAGGTGGGTGGATTGCCTGATCTCAGGAGTTCAAGACCAGCCTGGCAACACGGTGAAACCCTGTCTCTACTAAAAATACAAAAAATTAGCTGGGCATGGTGGCGTGGGCCTGTAGTCCCAGCTATTTGGGTGGCTGAGGGAGGAGAATCGCTTGAACCTAGGGGGCGGAGGTTGCAGTGAGCCAAGATCATGCCACTGCACTCCAGCCTAGGGGCACAAAGTGAGACTCTGTCTCAAAAAAAAAAAAAAAAAAAGAAAAAGAAAAAGAAAAAGGAAAAGGTGGAGGGAGGAAGAATGAGAGGCACATAAGCAGTTACTGGCTCATAGCAATTCTGAAATCCATCCAGGCACATATTTCTAGTTCCTTGACTAAGGCCTAGTCCTGCTCCAAGGGAGTTTTTCTCTGTGATTCTTGGCTCTTCCCTTTGGACTCTTGGTTCTGCATTTAGCTTTGCTTCCTTTTCCATAAAAAATAACCTGTGTTTGCAAATAAGTTGCCTTTTCAGCCTGCTTCCTCTCTATATAAAGTTGGGTGCCATAAGGTCTCTTTTCATTTTGAACTATCTGTTCTTTTCAGTTCAAGTTCATGGTGCTTCTACCAATATAATTCTCTGAAAAACATTGTGAGTTTTCTATTAATAGCATTGAGGTTCACTCTATTAGACAAAAGCCACACTCTAAAGTCTTTTAAGAGACAGGGTCTTGCTCTGTCACCCAGGCTGGAGTGCAGTGGCATGATGTAGCTAACTGCAGCCTTGACCTCCTAGGCTCAAGCAATCTTCTCACCTCAGCCTCCAGAATAGCTGGGACTACAGGTGCATGCCACCATGCCCAGCTAGTAAGAAAAAATTTCTTTTGTAGAACTGGGGTTCTCGCTATGTTGGCCAGGCTGGTCTTAAACTCCTGGACTCAAGTGATCCATCCACCTCAGCCTTCGAAAGTGTTGGGATTATAGGCCTGAGCCACCACGTCTGGCCCCCTAAAGTCTTTAAAGGCTGTTTTCTCTCTTCCTTGGACTTACAATCAAGGTACTCTGAGATAATGCTCTTAAAATTCCTGAAGCCTTTTTATCTAATTGGGAATGTCTATGAAGCATGCCCTTCAATCTTACAGCTGTTTCCTGAGCTGAAAAAAGCCCTTGAGATTATTATTGTTTACTTTTATTTTTATAGCAACCAGGTCTCACTGTGTTGCCCAGGCTGGTCTTGAACTCCTGACCTCAAGTGGTTCTCCTGGCTTGGCTTCCCAAAGTGCTAGGATTACAGATGTGAGCCACCATGCCCAGCCCCTCAAGGTTATTTTTACCCAGAGGCCACACTTTACTTGAAGTGTATTGAATTTAATCTTTGCTATTAGGTCATCTCTTACTGTGAAAGTCTTTTTCTTGGGAGATAATAGAGGTTAGAAACAGGTTTATTTTTGACCTAGCAAGTCTTGACTTTTTAATATTCTAAGTGCTGCTTTAAAATTAAACAATTCCTTAGTTCAACTTTCTTGTATTTTGTCTTAAACAAATAGAAGACTCCACTTGGCAATTTCAACACTCTGACTGCAAACTTCCCTAGCCAAATCCATGAGATACAAGATCATTAACTGCGCTTTCTAATTTTCATGAGATACCCTTTCTTTCCTTTTTTTTTTGTTGAGATGTGTCTCACTATGTGGCGCAGGCTGGCCTTGAACTCCTGTGCTCATATGATCCTCCTGCCTCAGCCTCCTGAGTAGCTGGGTCTATAGGTGCACACCACATACTCACTACTCTTTCTGTTTTTTACATTACCTCAGTCAACGGTGCTGCCAAACTTTCTGCCACTATATGACAGGAGTCACGTTTTATCCAACTGTATTAGTTTGCTAAGGGTGCCATAACAAGGTACCACAAACAGGGTGATTTAAACAACAGAACCGGTGACTTAGACTACAGAAATTTATCATGTCACAGTTCCGTTTTTTTGTGTGTGTTTGTTTGTTTGACACAGAGTCTCACTCTGTTACCCAGGCTGGGGTGCAGTGGCTCAATCTCAGCTCACTGCAACCTCTGCCTGCCAGGTTCAAGCGATTCTCGTGGCTTAGCCTCCCAAGTAGCTGGGATTACAGGCACGTGACACCATACCCAGCTAATTTTTTGTATTTTAGTAGAGACAGGGTTTTGCCATGTTGGCCAGGCTGGTCTTGAACTCCTGGCCTCAAGTGACCCACCTGCCTTGGCCTCCCAAAGTGCTGGGATTACAGGCATGAACCACTGCCCCTGGCAATCTCACAGTTCTGGACTAGATGTCCAAGATCAAGGTGTTGGTTGGGTTGATCCTGCCTAAGAGCTGTGAGCAATAATCTGTCCCATGTTTCTCTCCTAGATTCTCGTGGTTTGCTTGCTGGCAGCAATGTCTGGCATTCTTTGGCTTGTAGATCCATCACTCTGATCTCTGTCTTCAGGCTGGCATGGTGTTCTTTCTGTGTGCATGTTTGTGTCCAAAATTTGGACGCCAGTCATAATGGATTAGGACCCAACCTAATGACATCATTTTAAGTGAACTACCTCTATAAAGACCCTATCTTCAAATATGATTACATTCTGGCTGGGTGCAGTGGCTCATGCCTGTAATCCCAGTGCTTGGGAAGGCTGAAGTGGGAGGATCCTTTGAGGCCAGGAGTTTGAGACCAGTGTGGACAACATAGCCAAGACCCTGTCTCTACAAAAAAAGTAAAAAAATTAGCTGGGCATGGTGGTATGTGCCTATAATCCTATGTACTTGGGAGGCGGAGGCAGGAGGATCACTTGAGCACAGGAGTTCAAGGTTACAGCGAGCTATGATTGTACCACTCTACCCCCGCCTGGGTGACTGAGATCCTGTCGCTAAAAAAACCCAAAAACAAGAGCAAATAAGATCACATTCTGAGGTACTGGGAGTTAGAATTTCAATATGAATTTTGGTGGGGACACAAGTCAACTCAAAGCACCGACCTTCAATAGCAATTCCCTCACTGTCCTTCAAGACTTCTCTTGAGGTCCTTTTGGCTTCCGCCCACCCCTGTCCAAAGCCGATGACACATGTTTTTCTTTCTTTTTTTTTTTTGAGACAGAGTCTCGCTCTGTCACCCAGGCTGGAGTGCAGTGGTGCGATCTCCGCTCACGGCAAGCTCCGCCTCTCAGGTTCACGCCATTCTCCTGCCTCAGCCTCCCGAGTAGCTGGGACTACAGGCGCCCGCCACCACACCCGGCTAATTTTTTGTATATTTAGTAGAGACAGTGTTTCACCATGTTAGCCAGGATGGTCTTGATCTCCTGACCTCGTGATCCACCTGCCTCAGCCTCCCAAAGTGCTGGGATTACAGGCGTGAGCCACCGCGCCCGGCCAACACATGCTTTTCATTGTTGCAGTGTCTAACTTCACCAGTTTTATTATCAGTTATGGGCTGATCAGGGAAGTGGCCACCACTATGGAATACAGGCTTTATTCTGAGAATTGGATACAATACAGTTGCAGGAGAAGCTAGGGAAGAAAAGGTCTGAAAGGAGATGGCTGGACAATCAGAAAAGTCACTAACCAGAGATCACAAAGGAAAGCTGACGAATGAGTACATGGAAGGCTGTTCCCTCTGCATCCAGCAATGGGCCTGAAGTTTATGATAGGTCATCAGGGCTAGCAATCAGGAAGAAAAGTTGGATTGCATTGAGGGAGAGTGAGGACAAACTAGAATCCACAGGACAAACTGGAACCCACGAAGACAAAATGGAACTCACAGCTATCTTTCACATTGACGAGCATGCGATATGTAGCATAAGCTAATGCCTTTACCATGGAACTACACGTGCCTTGCGCCAAGGCTTGGAGACACTGAAATAGAAAATTTGGTGGGAGTTGAAGGAGCTGTGGGCCAGTTAATGCTCTGTACCAACAAAGTATGTTAGCAGATCAGTAACCACTCTATGATCTGCAGCGGCATGTGATATTTACATCAACCTTCAGAACACAAGGGCTGCTGCTTCCAAATCTTACATAAATCTTACCTGCTCCTTCCAAACTTACACGAAATTCTTCTGTAGTGAATCCTATCCTGGATCCACATTGGGAACGGACATTTGAGGAACTAGATTTCAACTTACCTAATTGACACAGTACAAACATCAGTGACTGTCAGATACCATGATGCTGATGCTGTGTCTTATACATACTACCCTCTCATTTAAACTTCATACCAGTCTTGCAAAATAGATCTCATCTGGAAAGACCTCATCAAAAAAATAAAAATTAAAAAAAGAGGCCGGGTGCGGTGGCTGACGCCTGTAATCCCAGCACTTTGAGAGGCCGAGGCAGGGTGGATCACGAGGTCAGGAGTTCAAGACCAGCCTGGCCAAGATGCTGAAACCCCATCTCTACTAAATATACAAAAATTAGCTGGGCATGGTGGCACGCGCTTGTAATCCCAGCTATTTCAGAGGCTGAGGCAGGAGAATTGCTTAAACCCAGGTGCCAGAGATTGCAGTGAGCCAAGATCAAGCCACTGCGCTCCAGCCTGGGTGACAGCAAGACTTCGTCTCAAAAAAAAAAAAAAAAAGTTTCCTTTCGGCCGGAACCGCCATCTTCCAGTAATTCGCCAAAATGACGAACACAAAGGGAAAGAGGAGAGGCACCCGATATATGTTCTCTAGGCCTTTTAGAAAACATGGAGTTGTTCCTTTGGCCACATATATGCGAATCTATAAGAAAGCTGATATTGTAGACATCAAGGGAATGGGTACTGCTCAAAAAGGAATGCCCCACAAGTGTTACCATGGCAAAACTGGAAGAGTCTACAATGTTACCCAGCATGCTGTTGGCATTGTTGTAAACAAACAAGTTAAGGGCAAGATTCTTGCCAAGAGAATTAAGGTGCGTATTGAGCACATTAAGCACTCTAAGAGCCGAGATAGCTTCCTGAAACACGTGAAGGAAAATGATCAGAAAAAGAAAGACGCCAAAGAGAAAGGTACCTGGGTTCAACTAAAGCGCCAGCCTGCTCCACCCAGAGAAGCACACTTTGTGAGAACCAACGGGAAGCAGCCTGAGCTGCTGGAACCTATTTCCTATGAATTCATGGCATAATAGGTGTTAAAAAAAAAAATAAAGGACCTCTGGGCTGTAAAAAAAAAAAAAAAAATTAAAAAAAGAAAAAAGAAGTGTTGCAAAATAAATATTAGCATTCTCATTTTACATATGAGGAAATGAAGCCTTATATTTACTCATAGATGAGTCAATGGGGAAGCCCGGATTCTTCCCGACATCTGTGTGGTAGCCATCTTCCAAGATGACCCCCATGATTCTTGCCCATTGGTACTCATATCCTTTTGTAGTTTCCCTCCCAAATCAAATAGATTTGACCTGAGCAATCAGTAGAGCATTGCAGAAATGATGGTGAATGACTTTTGATGGTGGATCGTAAGAGACATTGCAACTTCCATCTTTCTCTTTCTTGAATCAATTGAAAGCCAGCTGACGTGTTGTAAGGATACTCAAGCAGCCTGAGGACAGGCCCATATACAGAGGAACTGAGGCCTTCTGTAAACGACCCATCCATGTGAGTGAACCACCTTGGAAATAGATTTTCCAGCATCAGCCTAGCCTTCAAATGACTACAGCCCTATATTTTACTGCAACCTCCTGAGACACTTCAAGCCAGAACTATAGAGCTAAGTGGCTTCTAAATTCCTGACTTACAGAAAATATGAAATAATGTTTACTATAGTTTTAAGCTGCTAAATTTTGGGTTAATTGGTTACACAGCATTAGATTAATATAATCTGTTAGATTCTGAAGCACAACTCTTTACTTTTCTTTCTTTCTTATTTTCAATTTTTTTGTGGAGACGGGGTTTTGCTACATTGCCCAGGCTGGTCTTGAACTCCTGGCCTCAAGCAATCCTCCCACCCCAGTCTCTCAAAGTGTTGGGATTACAGGCAGGAGCCACTGCACCCAGGAAAAGCACAGCGCTTTCTATGACATCATGCTACTTTAAAATTTGTTTGGATAGGAAGGGCATGGTGGCTCACGCCTGTAATCCCAGCACTTTGGGAGGCCAAGGAGGGCAGCTCACTTGAGGCTGGGAGTTTGAGACCAACCTGGCCAACATGGCGAAACCCCATCTCTACTAAAAATAAAAAAATTAGCCGGGCGTGGTGGCTGGCGCCTGTAATCCCAGCTACTTGGGAGGTTGAGGCAGGAGAATCGCTTGAACCCGGGAGGCGGAGGTTGCAGTGAGCTGAGATCATACCGTTGCACTCCAGCCTGGGCAACAGAGTGAGACTCTGTCTCAAAAAAAAAAGAAAAGAAAAAAAAAGAAAAAAAATGCGTTTGGATTGTATGAATGAGGATGATGGGAGAAGTAGGAATTTGGAAGTCCACAATGTCCTGGTCTTGTCATAAAAAAAAGGCTTTGAAATATGTTTGGTACTTCCAGATACTGAGAGAGAAGAAGGGTCATATAGTGGTTAAACTGAACCTTGAGAATTAGGAGGTTTTCTTCGTTTCTTTTTTCTTCTTCTTCTTTTTTTTTTTTTTTTGCTACTCAGGGTAAGCTGACTTCGCATGAATAAATCAGAGGTTAAACCATGTGGTTTTGCTGACTGGCAGACTTGGGCTGGAAATGGGGAAGATAAATGATAGAAATTGGATTCTGGTAGGGCAAGAAAAGTCCTGACAAATGGTGATGAAATGGGGTAGAACCTTCAGGACAGTCACAGTGAGGGGCTGGCCACCCTTTTGCTCCTGCCCCTTCTTTCGTCAGTGGGGCCATCCTCTCCTCTTCCCCACCAGTTCCTTTTTGATCTCAAACTCACTGAAGAGGCTCCTTCTTGTTCTTCTCTTTCCAAATATCCCTTTCTTATGAAGATCTTTTCCTTTCTTAATAAGGCAAACATGTGCATTAAGGAACTTAAAAAAGCAAAACAAAACCAAACTTCATCTGAGAACCACCTCATTTTAAAAACTCTTGGTGTTTATTGTTCTCTCCAATTAGTCCAGGATTGGAGAGGAGAGGTACTGAGCCTGGCGATTTAATCAGACCTTAGTTAACCGGCAATAGTTATTATCCTAGGATGCTAGTACTGCAAGAACCCTTCCAGAACATCTGGTGCAACCCTGCTCTTTTTATACGGGATAATTTGAAGCCCAAAGAGATCAAGTGACCATTGTGACCACCGCGAACAGATATTAATTCAACAGCTGCAATCGAATACTTTTTTTTTTTTTTTTGAGACGGAGTTTCACTCTTGTTGCCCAGGCTGGAGTGCAATGGCGCGATCTTGGTTCACTGCAACCTCCGCCTACCGGGTTCAAGCGATTCTCCTGCCTCAGCCTCCCGAGTAGCTGAGATTACAGGCATGTGCCACCACGCCCGGCTAATTTTGTATTTTTAGTAGAGACGGGGTTTCTTCATGTTGGTCAGGCTGGTCTCGAACCCCCGACCTCAGGTGATCCGCCCGCCTTGGCCTCCCAAAGGGCTGGGATTACAGGCGTGAGCCACCACGCCTGGCCGAATACGTTCTTTTAAATGGTCCATCTCTTTGGATTAGTAAAATGGGTGGAGTGATTTGGAATTGGCCCAGATCTCCTATTCTGCAAGCAGAGAAACACTACAGAGAGGTATTACCCAGGTCAAACCCCTCCTAAGATGTGAATTGAACAACAGCTAGGCGTTAGGAAGAAAATGCTGCCTGACCCTGACTTCTAAACTCCCCTTAAACGTCGTCGCTGTGTCCCTAGAACCCAAGATAGAGTATGCATGAATAAACTTTTGCGAAATGAACCAACAAACTTCCCTCGAGGTCCTTCCTGCCTCCCCGCCGCCCTGCATCTCCCCGACTTGGGACTGCGCTATCATTTCAGTCCTGGTCTGGGGACTTTTCGGGGTCTTCTCTGGCCTTCTCAGACAGTGACTCCGTTCCCAGGACAGGACCAGGGATCCCTTTTTCACTGCGGGGCGCTGGGAGGAGGCGGGTAGGCTGCTCACCTAATCTCTCGGGTTTTTCCTCAAGACGCGGTCATTTGTGTGAGGTGTTGTACTCGAGCACCCAAAATGGCCCGAACTGGTCTGGGAAACATTAGGGAGATGTGTTTACCGTCCTGGCTGACACTGAAGGCCAAGCATTCTTGCCACCAGGCGTGGCTTGACTCGCAGAACCCACACTCTGGCGGCTGTGGGCGCGGCACTGGACCGGCGCCGGCAGCAGGGCGGGGCCTGGCGGGGGCGGGGCCTGGCGGGTCAGGTGACTGCGCGGCGGGCTGTGGCTGCGGAGGTTGAGGGGCGTCCGAGGCGCGGAGGGGCTGGCTGGGCAGGAGGGGTTGGCGGGGCAGCAGGGCCGCGGCCATGGGGAGCTTGAAGGAGGAGCTGCTCAAAGCCATCTGGCACGCCTTCACCGCACTCGACCAGGACCACAGCGGCAAGGTCTCCAAGTCCCAGCTCAAGGTGGGCGCCTCCTGACCCGGCCCCCCACCCGACCCTCCCCGGCGCGCTCTGTACTTCCCTTGGGTGGAAGCGGGACCTGGCGGGCCGTGACCGCAGGGCGGGGCGGGTCGGAATGCGCCCGGTAGGCC
This sequence comes from Homo sapiens, assembly GCF_000001405.40. NCBI lineage: Eukaryota > Metazoa > Chordata > Mammalia > Primates > Hominidae > Homo > Homo sapiens. The sequence goes on from NC_000011.10 coordinate 9,664,407, forward strand.
CGCTTGGGGCGGAGTGGGTCTGAGACCGGGATTTGGTGTTTACTGCCTCCCCCTTGCCTTCGGGCCATGCCCTCGGTTGGATGTGTTAGTTCCCGCGGGTCTCCCAGGGACTGGGAAGGGTGGCGGGCATAAGGCTGGGGTGAAGTCTGGAGGGCCAAGTGTGATTCCTTCTTGGCGTTGGAGAGCGGGGGGCAGAAAGTGGATTCTGAGGCGGCAATGGGAAGCTCCCTTACACAGCCTTCCCAGAATTTTCCTCTTACTCCAGGAGAGGAAGGGACTTGCCCAAGGTCGCTGGGCAGAACCTTCTGCAGCCCACAGCCCCACACCAGGACAGTCCTCAAAACGGCTAGCTGCCCCGGAGGCGACAGGGCAGTCCGGAGACGCAGAAATGCCCCGAAGCCCGGCCTCCAGGGTCCTTCTCCTTTGGGAGGCTTTTTGACTTGGGAAGACCTTCCGCCCAGCGTCTTTTAAGTTTGGAACTAGTGGACGGGGTGTACTGTGTCCCACAGGGACCTTAGTTCCGGGTGAGGAGCGCTGATCTTTCTGGCACCCTGCAAAAGCGACTGCTTTTTCAGAGTCGTTATTGTGACTGCCGGAGACCCTAGAGTATAGGGTATAAATAAAGGGATGCTTGTAAATTGAGTAACCCCAAGCAGCGAAATTGGCATTAAGCCAGCAGAAATTGGCAGCTTCTTCAAAGTAAAAAAATATAGAAACAGACAAGAAAAGCTATTCATAGGCATTTAAAAATATACATATTTTAGATCCGAATGTCCGGTTTTCTTAGCCCCTTCTGGGAATAAATTCTGAAGATTGGGTTTGTTTTGTATATTTTTGTACAGTAATCCCGTTCTTCTGAGTAGTGGCTTTTATGCCAGTAGGACTTAACATTCTCCTTGTCTTCCTTTTGCCTCTCCTTTCTTTTTCTCACTGATAGAATCATAGTCTGGAAGGGTCCATGGAGATCATCCACGTAATTTTTATTTTACTTCATTTTTAAATATTAACATACAGTAAAATTGACTTTTGGTGTACAGTTCTATAAATTTCAACATATGTATAGATTTATATAACTATCACCACAACCATGGCTTCCTCAGTTCCATCATCCTAAAAAACTCCCTGATGTTGCCCTGCCTCCACCCCAACTGTCGGCAACCATTGATCTTTCCTAATTGCTATAGTTTTACCTTTTCCGAAGTGCCATGTAAATGGAGTCATATAGTTTGTAACTGTTGAAACTGATTTCTTTTACCCAGCATAATGCCTTAGAGATTAATCCATTTTGTTGTGTGTACCAATAATTTTTTAAATTGCTAAGTAATATTCTATTGCATGGATGTATGGTAGTTTTTAGCCATGCATCTGTGAGAATTTGTGTTATTTCCAGTTCGGGGGAGTTATGAGTAGGTCTACATTTTACTTTTATTTTTACTTTTAACTTACCTATGCCATTTTATTTAAAGTAAGTTTTTAATAAATAGATGTAGCTGGGTCTTTTTTTTTATTCATTCTGACAATCTCTGTCTTTTAATTGGTATATTTAGGCCATTTACATTTAATGTAATTATTGATATGGTTTGATTTAGGGCTACCATTTTATTATAATTTGGTTTCTGCTTTTTTTTTTTCCTCTCTTTTTCTTCCATCTTTGGGATTATTTGAATATGCTTTAGTTTTTTGTTTTTTTTTTTTCTGAGACACAGTCTTGCCCTGTTGCCCAGGCTGGAGTGCGGTGGTGTGATCTCGGCTCACTGCAACGTCTGTCTCCTAGGTTCTAGAGATTCTCGTGCCTCAGCCTCCCAAGTAGCTGGGATTGCAGGTGTGCGTCACCACACCTAGCTAATTTTTGTATTTTTAGTAGAAACGGGGTTTCACCATGTTGGCCAGGCTGGTCTTGAACTCCTGAGCTCAGGTGATCTGCCCTCCTTGGTTTCATGAAGTGCTAGGATTACAAGTGTGACCCACTGTGCCTGGCCAATATTTCATTTTAATAGAGTTTTTTACTATATTTCTTCATGTAGGTTTTTTTAGTACTTGCTCTAGGAGTTAGAATATCCATCCCTAACTTTTCATAGTGTACTTAGAGTTAATATTTTACCACTTTAAGGAGAATGTAGAAAACTTATCACCATATAGGTCCCTTTACTCTCACTGCTTTATGTTGTAATTGTCATATTTATTAATCTACATACATTGAAATCCCCATCAGACAATATTAAATTTTTTGCTTTCAACCATCATTTCTCTTTTAAAGATCTTAAGAGGAGAAGAAAATTTTATTCTTTTTTTCCAGATATTCCCAGATGACCTCTTAATTTTTTTTTTTTTTTTTTGAGCCGGAGTTGCGCTCTGTCACCCAGGCTAGAGTGCAGTGGTGTGATCTCGGCTCACTGCAACCTCTGCCTCCCGGGTTCAAGCGATTCTCCTGCCTCAGCCTTCTGAGTAGCTGGGACTACAGACACGTGCCACCAAGCCTGGCTAATTTTTGTATTTTTAGTAGAGATGGGGTTTCACCATATTGGCCAGGGTGGTCTCAAACTCCTGACCTCGTGATCTGCCCGCCTTGGCCCTGCAAAGTGCTGGGACTACAGGTGCCCGCTGCCATGCCTGACTAATTTTTTTGTGTGTATGTTTTAGTAGAGACGGGGTTTCATTGTATTGCCCAGGCTGGTCTCGAACTCCTGAGCTCAGGCAATTTAACCAACTTGGCCTCCAGAAGTGCTAGGATTACAGGTGTGAGCAACTGCAATGATATGTTTAGTGATTTGTCCAAAGTCACAGTTGTAAGTAGTAGCTAATCTAGAACCAAGATTTTCACACTTCTGTGTGTGTGTGTGTGTGAGAGAGAGAGAGAGAGAGAGAGACAGGGTCTTGCTGTGTCACCCAGGCTGGAGTGCAGTTGCACTATCTTGGCTCACTGCAACCTCCACTTCCTGGCTCAAGCGATCCTCCAGCCTCCACCTCCCAAGTAGCTAGGCTCACAGGCATGAGCCACCATGCTCAGTTCATTTTTGTATTTTTTTGTAGACATAGGGTTTTGTCATGTTGTCCAGGCTGGTGTTGAACTCCTGAGCTCAAAGACATCCGCCCGCCTTGGCCTTCTAAAGTGCTGGTATTCAGATATGAGCCACCTTGTCCAGACAACTCTTTATAATTCTTTTTCTCTTTTTTTGGAGACAAGGTCTTTTTGTCGCCCAGGCTGGAATGCGGTGGCGCGATCATGGCTCAATGCAGCCTCAACCTCCTGGGCTCAAGCAGTCCTCCCACTTCAGACTCCCACGTAGATGGGACTACAGGCACAGGCCACTATGCCCAGCTAATGTTTGTACTTATGTAGAGATGGAGTTTTGCCATTTGCCCAGGCTGGTCTTGAATTCCTGAGCTCAGACTATATGCCTGCCTCAGCCTCTCAAAATGCTGGGATTACAGGCACGAGCCACTGCACCCATCCTATTTTCACACTTTATTACTATTACTGTTGTATTTTTTATTTTTTTGAGACGGAGTGTCGCTTTATCACCCAGGCTGGAGTGCAGTGGTGCGATCTTGGCTCACTGCAACCTCTGCTTCCTGGGTTCAAGCGATTCTCCTGCCTCAGCCTCCCAAATAGCTGGGATTACAGGTGCCCACTACCACACCTGGCTAATTTTTGTATTTTTAGTAGAGATGGGGTTTCACCATGTTGGCTGGGCTCATCTCAAACTCCTGACCTCAGGTGATCCACCCGCCTTGGCCTCCCAAAGCATTGGGATTATAGGCGTGAGCCACCATGCCTGGCCTATTTTCACACTTTAAAGCCAATGGTTTCTTCATTTTCTTCTCTTCCAATTGACGGCATAAATGAGATTTTTTGGATTACTTTGATGATACTTTATTCAAAATTGTCTTTATGGCTGCTTATAGGAAAAGCGTCTTGGCAGGAAATGTTAAATCCCAGTTCATAGATTTCACCCACAGTATGTTGATAATGCAACTGTGCAATTGTATTTTGTCTCTCTCTTGTCTGTATGAGACTTTGGGATTGGTTCAGTTCTGTTCATCTTGCCAGTGTTCGTAGAATTGAAAATATTTAAACATTTTTATTTAGGTCTCCTTTTGTGTTTGACCCTAGTTCTGTGTTCTGTTGGCTGGGAGTAGAGTTTTTGCCTTAATTTGTTGATTGATTCATTCACTCATACAGTAACCTTCTGTAAGTCTACTATGTGTAAGGTACCATGCTAATTTAGTCAGAAGATTAGTATTTTTAGGCTCTTAAGAGTTAATATCTCCTTGGAGGAAATGTCAAATAATTGATTTGTTAAACAGCAGACTAATAATTATGTATCCAAAATGATGGTTAAAATGTATTGCTTTGGAAAGCTATATGGGTATTCTAAAATATTTTTGATACTTGCCTTTTTGAGTTATCTTCACAACTTTTGACACAGAGAATGGATATATTCACTAGATAAGGGATATGGTGGTGAAAGGCAGAGAAAAAAGAAACAAATATGAATCTTTGCCTTCAAAGAGTTTAAACTTTGGTAGGCAAATTAAAAGGCTAAATGACCATTAAAGAAGGCACACTCTCTCTCTCCAGATAGAGATTATATTACTCAGACAATTACTGATCCTTAAAAAACATAAAGTCTGGTGGTGAAGGTAACAAACAGAAATATTGGGTTAAAGATACTGAGTGTGACAGAAGATATGGAGCCATGAGATTTTAAAGGAAGAAGCGATTTCTTCTCACTGGTGTGATTGCTTTATGAAAAAAGCTTCTTTGAAATGAACTCCGAAGGAAGTTAGGATGTGATTATGTAGGAATGGGGGAAGATTAAGCCCATTCTATTAATTAATTAATTACTTAGTTTTTTGAGACGGAGTCTTGCTCTGTTGCCCAGGGTTGAGTACAGTGGCAACCTCCACCTCCCTGGTTCAAGAGATTCTTCTGCTTCAGCTTCCCAAGTAGCTGGGACTACAGATGTGCACCACCATGTCTCGCTAATTTTTGTATTTTTAGTGGAGACAGGGTTTCACCATGTTGGCCAGGCTGGTCTCAAACTCCTGACCTCAAGTGATCCACCTGCCTCGGTCACCCAAAGTGCTGGGATTATGGGCATGAGCGACCACGCCCAGCCTAATTTATTTATTTAATGGATAGTTATTGATTGCTGTTATCCCTAGGGAACACTGATCTACTGCAAGAGATGGGAATGAATCAGGTATTTATGGGGACTTCTGTGTAACTTACTTTGATTGGAGTGTAGAACATACACATATGTGTTCCTGTGTGTGTATGAGAGAGAGTTATTGCTGGTGATAAAGCTACAGAAATAGATTGGGGTTAATGCATAGAAAGCTTTGATTGCCACACAAATTAGGTGTATGCCAGGGGCCCCCCAGGTTTTCAGAGAATGATGAGTTGTGATCAGAATTGCACTTTAGAAAGTTACTTGCCAGGTGCGGTGCCTCACACCTGTAATCCCAGCACTTTGGGAGGCTGAAGTGAGTGGATCATCTGAGGTCAGGAGTTCAAGACTAGTGTGGCCAACGTGGCAAAACCCTGTCTCTACTAAAAATATAAAAATTAGCTGGGTGTGGTGGCACGCACCTGTAGTCCCAGCTACTTGGGAGCTGAGGCAGGAGAATCACTTGAACCTGGGAGGCGGAGGTTGCAGTGAGCCGATATCTCACCCTGTACTCCAGCTGGGGCGACATAGCAGATGTGCTGGCTAGAGTGGATTGGGAAGATAACAGAAACCATTGCAATAGCCCCGATAAGAGGTAATAGGGACTAGAGACAGTGAAGATGGACAAGAGGGAAATGGTGGGTCAAGGTATGAGCCTTGACCCATGATTGGGTGGGAGGAGGACGGGAAAGGACAGATTCAGAAATGTCTCAGATGTCAACTACAGTTGACCAGATGTGTAGTAGTGGTTTTGATTTTTTTAAATAATGGTTTTTAATAGAAGTGGGTTTTAAAAGAAATGGAAAAGCCACAAGAAGGAGCTGTTTATGCAGTGATGCAGTTTTGAACACGAAAAGTTTTTTTTTGTTTTATTTATTTATTTTTTTGAGGTCCTTGATGGGTGTATGTTCAGCTGGAGATGATATTCCTGGGAAAATTTGGGGTTGTCAGTAAGGAATTTGGTAGTTGAAGCTTGGAAAAAGAGGAGAAAAGAGCCATTGACAGTCTTGGGGAATGGCTATGGTAGATGATGAGAGGAACAAGAAAAGCAGAGGACCAGAAATCAGAGATAAGAACCCCTTTGGGGCAACGCTGGAGCTGAGGGAGAAAACTTTTAAGGAAAACATGGTCTCATACCTTTGAGAGTTAATTTTTTATTATTATTTTTATTTTCATTTATTTATTTTTTCTGAGGCGGAGTCTTGCTCTATCACCCAGGCTGGAGCACAGTGGGGCCATCTCGGCTCACTGCAACCTTCACCTCCTGGGTTCACGCCATTCTCCTGCCTCAGCCTCCCGAGTAGCTGGGATTACAGGTGCCTGCCACCACACCTGGCTAATTTTTTATATTTTTAGTAGAGACGGGGTTTCACCATGTTAGCCAGGCTGGTCTCGAACTCCTGACCTTGTGATCCACCCACCTCGGCCTCCCAAAGTGCTGGGAGTACAGGCGTGAGCCACCATGCCCGGCCTATTATTGTTTTTTATATATACAAATATAAATATAAATATATATAAATATATAAATATAAAAATATATATAAATATATTTATAAATATAAATATAAAAATATATAAAATATATTTATAAATATAAATATAAAAATATATAAAATATATTTATAAATATAAATATAAAAATATATAAAATATATTTATAAATATAAATATAAAAATATATAAAATATATTTATAAATATAAATATAAAAATATATAAAATATATTTATAAATATAAATATAAAAATATATAAATATATTTAAAAATATAAATATATAAATAAAATAAAATAAAAATAAAAATATATAAATATATATAAATATATAAAAATATATTTATAAATATATATATAAATATATAAAAATATATTTATAAATATATATATAAATATATAAAAGTATATTTATAAATATATATATAAATATATATAAATATATATATAAATATATAAATATATAGAAATATATAGAAATATATATAAATATATTTATATAGAAATATATTTCTATATATAAATATATTTATATAGAAATATATTTCTATATAAATATATAAATATTTCTATATAAATATATTTCTATATAAATATATATAAATAGAAATATATAAATATATTTCTATGTATACATAGAAATATATAAATATATTTCTATGTATACATAGAAATATAAATATATAAATATATAATATAAATATAATATATTATTATTTATAAATATATATAAATATAAATATATAAATATATAATATAATAATATATAATATATAAAATAAATAAATTATATTTATAATTTAAATATAATTTTAATTTAATTTAATTATTAAATATAATAATTATAATATAATTATATTTTATAATATATTTTATAATATATAATATATTTTATATGTTATATATTTTTCTATATTTTATATAATATATAAAATATATATTTTAATAATATATATTTTAATAATATATTTTATATAATATATTTTATAGTATAAAATATATAATTAAATAATAATTTAAATATAATTATAATATAATATAATTTAAATGTAATTTAAATATAATTTAAAATAATATTTATAAATAATATATTTAAATATATATATACATATATGTGTGTGTCTATATATATATATATATATATATATATATATATGATTGTAAAGTAATCAGGTTGGTTCTTCCTTTCCATGTCCCATAAACTTCATATTTCTTCTCTAAAGATAAATTATGAAAAGCTTGGAATATTGACATCATCTTTGGAATAAATGTATTTTTTACTTATTTTAAAAAATTTATTTATTTATTTTGAGACAGGGTCTCACTCTGTCACTCAGGCTGGAGTGCAGTGGCACGATCATAGCTCACCATACCCATGACCTCCATGCTGAAGTGATCCTCCCACCTCAGCCTCCTGAGTAGCTGGGACTACGGGTGTATGCCACCACACCTGGCTAATTTTTTTTTTTTTTTTTTTTTTTTGTAGAGACAGGGTCTCACTTTGCTGCTTAGGCTGGTCTCAAACTCCTGGGCTCAAGCAGTCCATCCACCTACAAGTGTTAGGATTACAGGTATGAGCCACCACATCCAGCCTGTATCTTTCATTTTTAAGAAGATTACTTTGTAGAATGGTATTCGTTTAGATAAATGTGCTTGAGTCATTGCTATAATTAGTAAATATTGGCCTTGAGGGCCCCCAGTGTAGTACAGACAAAGCTTATTTATATACCTAATTTTTAACAAATAGCATATTATTAAGTAAAAGAAAAATGATCCAAGTAAATTTTGAAGCAAAATCTGAAGAAAAATTAACAACATAATTAGATATCATTTTAATAGTATGTCAGTGGAAACAACACACAAACTGTTTTTTTCTCTGCTCTCACACCACAATAACAATCAACACAGAAGATTTCTGGTGACCAAATGTGTGGAGGTTTCTCCCCACACACCAAGTAAGCAATCAGTTCTGCAGTGGACACCAGCTGGGTATCCTCCAGTTCAATTCCAACACTATCTACCTGGAGACAGTGTCAGATCCCACAGAGTGTCAGATCGCACAGTTTGAGGGCTCAGTCCCACAAGACGGTCCTCCTCCTTCCTACCAGTTGCAAATCTGGGCCTCTGGAACTTCTGATGGACCAGCTTCAAGTTGGGTTCTCCGTGACCCCGTCTTTGGGTTCAATTACTTTGCTAGAGTGGCTCACAGAACTTAGGGTGACATGTTTACTGATTTATTACAGAATATATTTTAAAGGATACAAATAGACAGATGAAGAGAGACACAGGGCGAGGAACTTCTATCCTCATGGAGTTGGGGTGCACTGCCCTCCTGGTACATGAATGAGTTCTCATTAACCTTCCTTTAAGCCTCTACATGTTCAGCTCTCTGGGAGCTCCTCAAACCCTGTCCTCTTCCGTCTCTTATGGAGACTTTATTGGATAGTCATGATTAAAGTACAGACAACCATGTAGAAATGTGATTAGACAAAAAAGGGTATGATCTAATATTAATAGACTGAGTGGGAAAATCCAGCAAGGATTGTCTGTTCAGATTCTTCTTGGTCTCTCTGTGTAGCTTTCCTTCCTCCAGGGTATGGGGGAGGACCCCTTCTGAAATGAAGGTCTTGTGGCCTTCAATTAGACAAGGAAGGTCAGAGAATTTCTTTATGGCCAGCTCCAAGATAGAAAGGTTGGGGGAGATGAGATTATATTTTTAGTTTCTACGGCCTGCCTTGGGGAGAAAAAGGAGCAGGCGAAAAAAGGGCAGAAGGTCAGAGAGAGAGAGAGAGATTTGTTTTCTTTTTTCATTGATTTATTTGTTTGTTTGTTTGTTTGTTTGTTTGAGATGGAATCCCGCTCTGTCGCCCAGGCTGGAGTGCAATGGCATGATCTTGGCTCACTGCAACCTCTGCCTCCTGGGTTCAAGCGATTCTCCTACCTCAGCCTCCCAAGTAGCTGGGGTTACAGGTGTATGCCACCATACCCGGCTAATTTTTGTATTTTTTAGTAGAGACCGAGTTTCGCCGTGTTGGCCAGGCTGGTCTCAAACTCCTGACCTCAAGTGATCTGCCCACCTCGGCCTCCCAAAGTGCTGGGATTACAGGTGTGAGCCACTGCACCTGGCTGAGATTCTGTTTTCTGAGACCTGCTTCTGAGGCCTAAAGCACCCCAACATTATAACAAGGGCTATGGCGTTATGAGCCAGGGACCATGGATGAAAACCTATATATATTTATCTATGTATATCTCTGTCTCATAATATCACATGTTGCAGACAGACTTTTGTCAAACTTATCAATAAAATCGAACTATAGAACACAGATTTAAAAAAAACCCTTGGGAAGCTGGGTGCAGTGGCTCATGACTATAATCCCAGAACTTTGGAAAGCTGAGGCAGGAGGATTGCTTGAAGCCAGGAGTTTGAAAACAGCCTGGAAAATATAGTGAGACTTTATCTCTACAAAAAATTTAAAAATTAGCTGGACATGGTGGTGGGCACCTGTGGTCCCAGCTACTCAGGAGGAGGAGGTTTCAGTGAGCTGAGATAGTGCCACTGTATTGCAGCCTGGGTGACAGAGCAAGACTTTGTCTCAAAAATAAATAAATAGGCTGGGTGCGGTGGCTCATGCCTGTAATCCCAGCACTTTGGGAGGCCGAGGTGGGCGGATCACGAGGTCAGGAGATGGAGACCATCCTGGCTAACACGGTGAAACCCCTTCTCTACCAAAAATACAAAAAAAGAAATTAGCTGGGCGTGGTGGCGGGCGGCTGTAGTCCCAGCTACTCGGGAGGCTGAGGCAGGAGAATGGTGTGAACCCGGGAGGCAGAGCTTGCAGTGAGCGGAGATTATGCCACTGCCCTCCAGCCTGGGCGACAGAGCGAGACTCCGTCTCAAAAAAAAAAAAAAAATTTTAAATTTAAAAAATAGAAGCCACTCCTAGGCCAGGTGCAGTGGCTCATGCCTGTAATACTAGCACTTTTGGAGATTGAGGCAAATGGATCACTTGAACCCAGGAGTTTGAGACCAGCCTTTGCAACATAGTAAGACAAGAAATTTAAAAAGTTAGAGAGGTATGGTGGCACACGCCTGTAGTCCAAGTTCCTTCTGTAGCTGAGACAGGAGATGGCCTGAACTCAGGAGATGGAGGCTGGAGTGAGCTATGATTGTGCCACTGCACTCCAGCCTGGGAAACAGAGTGAGACCCTGTATCCAAAGAAAAAGAAAGAAAGAAACAGAGAGGGAGCGAGAGAGAGAGAGAGAGAGAGGGAGCGAGAGAGAGAGAGAGAGAGAGAGAGAGAGAGAGAGAGAGAGAGAGAGAGAGAGAGAGAGAGAGAGAGAGAGAGAGGAGGGAGGAGGGAGGGACAGAGGGAGGGAAAGGGAGAAAGGGAGAAAGACCTCTTATGGCTTACATAAACTACAATAGAAACAGATGTTTGCTGGTTGTCTAGTCACAGTAATGTTTTCTTGTTAAAACAACTGTTTTATATTTTATATATATTATATATATTTATAGCCATAAATAAGGTCATTGCAGGTCAGTAGGTTTTCTCGAATCTTTAAGCCCTCCTCCGCACACCACCCCTCTCCCCAAAAAGGGAACCACTTCTGTCTGCTTCCCTTTCCTTACCTTGATTTTTTTTCTCCTTCCTTCTCCTGCATTCCCTGTAATCTCACTGGGCATCTTCCTGGCAATCTGTGCACCTTCTACCGGGGAGCTCTGTCTCTCTGGCTCCAGTTGTAACTTGACTGGCTCCCCACCTGAGTTGAGAGTACGTAGGCCTTTATCTCTGCACCCATCCTGTGCACGTTCATAGAAGTCATCAGCTCTGTTAACTTGATTTGCAATTGGATTGTTAAATACAACTGATTGTCATGTTGATTTGGTGTTACTTGGTTTTTCAGGCTGAACTAACCAGGAACACTAAGTGATTGTTTTGAGCTTTTTCTTAAGCAAAGATTTACTTGCTTTTCAGCAGCTGAAGTAGATAGCAATAGGCTAATAGTGGGGAAACAGACTTCCAGAAACACATTTTCTACTTGCTTTTAAACTTGTATTCATGAATAGTCCTTTCTTAGAACAAACCGTATAGTTTAAGACTGTATTATCTGTTTTGATTGCAATTTTAGTATATTCTGTGTTAACTGATGGTAGACTGAAAACTGTATTGAGAGAGATGGAAAGGGGTTTTCTTTATAGGAAGGTGCTAGGTGCACATAGGTAGCTGAGTAAATGTAGTTGAATTCAACGTTAGACATTTTTTCCACCATTTTTCCCCCTTGGTTTGGTTTTGGTGCTCTTCTTTTGTTTGTACAGTTTGTCCCTTGGTATCCTTGGGGGATTGGTTCCAGGACTCCCTGCAGATACCAAAATCGTAGGATGCTCAAGACTCTTATATAAAATGGCATAATATTTGCATATAACCTATGTATATCTTTCTTTATACTTTAAATTATCTCTAGATTACTTATAATACCTAATGCAATATAAATGCTGTGTAAATAGTTGTTAAGTTACATTGTTTAAGGAATAATGACAGGAAGAAAAGTTTGCCCATGTTAAGTATAGATGCAGTTTTTTTTTTTTTTTTTTTGAGACGGAGTCTTGCTCTGTTGCCCAGGCTGGAGTGCAGTGGCGCAATCTCGGCTTACTGCAAGCTCCGCCTCCTGGGTTTATGCCATTCTCCTGCCTCAGCCTCCTCAGTAGCTGGGATTACAGGCGCCCGCCACCACGCCCGGCTAATTTTTTTTGTATTTTTTTAGCAGAGACGGGGTGTCACCATGTTAGGCAGGATGGTCTTGGTCTCCTGACCTCGTGATCCGCCTGCCTCGGCCTCCCAAAGTGCTGGGATTACAGGCGTGAGCCACTGTGCCTGGCCCAGATGCAGTTTTTAAGGGGAATGTTTTCAGTCCACACTTGCTTGAACACACAGATGCAGAACCGAGGGATACGGAGGGCCAACTGTATTTCTCTCTTTTTTTTTTTTAATGAGAGCTATTCGTATGTGGATTCTATACTCTCTAATAATAATAAACCTTATTAATGTGGCACCTGAAACAGACATTGTTACTTTTAAATTATGGTATAAATTTGCAGAAGTCATAATGGAAATAGGAATAGGGCATCTTATTTGAAGTAGAAGCAATAATTATTTCTCTTCTACTGGTGCTAACAATTTTTTTAAAAAATTATTTAGAATTTCAGTGGTTTTGCTGAAAGATGCTAAATCTCCAGTGTTACTTAGAAATACAGTACATACAATTCTAAGAAAAAAGGTTATTATTTAAACATGTATATTAAAAAGAAGCTTTTTTAATATCTCATATAGACACATATAAATTTTATAAAATTCTAAAGGGTATTTACAAAAATGAAAAGTAAGTTTCCCTTAACCCTTGGCCCATATTAGTCCCCTGTCCTGGAGGTAACCATTATTTCTAGCTTCTTCTGTTCCTTTGAGAGATCAAAATGAAGCTTAAAATTAATACCCTTATTGTTTAGTAAATGTTTTCCTCTTAAATATAGCAAAATCTAGTGATATTTTTTGCAACCTCTGTTATAGCTTTACTTTGCAGTTATGGTTGCAGGGTGAATTACATGTCAGCACTGGAAATGTCTTGAAATGAACTCATTGTCTGTGCATTTTTATCCTGTTGTTTTTAGAAATACAGCTTTAAAAAAATTTATTGTACCTTTTTGAAATAAAAGAATTTACAACTCTGGTGTAGATCTAAATGAAAAAAATTTTGATGAACAACATGGATAGTTTAAATCTTTAGTATTTTCTCAATGATAGATTTTCAACTAAAATCTTTTTTTAGTTTTTTTATCTTTTGCCTCACAATTGGTTTGGATATCTTACGAATCATACCATGTTTTCTGTTCCCATACAGACATTTAGCCTAAAAAAATTTTACTTGCTAGTTACAAAGGTAATTCAGCCAGGCCATTGGTAAGTTGAAAATATAAAGGAAGCAAATTATGAGACAGGGTTTTTATTTGTGGAACACAATATACAAATGTAGTTAATTCTTTTGTGAACTTGGCATGTATAGTATTCCCTTCCTAATCTTTTGTGTTGTGTTTCTGCTAACCTCTATGGTAAAAGGTTCTATTGAGGAACAAAAACAATCAATTTTTAAAATGGGGTTGGGGATCAGAGTCTTGAGTGAGCCTATTAAAGTGCTGGGATTACAGGCATGAGCCACTGCACCCAGCCTAAAGTCTTTGTAAATATTTTTTATGTAGATATCACCAAAATAAAATAGTAAGGGCAGCTCTCTAAATAAAGAGAAAATTACACATTTAGATATCTTAAAATAGGATAATGAATGTTGGATTATTTCTAGTTTCTATTCCTTACTTGCTAGAAACTTTTCAGTGAGATAACTTGGACATTTTTATGTTTTTTTTTTTTTTTGGGAAATACATGTACTTTTATCGAAAATAACACGTAAACTCTGAGGTGCTTTTTTTTTTTTTTTTTTTTTGGTATTTGACCTTCCATCTTAATAGTACATTTCTGATCTTAGGACTCAGAGTTCTTAACCTCTCTGATCTCCATTTTGTATTTCCTTTGGGGTCTCATCACAGTCCCAGAGGTACATAGTAACAAAGCTAGAGACAGAAGAGGCTTTAGGCGACCTTCTCCCAGGTACTCAGCATGCCATCACTCAATAGGTATTTCTCATTCCTTCCCACCGTGAGGGTTATAGAACCTTAGTCCCATCAGTGGTGATTATTAGCACATTAGCACTCTCACTCGCTTCCTTAGTCCCTCTTAGGCATGTCCTTGTTCCCCTCCCACAACACAAGCCTAAGGTAGATCCTTGCCTCAGCTTCCTTTTTCTTCCCCAAGACTGCGTTTCATGAAACTATTTTTCCTGCTCTACTTTCTGCTTCATTTCCTTCTTCTCATCCTACCTTCGTGTTCCTTTTCTTTAAACTCAAAATCTGTGTCTACTGGAAACTGCAGTTTTCAGCAGTTGAGGGAGAGATATTTAAATGGAAATCTGTGTGTATACTTGAATTTCATATAAGGAGATCTTGCGGTTAAGGAGAGATTTCTGCAATATTAGAAACACTAATTTTTTTGATCTTAAGACTCTTCTGTTTTCTGTACCTTTTGCTTCTTTAGGAATAATTAGCTTTACAACATTTGATTTGAAGGAGGAGAATGGTGTTATGTGGGCATGGTGTATCAGCCAGAAGTGACGCTAGTTAGGATGAAAGTTGTTCTGGTCATATGGACAGTGTTGGAAGGTATTACATTCCACTCTACAGACAGCTCTGGAAGGATGGGGCATGTCAGCCTTGGCAGGCAGCACATCTCCATCAATTCTTTCAGTTCCTAGGGTGATGGATACTCAGCTAGCTGGCTGTTTTCCTGAAATTTAGCCTTCTAACTGAACCTTGTAGCTTGATGAGCAACTGACTCCAGTCTCAGTGATCGTCTTCAGTGATGATTTGAGAAACACTGTTAGGTAATAGGACAGCAGACAATTAGTAGATCAGACTACATTGGAATTCTGAGGTCCTTTACCTGGGTGACTTTGGGAAGCTTCCTTTGCTTTTTATTTTTTATATTTTTATTTATGTATTTATTTATTTTTGAGACAGAGTCTTGCTCTGTTGCCCAGGCTGGAGTGTGGTGGTGCGATCTCAGCTCACTGCAAGCTCCACCTCCCAAGTTCACACCATTCTCCTGCCTTAGCCTCCTGAGTAGCTGGGACTACAGGTGCCCGCCACCACGCCTGGCAAATTTTTTTGTATTTTCAGTAGAGACAGGGTTTCACCATGTTAGCCAGGATGGTCTTGATCTCCTGACCTTGTGATCTGCCTGCCTCAGCCTTCCAGAGTGCTGGGATTACAGGCATGAGCCACTGCACGCGGCCTGCTTTTTATATTTTAAGATTATAATAGAGCTCACAACCTTTATATGTGACAGCAGAAATTCTTTCTTATTTTCTACCAAACAATGATGTTGAAGAAAACTAATGTATAAAACATTATATGAATTTGAAGGTTTCAGGCTACTGAACACTTTTTGTTAGGCACCCTGGGAAGAAAAAAACATGCAGCCTTGTCCCTTAAGTTGAGGATTGTGTGATGTAGTCAAGAAGATAATACATGAAATGACCACAATGACGCAATATATAAACAAGTTCTAGAGTGTGTAGAAGATGACCACTCTAAGCCGTGCCATCCAGTGTTAGCCAGTAGCCACGTTTGGCTGTTGACTGCTTGAAAATTCATGAGCCTGAGTTGATATGTACTTTAAGTATAAAATATGCATTGGATTTCAAAGACTTAGTACCAAAACAAGAGTAACATATCTCGTTATTTATTTATTTATTTTGAGATGGAGTTTCGCTCTTGTCACCCAGGCTGGAATGTAATGGCATGATCTTGGCTCACTGCAACCTCCGCCTCCTGGGTTCAAGTGATTCTCCTGCCTCATCCTCCTGAATAGCTGGTATTACAGGTGCCCGCTACCACGCCTGGATAATTTTTGTGTTTTTAGTAGAGAAAGGGTTTCACCATGTTGGCCAGGCTGGTGTCGAACTCCTGACCTCAGGTGATCCACCCGCCACAGCCTCCTGAAGTGCTGGGATTGCAGGCATTTTTAAAAATACCGATTACATGTTTAAATTACAATATTTTGGATATAGTATTTAAGTTAATATTACCTATTCCCTTTTACTTTTTTTAAAATGAGGCTTTAAAAATTCTAAATTTCATATGTGGTTTGTGGTATATTTCCATGG
The DNA here is from genome assembly GCF_000001405.40 of Homo sapiens. Lineage (NCBI taxonomy): Eukaryota > Metazoa > Chordata > Mammalia > Primates > Hominidae > Homo > Homo sapiens. The sequence continues at coordinate 9,680,842 of NC_000011.10, forward strand.
CAAATAGAGAAAAGGATATAGACAGTTGCAGACAAAGTTTCATGAAGGAGATAGTACTTCAGCTGTTTCTTGAGAGAATGGCGAATGTGAGGGTGATCTGGCTGTGATATCTGTCACCCCATTGATCACCAGGGTTGATTTCGCTGATCTGGCTGGCTAGGTGGTTGTCCCCTTCCTCCCTCACCACTCCATGTGCGTCCCTCCCAATGCTGTGTGCTCAGTCAAAGAGAACGACCATCCTCGATAGAGGAGGACCAGTCTTCGGTCAAGGGTATATGAGTAGCTGTGCTTACCTGCTAGAACCTCCAGACAAGCTCTCAAGGTCTTGAGAGAATGGGGCAGATCTTGTCCAGTATAATTGCAGAAAGGTGACAAATATGGTGGTAGCACTGTAAATTAAGAGCAAGAGCCTCAACTTGGAGTATTTGAGCAGAAAGGAAATACTGTGAGTGGAGTAGAAGGTTTGTTTTAAAGCATAGTGGAGAATTAGGATTTAAAGAGAGATGGGGCTACATTTTAGATGTCATTGAATGTTTTTGCACAGAATATATGGCTAATATATGTTTATTGACTGACAGTCTGTCTTAGAATTAGTTCAGAATTGACCCTGTAAAGAGGGTAAGTCATTTAAAGTTTTTAGGTAGATATATGGCAGAGATACGGTTTTAAAATTATTCTGATGATGTAGGTTTAATGACTAAAGGTGAGAGGCTGGAGATTGGGGGACTTGTTAGTGGGGTGCTATGAAGTCTGGGTAAGTTGGTGAGTGTGGGTCAGTAGTGGTAGCTATGGAAATTAAAACAGATATGTACCCTCCCCTTGTAGAGCTTAAAATCTTGTGAGTGATACAGATGAGCAAACTGGCAATTCAAATACAGTGAGATACAGAAGGCAGAATGCAGAGGAAGGGAACCTATTTAGCTTGGGGTGAGGACATGAGGAGTTAGCTCAGAGAATGCTTCCTAGAGGAGGAGACATTTGTCACTAACTTGAAAAGGATGTATGAAATTCCCCTGTGAGAATACTATGATGAAAGATTCAGAAAGTAAAACCTTTAGAGGAACATGAAAAGTGTTGAGAGAGAGAGGAGTTGGGGAGTAAGGAGAGTTACCTGTACTCCATTACTTGTGTGGTAATGGGAAATCACTTCTCTTTGCTGGGCTTCAGTTTCCTCATTTGTAAAATGTAGGGTGGCAGACATGCTCTTTGAGGTTTAGCCTTCTAACTGAACCTTGTAGCTTGATGTGTTTACCATGGTTATATCCTGAGGAGTAGTTGTTCTGCAGCAACTCTTTGACAGGACCTGAGAGGGGAGAATGGGACCTTGTACTGGGAGGTGAGGGGAGGAGCCCTTGTTTCCCCAGCCTCACACTCTCTGCTTGGTTAGCCTGAAGGTGACAGAGCGGCTCACGCAGTAGAGACAGGAGTTGGCATTGGCTGGGGCTGAATTAGATCCAGAAGGTGGACAAACTGTATGAAAAAGAGATAGAAGAAGAGACCATAGTTTTGTTAAGGCAATGGTGATACCAAAGTCAGAATCAGGGTGGCAAACCTATTTTGGGGAGAAAAGTGATGAGATCTCATTTGGATCTTTTGGACGTGAGGCAGATTTAGAATAGAAATCTCTAGTATTGTTTAGTGATATAAACCAGAGCTTACTGGAGAGGTTAAGACCAGAAAGAGATCTATGAATCATTTGAATAGAGATGACTTAAGGTTGTCAGAATAAAATCACTTTCTTTTTTCTTTTTATAAATGTTTAGATTTATAAAATATAAAATTTGAAAAAATTTAAGTCTTTTGATTCATAAACACAGAATGTCTTGTCTTTATTTTTATTTTTATTTTTTTTTGAGACAGGGTCTTCGTCTGTTGCCCACGCAGGAGTGCAGTGACACAATCTGTGCGCACTGCAACCTCCGCCTCCCGGGTTCAAGTGATTCTCATGCCTCAGCCTCCCAAGTAGCTGGGATTACAGGCATGTGCCACCACGCCCAGCTAATTTTTATGTTTTTAGTAGATACAGGGTTTTTGCCATGTTGGCAGGCTGGTCTCAAACTCCTGGCCTGAAGTGATCACCTGCCTTGGCCTCCTAAAGTGCTGGGATTATAGGTGTGAGCCACTGTGCCTGGTCAAAAGCACTTTCTAAGAAGAAATTAAAGTAGAACTGAGGGTTGAAAATTGATCTTTGGGAAATGACCAGATTGGGAGAATGAGGGATGATGGATGTGACTGCATAAATTTACCTTTGAAGAACTTAGAAACTATTCTGTCTGGGCTGGGTACGCTGGCGCATGCCTGTAATTCCAGCACTTGTGAGGCTGAGGCAGGTGGATGGCTTGAGCTCAGGAGTTTGAGACCAGCCTGGACAACATGGTGAAACCTGTTTCTACAAAAAATAGAAAAATTAGCTGGGTGTGATGGCAGGTGCCTGTAGTCCCAGCTGCTGGGGGTGAGGGGTGGGGGATGGTGGCTGAGGTGGGAGAATTGCTTGAGCCCAGGAGGTCGAGCCTGTGGTGAGCCCAGATCGAGCTACTGCACTCCAGCCTGAGTAACAGAGCAAGACCCTGTCTCAAAAAAAAAGAAGAAAAAGAAAAGAAAAGAAAAGAAAATGGTATGTCAGGGACCAAAAACGTCTAAGAGGAGGGGGTGATTCAGACTGCCAACTGCCAGACCTTTGGGAGAGTGACTTGGCCAGAAGGTATCTGTCCCAGCATGGGTTCTCCAGGAAGCCAATGTTAAGACACTGTTAGGAATACAAAAGTGTTACCTGTGGGGTGGGAGAGAGGAAATGAAATTGGGAAAAGGAACTGTCAAACCATCATATGGATTTGGCAAAACCAGGAGCTCTGAAGCAAAGATTGCCCCTTATGGGACTCCCACATTGAGGAAAAGTGATCCTACCACCCCGCTCTGTCACTGGGACCCTGAAAGTAGCTGGAGGCTATCAGCTTAACACAGTCCTTGTAGCTGGGTAGCAGTTACCTACTTGAGGGGGCATCTGAGTGGTGCATCTCTGTGTCTACCTCAGAATCCATTTAGAAAAGCAATTTCAAGAGATTGATAGGGATAGAAGTCATATTTTAGGGACCATGCGGGGTCAGGTTGGTGAGAAGGTGGGGCAGCCGAGGGAAACCTCACATTTGTGATTTTTTTTCATTCTTTTATTTTTAATTTTATTTTATATATTTTTGATTTCTGTATATTTTAATGACTTCAGATTTGTGATCTTTCTTAAATTAAAAAATTTTTCTTTTTGAGACAGGGTCTTACACTGTCACCCAGGCTGGAGTGCAGTGGTGCTGTTATGGCTCACTGCAACCTTGAACTCCTAGGCTCAAGTGGTCCTCCCACCTCAGCCTGCTGAGCAGTTGGGATTGCAGGTGTGCGCCACCATGCCTTGCTAATTTTTATATTTTTCATAGAGACAGGGTCTTGTTATGTTGCCCGGGCTGGTCCCAAACTCCTGACCTCAAGTGATCCTCCTGCCTCAGCCTCCCAGTGTTGAGATTATGGGCATGAGCCACTGCGTCCAGCCAGATTTGTGGTCTTTGTCACCACTTTGAATGCACACTGTGACTTCACATTTTCTCTTGGAGATGAGTGTACTAAATTAAACTTCTAAGGAGGTGATAGTCAAGGAGCTCAGAGCCCCCTCTTCTGTTATAGAGCCTTCTCTCACACCTGCTTGTTAATTCTTATTGTGTCCTTTTCTCAGAAGTCTGTACTTGAATTTTAAGAAACTGGACTTCTCTACTAGATCTCAGGCCAGACGAGTTGTGCTTGGCTAGTTCTGGTGGTGTTAAGAACTAATGGAGGCATTGTTTTTCACTCTGAAAGTGATCTGAACTAGAGATTCCAATTAAAAATTCTTCTAGAAACATGGTAGTATAGTAAAATAAATGCAAAGACCCAGATCTAGATGAAGATGGTAAAGTAGCAAAATGAAATTTAAAAAAAGAAAAAAATTCTTGGAAATTCTTAAATGGGACTAATTTAGCAAACATTTGTTGAACAGCTCTCTCATTAGGTACTTCATTAGGTTTTGGTATTCACAGATGGCTAAAATACGTATTGCACAGATGGCTAAAATACAGACTCTCTCTTTAAGGAACTTACAGAGTAGTGAGAAAGATAAAGAAGCTTGCTGGAGTTAAATCTCCTCACAAATCATTTACCTTCTTAAAAGACATTTGTGCAATATTTCACTGGGGGGCTGGACTCTCAGGAGGCTGTCCCAAATTGGGGGACTTTGTTGTCCATTAGGGTGACTTTCTTTTTTTTTTTTTTTGAGATGGAGTCTCGCTCTGTGCCGAGGCTGGAGTGCAGTAGCACCATCTCGGCCTGCCACAACCTCCATAGGGTGGCTTTTTAAAGAGGTATGGGAAAGCATGCTTTGTGGGTGGCTCAGAGGAGTTAATTTTATCAACTTTATAGTTCTACAATGATCTTTTCATTTTCTAATTTTACTGGTGCTTTCTAGCAGGAGCCTTGTTTCACCTAGTCCTGATACTGCAGCAAAATACCACAGACTAGGTAATTTATAAATAATATAAATTTATTTATCACAGTTCTGGATACTGGAAAGTCCAAGATCAAGATGCTAGCAGATTGAGTGTCTGGTGATGGCTTGCTGTCTGCTCCCAAGATGGTTCCTTGTTGCTGTATCCTCACATGGCAGAAGGGCAAAAGAGACTAGGGAACTCTCTCCCTTCAACCTCTTTTATAAGGTCATTGATCCCATTTGCGAGAGTTCCGCTCTCTTGACTTAATCACCACCTAAAGGCCTCACCTCTTTTTTTTTTGAGACGGAGTCTTGTCTTGCTCTGTCACCCAGGCTGGAGTACAGTGGTGTGATTTCTGCTCACTGCAATCTCTGACTCCCTGGTTCAAGCAATTCTCCTGCCTCAGCTTCCCGAGTAGCTGGGACTACAGGCACACACCACCACGCCCGGCTAATTTTTGTATTTTTAGTAGAGATGGGGTTTCACCATGTTGGCCAGGATGGCCTCGATCTCCTGATCTCGTGATCTACCTTCCTTGGCCTCCTCCCAAAGTGCTGGGATTACAGGCGTGAGCCATTGCTCCCGGCGAGGCCTCACCTCTTAATACTGACACATTGGAGATTAAGTTTCAACATATGAATTTTGGGGGACACATTCAGACCATAGCAAGCCCTCCACCCTACTTAATTTTTTAATTTTCTATTTAAAATATATAAAATATTAAAAGATAAAAGCTTCATTTTCTGATTGAAAGGTAATACATAGAATACTCAAACAATGTATTAAAGTACAGAGTCCAAAGTAAAACATTCAAATTCTACCACCAAAGGCAGGTTGTAATTAACTTTTCAGTGAATATCTTTCTTATATATCTCTCTTTCTCCCTTCCCCCATCATGTACACACATGCATATACACATATGTAAATACACAGACATATATGTCCTTTTGTATAAATAGGGTCATATTCTGTATCCTTTCGTATCCTCTTTTATTTTCTTATTTATTTATTTATTTATTTATTTATTTTTGTGAGACAGGTTCTCGCTCAGTTGCCAGAGCTGGAGTACAGCGGCACCATCACGACTCACTGCAGCCTCAACCTCCTGGGCTCATTTGATTCTCCTACCTTAGCCTCCCTAGTAGCTGGGACCACAGGCTCACAGCTAATTTTTGTATTTTTTGTAGAGATAGGGTCTTACTTTGTTGCCCAGGCTGGTCTTGAACTCCTGGGCTCAAGTGATCCTCCTCCCTTGGCCTCCCTCAGTGCTGGGATTACAGGTGAGAGCCACTGTGCCTGGCCTGTAGTCTCTTCTTAAGCATTGTGTTAGGGTCATCTTTCTGTATAAATGCATATAGATACAGACACCATCCTTTATAATGACTGTGAACTCTTTCATTGTGTTGATGCATCATGCTTTATTTAACCATTTCCTATTCACAGGTATTTGAGATGTTTTAAATGTTTTTAACCCAGGATACTGCTATACATTGTACAATGCGTAGGTTACCTGCCCTGTCCCCCAAACAAATAATTATTCAGCCAAAAATGTCAGTAGTACTGAAGTTGAGAAAAACCTGCTCTGTACCTTCTGCAGTGTTGGATATTGGTAGTCTTTACTCCCTTATATCTCCTCAAACACCAGGTATTACTTAGGCAAAAAGTAGTAGCTCTTTTAATGTGCATTCTTTTGATTACTAGCAAGATTAAGCATCTTTTCCTATATTTTATTTGCCTATTTTTGAAGTAAAAGGTGAGGTTTAATCTTTAGTTACATGATACTGCAAGCTACGCAATTCCGTGTAGAAATAAGGAACCCATTCAGAGGACAAGGTTCATACAGTATGTACAATTTGGAACTGCTCAAATATAGTTTCCTTGTAAAAAAGTATCACAATAACCATATTTAAAGGCATTCTTAGTAGAGAAACAGTAAGAAAAGTTATACCAAATATAATACACAACAAACAACATTATGCCTTAGCCATACAATCCAAAAGTTAAAGGTCCCAGGAGTTCCACCTGAACTTGAAAGGTATCCTCTATTTATTAGTGATTAGTTTCTTTTGTGAATTTTCTATTCGTGTCCACAAGAATGATTTGAATATTGGAGCTATTTGCCTTTTTTGTTTTTTTATGGTTTCTTTCTTTTTAAAAGAAAATATAAGCATTTTTCTGTGGTCAAATTTACCAGTATTTTCTGTTTAGTTTCTGAAGAGGGGTAAGTTGGTAAGTTATCCAAAATAACTTTAAAAAGGTGGTTCAGTTAGAGTGTAATCCAGTGCCATCCATGCTGTATGACATCAGTGGCATATATTCTGTGGACAGCATTCCAACAGATGACTTTGAGTTACTTTTCCTTAATCTGTCTGTAAGTGTTCTGCTCTTACTGAATCTTCGCTTAGCCCTATGCTAGTCACTGAAGGATGCAGAAGGAAAATATTTATTTCCTCCCTTCAATAAGGGAGGATATTTGATAAGTTAGATATTTGAGATACCATTAGTATCTGAAACAGAACATAGTTAAATGCTGAATAGGAGTTCATGGGGCAGGGTGGTAATCCATAAAGATTTCCTAGAGTTTATGAATGACCCAATCTTGAAGGATGTGACTAGGCAGAAGAGAAATGTTTCCAGCACAGGGCATCACTGTGGGACAGAGAGCTAAGAGATTTGAGTTCTAGTCCCTACTTTGTTGCTAATTATTGTGTGACTTAGGCCAAGTCTCAGGCCACAGTCTTTTTATCTGTGAAGTGAGGAGATAGAAATAGTATATTTTCTAAGATTATTGTTAATATTAAAGTATCACGGCTTTAGTGTTAAGAGAATTTTTAGAAAGAATTCACTTAGCAGTTATTGAAAGTCTTCTGGATTCTGGGCAGCATGCCAGGTGCCATGGGCATGCAATGTTGTATAAGATATGGGCCTTTCAGAAATGTACAGTCTTACAGGAGAGAGAAATCATGTGTGGTAGTTAGCACAAGAGGTACTGCTTGGGAAACAGAGTGAAGAAAGATCATCTTGGTTTGGGTGGTGAAGGCTTCAGAAAGAGATGCCATTTTTGTTAGGCAGGAAAGGAGGTAGGGGTAAATTGAGCAAGGGCCCAGGGGAGAAAGGGATGTGGTACAAGTTGCCTGGGATGCAGTTAGTAAGCTTATTTGGCTGGATTTATATGGTTGGTGCAGAGGGTGGGAAGAAATAAGGAAGGTGAAGTGGGCTGGCCTGTGGAGTGACTTAAATATACAACTCACATATTTCCTTAGCTTTTACTTCTGTAGTCTTCTGATGATTTTTAGGCAGGGGGATAACGTGATGTTAGTGGTACTTGAAGATTTGGTGTAAGTGTCTAGGATGGTAACTGATTGTACTTAGGGATTGAGAGCAATGTGAACAATGACTTTGAGATTTTTGAGGCTGGTTAGATTAAAGGTAAGAGGAAACAAGCAAGACTTAAGCAGTGACAAGCAGGATGAAAAGATGTTTGGAAGGGGAAAATGAGTCCATGCGGGAATGGGCAGGACTTAGAGTAGACAATGCTTTTAAGGCAGGGCATAGCTGTGGTAGGAAATTGGTCATGCTGGTCCATTGTTAGGAAGAATTTTCTGGTAATTTGCCATTGGCTTGAAATTTTATAAATCAGACAGGAATTTTAATGTTTTAAAAAAAGATTGCCCATTATGAGTTATAAGTCTATAATTGTGTCAGTTCAGATAAGTCTTTTGGAATAGAAATCTGCCCCCACTCCGCTTTTTTTTCAGTGTTGAATCTTGCCCATTACGCACATCCTGTAAAGGGAAACAGTGTGTTACTGGGTGGCACGTTTTAAATAACTTTTTAGAATCTCTACGTCTTTGGAGAAAGGAGGGTGAACACTACTTACTCGTGTTAAAACACTGTTCACCATCCTTGATTTCATTTTCATGATGGCTGGAGTAAAATGCTCAAAAGGGGTAAATGGCAAGCAAACCACTGAACAGGAACAGACCACACGAGCAGGGCTCATGCAGTTAATTAGTCATCTTGTCAGCAGAGGCCCTGCAGAGGCAACTGCAGACAGCTATGAGGGAACTGGAGAGATGAGTTTCTGGCATGGATATGGATCTGTTATTGTGGTAACAATAGTTTATTCTTCAGATCAGCAGAATGAGAGCAAAGCTGCTTAGCAATTATGTGGGTGCTGAAAGAATGGCCTTTGGAGGAACAGGCATTTGAAGCGGGATAAATTCAGCTTTTTCAAGAAACTTGCAAACACCCTGATTAGAATGATTTGGGGCAGTCCTTTTACAAATCAAGAACTTGTAGTCCTCTTTCTGATTCTTTTGTCTTAATCTGCTTTTCAGCTTCCTCATCTGGAGAAGGGGTTAGTGCCTCTTAGTGCAGATTCCCCCAGAGGGATAGGGTGCTGGGAGATGAGGGCTCCCAGAGAGAGAACGGTCCCAGACTTCTAGGTATGTGGACTTCCTTGCCACTGGCACTAACTTGGCTCTGCTGAATAGTGCCTGTCATCTCTGTTGGGCCCTGTGGAGCTGATGGGGTGGGGCTGGGGTAGCACCAGCACATCACTAAAATTTAGAAACAACTCACGGGCGTGTCCATCTTTGTATTGGCAGGGCTATCTGTTTTTCCAGAAACAGAGGGAAGGTAGCAAAGCATGGAAAGGACACCAGAGTGGGAGGCTTGGGTCTAATCCCAGTTTTGCTACACGTAAAACTCTGTGATTTGGGACACATCTCCTAATCTCTGACTCAGCCTCTTCGTCTGTAAAATAGCAATAATATCTATTCTCCCTGTGGAGAGGCTAAAACAAATTAATAGATGGTATGAGTCTACTTGAAAAAGCATAAATTGCTGTATAAGTTTATGGAGGAGCTTTTACTTCTTTTTACTAGTTTATATTCCGGCCATCAAAAATTTTATTTCTTGTATATTTTATTTTTATAAAAAGAAAACCTTGGTAAGGTGTAGTCGTTCACGCCTCTAATCCCAGCACGCAGGCCAAGGTGGGTGGATCACTTGAGGTCAGGAGTTTGAGACCAGTCTGGCCAACATGGTGAAACTCTGTCTCTACTAAAAATATAAAAATTAGCTGGGTGTGGTGGCAGGTGCCTGTAATTCCGCTACTTGGGAGGCTGAGGTGGAAAGATTGCTTGAACTTAGGAGGCAGACGTTGCTGAGATCATGCCATTGCACTCCAGCCTGGGTGACAGAGTGAGACTCTGCCTCAAAACAAAAAACAAACAAACAAAAAACCTTGTTGAGACTGGGCATGGTGGCTCATGTGTATAATCCTGGCACTTTGGGAGGCTGAGGTGGGAGGATCACTTGAGCCCAGGAGTTTGAGACCCGCCTGGGCACACATAGTGAGACCCCATCTCTATTTTTAAAAAATACAAATAAATCTTAAAAAAGAAAAAAATACTTGAGATACTGTCTAAGCTTTAAAGAAAGGTTGCTGATAAAAAGTTTTAAAGATAGTACACAATTTTTTCCTCTTTTAGAAATACTGTTTCATTGTTGCTTTATTCAGTTGGTTGTTTTATATATACATATATATTATAATTAATTAATTAATTTTTGAGATGGGACCCCCTCTGTCACCAAGGTTGGAGTGCAGTGGCATGATCATGGCTCAATGCAGCCTCGACCTCCCTAGGCTTAGGTGATCCTCCCACCTCAGCCTCCCATCTCAGCCTCCCAGGTAGCTGGGACTACAGGCATGTGCCACCACATCCAGCTAGCTTTTGTACTTTCTATAGAGATGGGGTTTTGCCATGTTGTCCAGGTTGGTATTGAACTTCTGGGCTCTAGCTATCCTCTTGTTTCAGCCCCCCAGAGTGCTAGGATTATTGGCATAAGCCACCATGCCCAGCCTGTTGTTATATTTTTTGAAGAAGACTTCCCTTTTATAGACCTTACTAACAGTGAAAAAGCTGTCACAAAGCTGGACTTCTTATCTAAATTATGAAATGAGTTTGGGTTGATAGTTAAGGGTTTTACAAACAAGTCCAACTCTCATTTGACAGTGAGGATGCAGAGACATTGGAGCGCAGGTCTCTTCCAGGTGCCTTGTATACTGTGCTGCCTTCCTCACAGTTTGCCTAAGTAAAGATGGTTAAGAAAATTATCACTGAATTTAGCCATCCCTGTGTTTAACAAGAGTGCTGTTTAATTGTCGAAGGCTGAAATCTTGAGTTCAAATCTATATCTTCTGCAGTGGGATCACTTAATCAAACTAAGCATCTATATGTACAAAGAGCATTGTTGACTTTAGACAACTGAAGACATAATGTTTCTTATTACTGGAGAGTGCTGGACCAGAGATTACAAAACCCGAGTTCTAGTCTCAGTTCTTCTCAGTAACTTTAGTCAAGAAAAACAAATTTAATATCTGTGAGTCTGTAGTCACCATTTATAAGATGAGGATGACAATATGACATCCAAGGCCCCTGCCAGGGCTTTAGTTAGAGGATCTGTGAAACCCTAAGGTAGAGAACAGGGTGGGTATGGGAGAGATGGTGTTTTTTGTTTCCTGAAGGCTTTGGATTAATCAGCTACTTTTATCATGTTATTCCCCTATCTGGAAATTTTTGTATTTGCCTCTATTCCTATCCTAAAGCTATCCTTACCTATCCTGTAAGCCATAAGTTACATTTTACTTCCTCTGTGAAGTCACTGTAACACATACTATTTCTCCTTTTCTGAACTCATTTATTGCCCTTACAGCTCACTCATCCATTAGTCATGGTACATTGCTGTGGAATATGTCTTCCTTTTACACCTCATTTCTAGTCAGCAGGTTAATGTAGAAGAAAAAGTATAGGCTATGAAGATAAATAGATTGATCTATGTGATCTTAGGCTGGCCACTTAAAATATATATATATATATATATATTTAATTTTAAAAATATGTACTACATTTTTGAGTAGGTTAATTTTTTTTAAAAAAACTTAATACAAAGAAGAGCTACAGTGAAGTCTTTTTCTAACCTTGGTCTCATCAAACTTGTCTTCCTTTCACAGTTACTAGTTTCTTATATATCCCTCCAGAATTTCTTTTCTTCCTCCCTTTTCTTTTTTATACAAAAGATGGCATACATATTCTTAGGTACCTTGTTTTTTTCACTTAATTTATGTTGGAGATCTTTTCATATCCGTACATAGCAAGCTTTCTCATGGTTTTTATGTTTTATGGATATACCTTAATTTAACCAGTAGTTGGGAATTGTTAACTTGGGTAAAGTTCCAAATGATTTTAAAATTTGAATGACATTTGAACCTGATCTGAGAAGTGTGCATTTCTTTAATACTTGTATTTCCATAGCATTTTACAGTTATTAAGCTCTTTATATTCTTGAAATTGATCTTTAGTATATAGGATTTACTAGGCTAATATAAATTAAATATCTTTTTAAAATTTTGCTGATTGTGGTGCAGGATTCTCCAATAAAAGCTCCACCGTACTCTTTTCATGTGCTTTACTGGCAAACACAGGGTTTGCTTGAGAAACACAGCCTGCTTTGTAGTCTTCATTACTGCATTTATAACCATTTGTGAATTTACTTCCTTAACTTACTTCCTTAAAACCAGTAGAGCATGTAGAAAAGGATCTCCACATAAATGAAGCTTTGAGAAACAAAACAAATTTAGAAAGAAGATATGCAAATTATTTTATAGATTAAAAATGTTTAATCTTAAAAAAACTCCTAACTGAAATATGTGTATGCAGAAAAAGGGACTCGCTTAATGCAAATGAAAGTATTTATTGAGATGAATGTGGCTCCTTAAGGTTAAATGTTTAGGGCTGAGAAAAATAAGGAACGTTTTTACCTGGGGTTCAACTAGGAAGATTCTCTGTTGAAGAAAATACAGCCTTAGCTATGTAATTTGACCTGTTCAGAAAGCACAAATGAAATGGAAGGGATTTAAGTTCTATCTTGAAATTTTCATTTAATGTAAAACAAGATTAATACTAAGGTAGCCCACACTGCTCATTTAACTACTGTACCTGGACTTTGAAGTGTGAACTTAGGTTATTGCAAGACCAGTAGCCCTTTATATGTATTTATGCTATGGAATGCAGGTTTTCTGTAAAATATTTTTAACCATGTTGGCGACTCCTATTTTTGCTATTTAATTTTTTCCTGAATCTAATCCAGGCCCTTGATTTCTTTCTCTTTTTATATTTATATTCTTTTATACTCATGCTGAAATTTAGCCTAGTCATAGAATTTTAGAAATGTTTAGATACTTAGAGATTCCTAATTAATATTTGGTATATTAATTTGGCCCTTTCTATTGAATAAATGAGAAAACTAAAGCCTGGAGAGGTTGTGACTTGCCCAGGTCAGCCTCCTTGTCCAGAACCCCTGGCTGCAGCCTCCCAATAATACCAGGTTCTTTCTCTGAACAGCTCTAATTGGCTGACTCTGCTCTACTTGGTGAAAAGTTTAATTTTGAACACATTCTCTTAGACTTCCCCCCCCACCCCACTTTTCTTTCTGATGTGGACAAATTAGTAAAAGACCACAGGAGTATTATATTCACAGATCTTGCATGGAGCCTGGCTCATAGTAGGCATGTAATAGAGACTAGTTCTAAGTGAACCAAACCTGGGAAGGAATGAGAAAGAATAACAGGTTACAAGTAGGGGCTTGCAGCTGAGCAGTCCTCACCCTGTTTTTGCTAGTTTATTTTCCATCTTTCTCTACCCAGGAGAGGGAGCAGCATGTTGTACTCATGGTGAAGGTGTCATGTGCTGGTTAGTGGGAGTCTTTAAACGATTTTCTTTTCCCTTGCAGGTCCTTTCCCATAACCTGTGCACGGTGCTGAAGGTTCCTCATGACCCAGTTGCCCTTGAAGAGCACTTCAGGGATGATGATGAGGGTCCAGTGTCCAACCAGGGCTACATGCCTTATTTAAACAGGTTCATTTTGGAAAAGGTATGATTCTAACCTTTTTTTGGGTGTAGCATTGTTTGGTTTGCATGTTTCAAGTGGGCCCAAAAGCCCCCTGTTGGTGAGTTCACTAAGGAGTTGAGGTACAAAGAATCACTAGATAAACCAGAAAGGAAGAAAGAATGAGAGACTGACAGTGCTTCCTATTCTTCCCTCTCCTCCACTGTCTTCTAAACTTGGTTTGATGTTTTTCCAACTTGGTTCATTCTTTGAAATTAAGAACTGTGTTTTGTGTTAATCTGTACCTATTCTCTCTCAGGGTGCTTTAAAAAAATCAAGTCTAATATCCAGAATTTACAAGGAACTTAAACAAATTTACAAGAAAAAACCCCATCAAAAAGTGGGCAAAGGATATGAACAGACACTTCTCAAAAGAAGACATTTACACGGCCAACAAACATGAAAAAGCTCAACATCACTGATCATCAGAGAAATACAAATCAAAACCACAATGAGATACCATCTCACGCCAGTCAGAATGGTGATTATTAGAAAGCCAGGAAACAATAGATGCTGGCGAGGCTGTGGAGAAACAGGAACGCTTTTACACTGTTGGTGGAAATGTAGATTAGTTCAACCATTGTGGAAGGCAGTGTGGCGATTCCTCAAGGATCTACAACCAGAAATACCATTTGACCCAGCAATTGCATTACTGGGTATATACCCAAAGGAATAGAAATCATTCTACTATAAAGATACATTCATGCCCAGGCAGGGTGGCTCACATCTGTAATCCCAGCACTTTGGGAGGCCGAGGCGGGCAGATCACCTGAGGTCAGGAGTTTGAGACCAACCTGACCAATATGATGAAACCCCATCTCTATTAAAAATACAAAAATTATTTTTAGTACGTGTGGTGGCATGCTCCTGTAATCCCAGCTACTCAGGAGGCTGAGACAGGAGAATTGCTTGAACCCGGGAGGTAGAGCTTGCAGTGAGTCGAGATCACGCCATTGCATTCCAGCCTGGGCATCAAGAGCGAAAATCCGTGTCAGAAAAAAAAAAAAATACGTGCACACGTATGTTTATTGCAGCACTATTTACAATAGCAAAGACATGGAACCAACCCAAATGCCCATCAATGATAGCCTGGATAAAGAAAATGTGGTACATATACGCCATGGAATACTATGCTGCCCTAAAAAAGAGTGAGATCATGTCCTTTGCAGGGACATGGATGAAGCTGGAAGCCATCATCCTCAGCAAACTAACACAGTAACAGAAAACCAGACACCACGTGTTCTCACTCCTAAGTGGGAGTTGAACAATGAGAACACATGAACACAGAGGGGGGAACAACAGACACCAGGATCTGTTGGGGGTTGGGGGATGAGGGGAGGGAACTTAGAGGATAGGTCAATAGGTGCAGCAAACCACCACAGCACACGTACACTTATGTAACAAACCTGCACGTGCTGCACAGGTATCCGTTTTTTTTTGTTGTTGTTGTTGTTTTTGTTTTTAGAAGAAAAAAAAATCTGGTTTCATATATACTGGCAATAGTTGTTTTTTTTGAGGGGTCTCATCCTGTCACCCAGGCTGGAGTTCAGTGGCACGATCTCAGCTCACTGTAGCCTCTGACCTCCTCGGGCTCAGGTGACCCTCCTACCTCAGATTCCCATTATTGGGACTGCAGACGTACACCACCACACCTGGCTCACTTTTGTATTTTTTTGTAGAGACGGGGCTTTGCCATGTTGCCCAGGCTGGGGCAATGGTTGTTAAAGTGTGGAAGTGGTGGAGTAATGTGTGAATATTAAAAGTGATGATTATCTTTACTGTATAGATATTATACAGCCAACTCTTATCCCAGACTTTTCAGGGTACCACTTAGATATTTCCTCTGGGATATGTTCTGAGTAAAGATGCTTTAAAAAACCTGTGAGGTGCTTGGAAGTCAAATATCACCTATTAGTGTTTGGGGCCATGTTCGGTTTTTCCCTTGGGTTGGATCATTACAAATTGACACACTAAAATTTTGAATTTGATGCAAGAAAAGATGGTACATTTAAATAATTTTTAAAATTGGTGATGAAAAAGTTACAAAAGGTAGTACATAAGCAGTTAATACAGAAATATGTGAAATAAAAAGTGAACGTTGCTTTAATTTTTTGTAGTCTGATTTTCCTGGAGTAACCAGTGTTAATAATTTAGAGAATATCTTTGTAGACTTTCAAAAATTACCTGAAAACATACACACACATGCACCCACACACACATACACATGTACACACACCCTCAAATCAATATATGCTATTTTGTTTCAACATGAATAGGATCATATTATACATACAGCTCTGCAACTTTTTAAAAAAAGGTTTTTTTATGTGACCAGTAGGATATAAGCAACTTATTTTTTTAATTGAACAATATATTAGTGTCATCTTTCCATATCATGTACATTTAGTTTAGATATGAAAGTAATCATTTATATCAAAAGTTTGTGAATTCCTCCTTTTGCCTATTTATAACACCGAGCATGAAATTTCTTTGTATACTTCTAAGTTTTAAATTCTTACTATTTTTATCATTTTTTGCTTAGACCGTTCTCCATAACAAGTATATTTCAATAATGCCTTTCAAAAAATGATAATGATAATACTTTCGAATTAAAAGTAAAATACTTGCAGCTGGGCATGGTGGCTTATATCTGTAATACCAGCATTTTGGGATGCTGAGGTGAGAGGATTGTTTGAGGTCAGGAGTTCAAGACTAGCCTGAACAACATAGTGAGACCTTGTCTCAAAAAATATATAAATAAAACATTAAAAAAATTTTAAAAACTCAATTTTTGCATCAAACCTAAATACACAACTATATGCATGTTTTTCTATGGCTTCAGATTTTTATTATTATTTATATGTATAATTTTTAAAATAGTTTAATGTCTTTTTACAATAGTAAAGTATAGTAATTAGCATTTATAATAATAATTTAATAGTTTGGAAAATGCCAAAATGTTAGTCAGGATTCTTTTTTTTTTTTGAGATTCTTTTTTTTTTCTTTTTTTTGCTCTTGTTTCCCCAGCAGGAGTGCAGTGCCGCAATCTCGGCTCACAGCAACCTCTGTCTCCCAGGCTCAAGCAATTCTCCTGGCTTAGCCTCCTGAGTAGCTGGGATTACAGGCACATACCACCACACCCAGCTATTTTTTGTATTTTTAGTAGAGACAGGGTTTCACCATGTTGACCAGATTGGTCTTGAACTCTTGACCTCAGGTGATCCTCCCACCTCGGCCTCCCAAAGTGCTGGGATTACAGGCATGAGCCACTGTGCCCAGCCAGGATTCTTTTTAGAAACCACGAGAAATATTTTTCAAGAATTTTGCAGCAAAGATTCTAAAAATTACAATGTTCATCTGTGTGATAATCTTTGTATCTATATCTTTTATTCCATATCAGCCTCACAATACAAGTTCCTGATCTTTCTTTGTGTGTATGCACGCCTATGTATATGTGTGTGTGTATTTCATGTGTTATACATGTTTTTTGGTTTTTTGAGACAATGTCTTGCTCTGTCGCATAGGCTGAAGTGCAGTAATGCTGTCACAGCTCCCTGCAACCTTGAACTCCTATGCTAAATAAAGTAGTCCTCTTGCCTCAGCCTCTTGAGTAGTAAGGACTACAGCTGCGTGCCACCACACCTGGCTAAGTTTTAACATTTTTTATAGAGACGGGATCTCACTATGTTGCCCAGACTGGTCTTGAACTCCTGCCCTCATGCAATCCTCCCACCTGGGCTTACCACAGTCCTGGGATTACAGATGTGAGCCACCATGCCTGGCCAATACATGTTTTTTGTTTTTTTTTTTTTTTTTTGAGACCAGGTCTCGCTCTGTCACCCAGGCTGGAGTACAGTGGCATGATCTCAGCTCACTGCATCCTCCGCCTCCTGGGTTCAAGCAATTTTCTTGCCCCAGCCTCCCCAGTAAATGGGATTATAGTTGTGTGCCACCACGCCTGGCTGATTTTTGCATTTTTTGTTGAGATGGGGTTTTACCATGTTGGCCAGGCTGGTCTTAAACTCCTGACCTCAGGTGATCTGCCCCCATTGGCCTCCCAAAGTTCTGGGATTACGGGCGTGAGCCACTGTGCCTGACCTGGGTTCTTTTTTTTGAGACGGAGTCTCTCTTTGTCCCCCAGGCTGCAGTGTGGAGTGCAGTGGCATGATCTCGGCTCACTGTGTCCTCTGCCTCCCGGGCTCAAGCCATTCTCCTTCCTCAGCCTCTTGAGTAGCTGTGACAACAGGCATGTGCCACGACACCTGGATAATTTTTGTATTTTTAGTAGAGATGGAGTTTTACCATGTTGGCCAGGCTAGTCTCCAACTCCTGACTTCAGGTGATCTGCCTGCCTCAGCATCCTAAAGTGTTGGGATTATAGGTGTGAGCCATTGTGCCCAACCTCAATGCATGTTTTTAAAGAATTTCCTTTTCAGAGATGATAACATTACCCTGATCGTGCTTTTTTCTTTTCTTCATATTTATTTTTTTAATTGACCAAAAAAATATATTTATGGGATACAACATGATGCTTTGCAATGTGTATACATTGTGGAATGGTAAAGTGAAACTAGGTAGTGTGCATTACTTCACATCCTTATTTGTGGTTAGAATACTTAAAGTCTACTCTCTTAGCAATTTTTAGGTATTTAATACATTGTTATTAACTATAGTTATCATGTGGTACATGATCATGCTTTAATTCGGAAAAAAAGGAAGAAAAACCACATGATAATGAAAGGTAAGATTTAATTAAATTCTCAAAAGCAACATATGGTATGATTCTATTTATATGAAATGTCCAAAATAGGCAAGTAAATAGAGATACAAAGTAGATTAGAGGTTTCTTGGGGTGAGGGGGAGGTAGGAATGGTGAGTGATTACTAATGATCTTGGGTTTCTTTTAGGGATGATGAAAATATTCTAGAATTAACCAGTGATAAAGCCTTATGAATATATTGAAAACCACTGAATTGTATACTTTAAAAGGGTGAATTTTATGGTATGTGAATTATATCTCAATAAAAAATAATTAAATTGTACCAAAATTGATGTGTAAAGCCTCAGCACTTTACAGTATAATGCTTTTTTTTTGTTGCTGTTCTGTTTATTGCTCAGGTAGCTTATTTGTGTTCTATAGTTTTATTATATGTAAATATGTCTAATATGTCAAATATTTGCTGAATATATTTCATATATACTTACAATAAAACTATAGAACACAAATACTTGATGGCCTGCTGTGTGTATGTGTGTTTAATGATAGACACTGGTTGGGCACAGTGGCTCATGCCTGTAATCCCAGTGCTTTGGGAGGCTGAGGTAGGAGCATCATTTGAGCCCAGGAGTTCAAGACCATCCTGGGTGACATAGTGAGATCCTATCTCTATAAAAAAACTTAAAAATTAGCCAGGCTTGGTGGCACATGCCTGTAGTCCTAACTACTTGAGAGACTGAGGTGGGAGGATTGCTTGAGCCTAGGAGTTTGAGGTTACAGTGAGCTATGATTGTGCCACTGCACTGTGGCACAATGGTCTCACTGTGTCACCCAGGCTGTATAGTGTGTATATATATATATATATATATATAGTCTCTAGATACAGACAGTAAATAGAATTGTGTCTGTTATTAAAATATTATAGAACATACTGGGAAATTCTCAGAAATTCGAATTTGTTTTTCTTATTTCAGTGCTAGAATTTGTGTGTGCTGGGCCAGTGGATAGAGAAACATGGTTTAATATCTTGAAGTGCTGCACCCTACTACTGCATTTTGTTCTCCTTGGTGTGACATTCTTTAAACTTACTGAATTTTATTTAGTTTTAAAATGTTCTTTGTTTTAGTATTTCAAGTTTTTAAAGTTTTATAACTGGGGGAGGAAATATAGTAGTGTTTTAAAAGTCAAAAATGAGCCACTAAATTTGGAGAGAAACTTATTCACGGAGGGAATGAGGATGTGATGGAACAGTGAGCCCTTGTTTATTATTGCTTAGCCACCTGGAGTGGAATTTTGCCAGTCCTGCAATCCAAGTAAAGCAGCCAAGGTTTCCATGGTTTGAGTTTAAATTGAGCAAAGATTAGTGCCTTATTTGAAACTTGGTTGAAAAAAGAAATGCCAACAGTGACTGAAGAATGTTAACATAAAACTTAGAGATTATAATCAGCTATGTAGAGAAAATATGAAATAGTTATTAAACAGTTGCAAGGTATGCTGTCATGTATACATACTGTCTCATTTGATCTTCATGTTAATTCTGTGAGGCAGAATTGGAATTATCCCCCATTAACTAAAGAGGAAACAGCTTAAGGTGGCCTAGCTAATAAGTGATAGGTAGATTTTTGAACCTAAGCCATTTAATTTCACCACCAGTGTTTCTTTAACTGTACTATTGAAGGATTATTTGCTCCCTTTAGGAATTAAGTTTTTTTCCAATGTCTCATATTTGGATACATGGGGGAAATATTGGTCGAAGGCAGGGAGGGGTAGAGTTGTTTAAAAGCCATTTTGATTACCTCACACTTGCTCAGTTTTCATCCAGTTTTCTTCTGTTCTGTCTCAAGTTGTTTTAAGGTGATTCTCTTGTCTTAATTAGTGTATGGTGTTCCTTAGTGTTCATTTTGGTCAGTTTTTTTCAGTTTTTTTCCCAGGTTGTTTTAGGGGTTTTCTGCCTTTGCCTGGGAGAATTATTCTGAGGAGGTTCATACCAAGAGTTAAATTATATTGAAACTTTCCAAAAAGTAATTTTTACGGTTGGTTTTTGTATTTACTTTGTTATTTTACATTGATAGAATTAATTTTCAGCTTTCCTGAGACTTCAAATGATTAACCTGTCTGTTGTTCCTTTACCAAGTATTTTTTCCTTCCAAATGTTAACTTTTTTTTTTTTTGAGACAAGTCTTACTCTTGTTCCCCAGGCTGGAGTGTGATGGTGGAATCTTGGCTCACTGCAACCTCCGCCTTCTGAGTTCAAGCGACTCTTCTGCCTCAGCCTCCCGAGTAGCTGGGATTACAGGTGCCTGCCACCACGCCCAGCTACTTTTTGTGTTTTTAGTAGAGACGGGGTTTCACCATGTTGGCCAGGCTGGTCTTGAACTCCTGACCTCAGGTGATCCACCTGCCTCGGCCTCCCAAAATGCTGGGATTATAGGCGTGAGCCACTGTGCCCGGCCCCAAATGTTAAATTTTTAAATTCCTTCTTGGCTGGGCGTGTTAGGTTATGCCTGTAATCTCAGCACTTTGGGAGGCTGAGGCAGGAGGATCACCTGAGCCCAGGAGTTCTAGAGCAGCCTGGACAACAAAGTAAGACCTTGTCTGTTAAAAAAAAAAAAATCCTTGTTTAGTAAAGGAATGGAATTCTTTAAACGTCTAGGAAGAAACTTTTGTGGGCTCTTTTTTTTTTTTTTTTTTTTTTTTGGCAGAGACACTATTGCTGGATTATCTGACAGTGAATAATTGAAGAAAGTGGTATATTACTACCTTCTAGTTAGTACCAATAAAGTATATAAAAAACTAGTTTTGCTTCAGCGTATTTTTAAGGCAGTCTAATTCTTCCATGAGATTTAATGGCTGATTAGGCTTGCTAGTCCAAATCTTGTCATTTCTTTTCTCTGATTCTCATATTAAGTCTTGGTTTGGGCTATATGATTAAAATCATTAATCCATTGGCAGTATGCCAAGTTCCAATTGGGGAATCTGGTGCTTTCTAACAGAAGCCTTTTTGTATTTGGTTTTTTGGAAACATACACAAAAGAAAAACACAGAGAAACTTTTCAGTTCAGTATGTCTCTCCTCCAGAGCCTAGCAGCCTCTGCATTCTGTTTTTCTAGTCTAATATTTATGCTTTTTCCCCTTGGTGTACTTTCTTGTTCATATGTCACTTATAATTCTTTTATAAAGTGTAGTCTCAAGTTTCTTCTGTTAATGAAATGACTCCCTTCAGTGCTCAAAGCACTTCAAATGTGTGCCTAACAACATCATTTAGTAGGAAGTGGTACTGTTCTTAAACACCCAAACCCGTGCTTTCATGTGGTTCTTTTTTATTGCTCTTTAGCCTGTGTTATTTTTTCGTTCATTGTTTTTTGAAAGTTACATAGTGTGGGTTTTGTTTTGTTTTTTTTTTTGTTTTCTGAGATAAGGTCTTGCTCTGTTGCCCACGCTGGAGTGCAGTGACATGATCATGGCTCACTGCAACCTTGCCCTGCTGGTCTCAAGAGATCCTCCCACCTTAGCCTTCCAAGTAGCTTGGGGAGTAGCTGGAATTACATGTGTGCACCACCATGCCTGGCTAATTTTTAACTTTTTTTTGCAGAGGTCTCACTATGTTGTCCAGGCTGGTCTTGAACTCCTGAGCTCAAGTGATCCTCTTGCCTTGTCCTCCCAAAGTGCTGAGATTATAGGTGTGAGCCACTGCACCTGACTGAAAGTTACATAGTTTTAATTTGGTGCAATGACTAAGTTGGACTCTACATTTTCATTATATTTGTGAAACTATAGAGGACTATAAACTTTTGAGTAAATAAAGGGGTTTCATGCTGAGAAACATGAATGACTTTATACTGATGAATACTTTGGCCAGCAATGTGAGTCATGTACTGTAAAGATATATTGTTTTTTAAAGTAACAGTTTTATTGAGATATAAATTACATACCATACAATTAGTCTATTTAACATGTACCATTTAGTGGTTTTTTTGTTCATTCACTACAACCATTACCACAATTGATTTTAGAATATTTTCATCTCACTGCTGCCCCCAAAATCTCATACCCATTTAGCAATCACTCCCTCTCCCCTATAGCTCTAGGCAAGTGCAAATCTACTTTCTGTCTATATATATTTGCCTATTCTGGACATATAATATTAATGGAATGATACAATAGCCAGCCTTTTGTATCTGGCTTCTTTCACTTAGCATAATGTTTTCAGGGTTCATCCACGTTGTATCCTATAACAATACTTCATTCCTTTTTATGGCTGAATAACATTCCGTTACGGATATACCATGTTTTATTTACATATTCAGTTCATCAGTTGTTGGACATGTGGGTTGTTCACTTTAGTGCAATCACGTTGGCCTTCTCTCTGTTCCCCAGATTACCAAGACCCTTCCTGCCTCAGAGCCTTCAGACATGCTGCTTCCTGTGCTGTAAGGCCAACTCCGCCCATCAAATGCAGCGAATTTTTGTTGATCCTTTAGCTCTGGACTTGATTGTCACTTCCTCAGGGAGGTTTCTCCTGGTAGAACCCACCCTTCCCAGAGCTAACCAGCTCTCCTATAATGTGTTTCCCGCAGCAGCCTGTGCTTTTCCTCTATAGCACTTACTAGTTGTTGGGTTGTTGCTGTATTGTTTGGTGTCTGATTCCCTCTCCAGACTCTGAGTTCTGTGACGGCAAGAACTGGTTCACTGTTATCCAGCTCTTAGCATAGTAACTGGTACCTGGTAAACACTCACAATGATTTGAATGAATGAATGCGCAAATTAATACTGCAAACCAGGCAGAGGGGTACAAAACTGAATAAGATATGGCCTTTGATTTCAAAGAATTCATGATTTCATGTGAGTTGTAATAAAATATAGAACTGGGACTCAGGAAAGAGTTTGAGGTTAGAAATGTATATGTAGTTATATGAGAAGAGCCTACCATTTTACTTTCTCCTTCTTGGCTCTTGCTCTGGTTTAAATGGTTTTATGAAACTATAAAACCATTGAGATATAATTCACATAACATAAAACCTACCATTTTAAAGTGTACAGTAAAATAGTTGTGAATGTATTTACTATGTTGTGTGGCCATCATCCCTATCCAAATTCTGGATTTCTGAGAATTTCCCAGTATGTTCTATAATATTTTAATAACAGACACAATTCTGTTTACTGTCTATATAGAGAGAGACCATATATATATTTATGGCCTTACTGTGTATATATATGACCTCACTGTGCAAACACACTGGTCAATTTATCCAGCATTCAATGCTTTGGAGTTGCTACCTGCTTTAGATGCTTCTTGGGACCACGAGCCATGGCTGCATTAGGCAAGGAAAGAGGACCTGCATCTTCCCTCTTTTTTTTTTTTTAATTTTTATTATTTTATTTTATTTTACTTTTTTGAGACACTCTTTCTGTGTTGCCCAGGCTGGAGTGCAATGGTATAATCTCAGCTCACTGCAACCTCCACCTCCCGGGTTCAAGTGATTCTCATGCCTCAGCCTCCTGAGTAGCTGAGATTACAGGTGCGAGCCACCACGCCTGGGTAATTTGTATTTTTAGTAGAGATTGGGTTTCACCATGTTGGTCAGGCTGGTCTCGGACTCCTGGCCTCAAGTCATCTGCCTGCCTTGGACTCCCAAAGCGCTGAGATTGCAGGCATGAACCACTGTGCCCTGCTAGAGTTCCCTGTATTCCCCTTTATTGGAGCATTTGCACATAACTGTTAGTCTGTCTTCCTCCTCGCACTAGAAGCTCCTTAGAGACTACGTATGTCTTATTTTATGTGGGACTCCTCCCATACCAGATGTTGACTGACCTGTAGTAGACAGGTAACAAATATTTGCATATCCACAGATACACGGTGAAAGACAGGATCTAGAATAAGAGTCTTGAGCTGCAGTTCAGCTCAAAGACATATTGATGCAGACATTGCTACACTTCATACAAACAGCAAAGATGATCTGTTCTCTCCCCTTTGTACACAAATGGTTGATCTGTATACACTGGTGATCTGTATACACTTGGTGATCTGTATACACTGGTGATCTGTATACACTGGTGATCTGTATGCACTGGTGATATGTATATACTTGGTGATCTGTATACACTTGGTGATCTGTATACACTGGTGATCTGTATGCACTGGTGATATGTATATACTTGGTGATCTGTATACACTGGTGATCTGTATACACTGGTGATCTGTATGCACTGGTGATATGTATATACTTGGTGATCTGTATACACTGGTGATATGTATACACTGGTGATATGTATACACTGGTGATCTGTGTATACTTGGTGATCTGTATACACTTGGTGATCTGTATACACTGGTGATCTGTGTATACTTGGTGATCTGTATACACTGGTGATCTGTATACACTGGTGATCTGTGTACACTTGGTGATCTGTATACACTGGTGATCTGTATACACTGGTGATCTGTGTACACTTGGTGATCTGTATACACTGGTGATCTGTATACACTGGTGATCTGTGTATACTTGGTGATCTGTATACACTGGTGATCTGTGTACACTTTGTGATCTGTATGCACTGGTGATCTGTGTACACTTGGTGATCTGTATGCACTGGTGATCTGTATACACTGGTGATCTGTATACACTTGGTGATCTGTATACACTGGTGATCTGTGTACACTTGGTGATCTGTATGCACTGGTGATCTGTATACACTGGTGATCTGTGTACACTTGGTGATCTGTATGCACTGGTGATCTGTATACACTGGTGATCTGTGTATACTTGGTGATCTGTATGCACTGGTGATCTGTATACACTGGTGATCTGTGTATACTTGGTGATCTGTATACACTGGTGATCTGTGTATACTTGGTGATCTGTATACACTGGTGATCTGTATACACTGGTGATCTGTGTATACTTGGTGATCTGTATACACTGGTGATCTGTATACACTGGTGATCTGTGTATACTTGGTGATCTGTATGCACTGGTGATCTGTATACACTGGTGATCTGTGTATACTTGGTGATCTGTATACACTGGTGATCTGTGTATACTTGGTGATCTGTATACACTGGTGATCTGTATACACTGGTGATCTGTGTATACTTGGTGATCTGTATACACTGGTGATCTGTATACACTGGTGATCTGTGTATACTTGGTGATCTGTATACACTGGTGATCTGTGTATACTTGGTGATCTGTATACACTGGTGATCTGTATACACTGGTGATCTGTGTATACTTGGTGATCTGTATACACTGGTGATCTGTGTATACTTGGTGATCTGTATACACTGGTGATCTGTATACACTGGTGATCTGTGTATACTTGGTGATCTGTATACACTGGTGATCTGTATACATTGATCAGCACTTGTTTTTTTTCCCCCCATTTTGTCTTTTTGTTTATTTTATAATATGATATATACAAAATAATATTTGTAGGATATATGAAAATTATAAAGCATAATAAAATGAACATCTGTGAACCTACCACTCATCTTGGGAAACACATCAGTAATGTTGCCTCAACCTCTTTGCTCTTCTCTTTTGTCATTTCCCTGCCTCCTCCCGAGAGGAAGCCACCATCCTGAATTTTATGTGCATTTTCCTCTCACATTAGAAAAAAGTTTTGTCATATATGTATATCTTAATGTATGATTAATTTTTACTCTGGAGACATAAAAATAGGATCATGCTGTATATGGTCTTTTCTGACTTGCATTTTTCACTGGACATTATATAATTCTTCGTGTTGTGTACCTTCATGTCATATCTTGGTGATTAGTTCAGATTAGCACATAAAGAACTCTTTTTTTTTCTTGTTACAGCTGTGTATATGGTCAGTACATCATATAATTTAATAATAAATACTTTGCAGCATTTTTTTCCTTTTTTTTCTTTATTTTTAGCTATCTCCTACAGGAAGGAAGCATTTTTTTTCTTTAGCAAGATTCTTTCACATATATTTCTTTATTCTTATTCTTAGAACCTTGAAAACCATTCGGTATAGTGTATGGTATATGAAATTCCGGAAACCCAAGATTGAATTTCTTTATTTTGTTTGACATTATACCTTGTGTGAAAACACTTGAATACTAATGCTTTATGCACTATTTTCTATGAAAACTATAGATTTTATACTTAAAAAAACTGGTAAAAATATATAATGTAAATTTATCCTCAACAGTTTTAAGGCTATAGTACAGTATTTTTAACTGTATGCACATTATTGTACAACAGAACTTTAGAACCTGTTTATCTTGCATAACTGAAACTCTACACCTTTTGAACAACACCTCTTTTCCTTTTCCCCCTGGCCCTGGCAATCACCATTCTACTATTTTTTTAAAGTGTGTTTGATTACTTTAGATACCTTCTATTATAAGTAGAATCATGCTGTATTTGTCTTTTTTGATTAGCTTATTTCACTTAACATAGTGTCCTCAGGGTTCTTCCCTATTGTCACCTATGAGAGCATTTCCTTCTTTTTTTAAGGCTGAATAATACTTCATTGTATGTATATAACACATTTTCTTTTTCTTTTCTTTTTTTTTTTTTTTTGAGACAGAGTCTCACCCTGTCGCTCAGGCTGGAGTGTAGTGGTGCGATCTTGGCTCACTGTAGCCTCCACCTCTGGGGTTCAAGTGACTCTCCTGCCTCAGCCTCCTTAGTAGCTGGGATTACAGGTGCCTGCCACCATGCCTGGCTAATTTTTGTATTTTTTGTAGAGACGCGGTATCACCATCTTGGCCAGGCTGGTCTTGAACTCCTGACTTCAAGTGATCCACCTGCGTTGGCCTCCCAAAGTGTTGGGATTACAGGCGTGAGCCACTGTGCCTGGCCCTTATTTTCTTTTAAAAAATTTAAAAAAAAATTTTTTTAAACTTTAATAGTTTTGGGGGAACAGGTGGTTTTTTTGTTATATAGATAAGCTATTTAGTGGTAACTTCTGAGATTTTGGTGCACCTGTCACCCAAGAAGTGTACCCTGCACCCAATGTATATCACATTTTCTTTATCCATTTATCCCTGGATGGACATTTAGGTTGCTTCCACATCTTGGCTATTGTGAATTATGCTGTAGTGGGTATAGGTGTGCAAATGTCTCATTAAGGTCCTGTTTGCAGGTCTTTTGGATATATATCCAGACGTGGGATTGCTAGATCATATGGTAGTTCTATTTTTAACTTTTTGAGGAACTTCCACACTGTTTTCCATAGCAGCTGCACCATTTTACAATCCCACCAACAGTGTGCAAGGGTTCGAATTTCTCCACATCCTAACAATAACACTTGTTATTTTCTGGTTTTTTTGATAGTGACCATTCTAACAGGTGTGAGGTGATATCACACTGTGTTTTGATTTGCATTTCCCCAATCATAAGTGATGTTGAGCATCTTCTCATATGCTTGTTGGCTGTTCGTATATATTATTTGGAGACATGTCGAATAATTCCTTTGCCCATTTTAAAATTCGCTTATTTGTTTTTCTGTTATTGAATTGTAGGAGTTCTTCATGTATTCTGTTCTAAACTCCTTGAACTGTTTTCCTACAGGCTATTTCTTAAAATTATGAAGCCCTTTGTGATTTGGTCTTATATTTGCTTTTCCAGCTGTATATCTAGCCATTTCCCCTCAGGAACCCTATGATTCACCACAGAATCCACTTAGAATCACTTCTTGTTCTCAGAGCAAGGCTATCTGCTTTTGTGCACATGTCATTTCCCCTGTGTGGCATATCTTCCACTTAGTGTTTTGTGGGGTGTGGATAGAGTTGGTGGTGGTGGCCTTGGAAATGTTCTGCATAGATGGCATTCATCCCATAGATGGCATTCATCCCATAGATGGCCTCCAC
Organism: Homo sapiens; assembly: GCF_000001405.40. Lineage (NCBI taxonomy): Eukaryota > Metazoa > Chordata > Mammalia > Primates > Hominidae > Homo > Homo sapiens. Next base: position 9,708,866 of record NC_000011.10, read on the forward strand.
CTACTGAGTTCTACAAGCAGTTTGGTATGGTGGGAAGAGCTAGCATTTGAGACAGAGTTGCGCTCTGTCACCCAGACTAGAGTGTGAATTTGTACAGCAGCATGATCACAGCTCACTACAGCCGTGAATTTCTGGGCTCAAATGAGACTCCCACCTCAGCCTCCTGACAAGCTAGGACTATAGGCACAAACCACCATACCCTACTAATTAAAAAATGTTTTTCTTTAAAGACAGGGGTCTCACTATGTTGCCCAGGTTGGATTTTTTTTTCCCCCTCAGACAGAGTCTCACTTTGTCGCCCAGGCTGGAGTGCAGCAGCACAGTCTTGCCTTCATTGCAGCCTCCACCTCCCAGGCTCAAGTGATCCTCCTGCCTCAGTCTCCCGAGTAGCTGGGGCTAAAGGCACATGCCAACATGCTCAGCTAATTAAAAAAAATGTTTTTGGTAGAAATAAGATGTCGCTATATTGCCTATATTGGTCTCGAGCTCCTGGTCTCAAGCAATCCTTCCACCTCAGCCTCCCAAAGCATTGGAATTATAGGCCTGAGCCACCACACCTTGCTGAGCTTGAGTTTAAACTTTGGTTTTGATATTTACTAGCCATGTGAACTTTGTAAATGTACAGTTGACACTTGAACCCACATAGTTGAAAATCCAAGTATAACTTTTTTTTTTGAGACAGAATCTCTCACTTTGTCACCTAGGCTGGCATGTAGTAGTGCGATCTCCCACCAACTTCAGCCTCCCGGGCAGCTAGGACCACAGATGCATGCCACCATGCCTGGCTAATTTTTAGTATTTTTGGTAGAGACAGGGTTTCACCATGTTGCTCAGGCTGATCTCAAACTCCTGAACTCAAGCGATCCACCTGCCTTGGCCTCCTAAAGTGCTGGAATTACAGGCATGAGCCACTGTGCCTGGCTTCCAAGGTTAGCTTTTGACTCCCCCAAAACTTAACTCCTAATAGCCTACTGTTGACTGGAAGGCTTACCAATAATATAAACAGTTGATTAGCACATATTTTAATGTAAAATGTATTATGTGCAGTTATTCTTATGATAAAGTAATCTAGAGAAAAGAAAATGTTATTAAGAAGATCATAAGGAAGAGAAAATGTATTTACTATTCATTCAGTGGAAGTGGATCATTGTAAAGGTCTTTATCCTCATTGTCTTCTTGTTGAGTAGGCTGAGGAAGAGGCGGAAGTTGTTGGTCTTGCTGTCTCAGTGGTGGCAAAGGCAGAAGAAAATCCAGTCCACATTTAAGTGGACCCTCGAAGTTCAAACCTATGTTGTTCAAGGATGCTCAGTTTTTTGGAACCTGTATTTTCTGATCTCTAAAATAGGGGCAATAATTAACCTTATAGGACTAATACAAAATTTAAGTGAGAAATAACATATAAAATGCCTAGCATATAGTAAGTCTTCAAGGTGATAGTGATAAGGCAAAAAAGAAAAGCAGCAGCAATTGCTGCTTCTGCTGCTGCTGCTGCTTTCCCTCCATGGGATCACTTGTATTTGATGGGGCCGTGGGAAATGGTGTTAGACTGAGGCAAGGTACTAAAGGCAGAACACAAAGGAGCTCTTTCTACTCCTGGAGGACTGGTTTGCCAACTACAAATTAAAGTTAGAGATCAGGTGAAACTTCGGCCTGCGGACAGCTGGTGACTTTTTTCATATAGTGAAAAAATGGTTTGTTCATATCTTTCTAAAAAGAAATGCTTCGCTGATGTTATTCTGCTGCCCATGCCTGCCTCCTCCAGTACATCTTCCATGTTATTCCAGGATATGGCTTTTTTTTTTTTAATTTTCAAAAAAAATTTTTTTTTTTTTTATTAAGTGTCTTGCCCTGTCTCCAAGGCTGGAGTGCAGTGGCATGATCATGGCTCACTGCAGCCTTGACCACCTGGGTACAAGCAATCCTTCTGCCTGACCTTCCTGAGTAGCTGGGACCACAGGCATGCACTGTTGTGCTCAGCTAATTTTTAAAATTATTATTTGTACAGACCGGGTCTGTCTCTGTTGCCCAGGCTGGTCTCAAACTCCTGGGCTCAAGGAATCTTTATGCTTTGGCCTCCCAAAGTGCTGAGATTACATAGGCATGAGCCACTGTGCCTGGCCTGTTTTTTATTTTTATTTATTTATTTATTTATTTATTTTTGTATTGTTATACATATTTATTTATGTATTTTTTATTTTTATTTTTTTAAACATTGTTTATATTAATTTAAAAAATAAATAGAAATGAGGTCTTGCTATATTGCCCAGGCTGGTCTCAAACTTCTAGCCTTAAGCAGTTCTCTTGCATCAGCCTCCCATAGTGCTGGGACTACAGGAGTGAGGCACTGCACTGGTGCAGAATGTGGCTTTTAAAATGAAGAGTGTGTCTGTTACTACCTTCAACTCTTTCAGTCCAGATAAAGTCCTAACTCCTTAACATGAATGATAAATCTCCTAATGATCAGTCTTCACCTACCTCACTGGCTTGTCTTTCACTGTGTCCCAAGTAATGGAAATTTGCCTTTTATGTGTGTGTGTGTGTGTCTGTCTGTCTGTCTGTCTAGCATCTGAACTTTTTTCTTACATTTGGGAAATTCTACAGAGTCTTGGTGGGGAACAGGACCTGTCTCACACCTCAAAATCTGGAAAGTTCAGGTACTCATTTTTCCCTGTTCCTTGGCAGCTAGAGCACAGGAATGTGACCCAGGCTCAGCCAGTAGAACTTTGAATCTGCAGTGAGTGACGCAGAAGATCATGGACAGGGGCAGTGGTAGCAGTGGTAATAGTGAGGGTGCTCTCATGTTATACAGGCAGTGGTGTCTTCACCAGACTGTTCCCGTGAGTGGTTCAGCCGCAGTTCTGGCTGCCTGCTCTACCTTGATACCAGCCTAATTTCAGAGCCTAGATTTTTCTAGCCTTTGCGTTAGATCTGTGAGGTTACCCATTGTTTTTCCAATAAATTCCTTTTGTTTTTAAAGGAACCCAAGGTGGTTCCTGTTACTTGCACTTACACGAAGAGCCTTAGTTATACCACCCTCCAGCACCAGGTGCCCCATTCACATTAAATACTCACAGTTCTTCCAAACTAACCATGCTTGCCTCCACTTCGGGGCTTTCTCACATTCTGTTCTACCTGGAATACCCTTTATCCCATTCTTGATCTGTTTGACTCTTGATGCTGCTTGAGAACTCAGCTCTGTTGTCCTGTCACTCTTTCTGCGAATCTTTCCCCAGATGTCAAGATTGTGTTAGCTCCTCAGTGCTCCCACAAAATCCTCTGCTTATCTCTATTACAGTACTTGTCACACTCTGCTGTAATTGTCTTTACATTCCTTGGGAACATAGGCCAGTATTATGTTGAGTATCTTTGTACTGTCTTTGGCAAATAATAATTATGATCTAAATTTTATTTGTCAAATGAGTGAACAATTCTATTGAATTATACACTGTTAAATTATACAGTTATATTAAAATTTATTTGCATATCTGTTTTCCCTAATAAACTGTGAACATTTTAAGAGCACAGACCTAGTTCTTCATCTTTATATCCTTAGTTTATAGGATATAAAAGTGCCTCCCAGCACTGTGGGAGGCTGATGCAAGAGAACTGCTTAAGGCTAGGAGTTTGAGACCAGCCTGGGCAATATAGCAAGACCTCATCTCTATTTATTTTTTAAATTAATTAAACAATGTTAAAAAATAAAAACAAAAAATAGGCCAGGCACAGTGGCTCATGCCTATCTAATCTCAGTACTTGGCTCGTAGTAGATGCTGAGGAAACACTGGATACGTGAACAAATGAATGAATGGCAGGATTGTTGTTTTAGAATTTCAGTTAAATAGTTTTCCCCAAAAGAAGGTATCTTCTTCCTTTTTTTTTTTTTTTTTTTTGAGATAGAGTTTCGCTCTTGTTGCCCAGGCTGGAGTGCAATGGCGTGATCTCAGCTCACTGCAACCTCCGCCTCCCGGGTTCAGGCATGCGCCACCACGCCCGGCTAATTTTTGTATTTTTACTAGAGATGGGGTTTCTCCATGTTTGTCAGGTTGGTCTCAAACTCCTGACCTCAGGTGATCCGCCTGCCTCGGCCTCCCAGAGTGCTGGGATTACAGGCATGGGCCACCATGCCCAGCCTCTTCTTTGACCGTGTATGTAAAGATAATGTACCTGTACTTGGCTCATACTGAGTAATTGACATTCTCAGTTTCTTCCATGTGCTAGGATTGGTAGCCTGTTTATTAATAGGAAGATAGTGTATGCACATGAAACTGTAACTATTTGAGAGGTCAGTGCTAGGATTGGTAGTCTGTTTATTAATAGGAAGATAGTGTGTACACATGAAACGGTAACTATTTGAGAGGTCAGTATTTTATGTGCCAAGGGAGTGATATGGACAGATGTTGGTTCAGTGTCATGCTAAATGTAACATCTTAATTGAGCCACTGAAAGTGTAATACCTAAAGCAAATATGTAGGATATGGCTGTTGGTTAATTGGATTGATTAAAATGGGAGCCAAAGGAGGCTTTGTCTTTCTATTTTACTTGCCTTAGATACTGCTTATATCGGACTGATTTGTTGGAGTTTTTCCTTATTCCTTTTTAGGTCCAAGACAACTTTGACAAGATTGAATTCAATAGGATGTGTTGGACCCTCTGTGTCAAAAAAAACCTCACAAAGAATCCCCTGCTCATTACAGAAGAAGATGCATTTAAAATATGGGTTATTTTCAACTTTTTATCTGAGGACAAGTATCCATTAATTATTGTGTCAGAAGAGGTAAGGTGTGGCTTGGGGAGTTTTTACTTGGTCATTTTAGCATTTAATAGACCTGGCTTGGTATTTTTTCTGTTAATTCAGCATAGATATGGAAGGAGATCCTTGGCTAGTGTTTTTGGATCAGAGGCAAAGCAGCCTGAGTATAGAAAAGCTCCAAATATAGTAATTTGGGGCATGTAATACCCCTGGAGATTTACAGGGAAAGTGGGTTTCTTCTTCTCTAAATGGCTATGATGATAAGTGAATCTATCCTCACGTCCAAAGAGTATTCTGTACAAGTCACAACATAATTTTCATACTACTTGCATATTGACAAAACGTAACTGGCTGAGTGCTGGTATACATGGGAAACACATGAGATCCAGAATGTTGTTTTCAGGGCTGTTTTGTGTGAGTAAATACTATTCTTGTTTCAAAGTCCAGGGTGATGACTTTCCATACCTTTCAAAGTAAAAGAAAGAGAATGCTTGCTTTGTTATTTTCCCTAAACTTCCAAAGGAAAAAAATAATAGGAGTAAGGCTTCTGTGCTATCTAACTGTCCTAAAAAGTGACACATGTTAATACATGGTTATTACAGTAGAAAATTCAGAAAAGATTAATATACACAATTAAAATCAGCTGTAGTCCCCACACTTTAAAAAAAAGTCATCTATAATCCCTTAACCTTGGACAAATTATTTAACCTGCAAGTCTTCATTTTCTCATCTGTGAAATAAAGCCAATTACAATGTTTAGTCTAAGGGTTGTGAAATTCTGCATTTAAAGGGTTTAGTTTAATGCCTGGCACATAGTATGTACTCAGTAACTCTTAAGACTACTCTTATTACATGCATTTTTGCATACTAGTCTGATTATTTTCTTTGAATAAACTTCCAGCAGTGGAATTCTGAGTCTTAAGAAATGCACACTTTCAGGGTATTAGATGAACAAGGCAAAGTTGCCCTTCAGAAAGGCTGTACCAAGGCATTAAAGGGTGGGAAGGATTTTGGCCAATAGTGAAGGCAGAGGAGAATTCTGGATGGAAGCAACAGTAGGCAGTGTTTTATGAGTCAGGAAAGCAAAGGGCATGTTCTAAAAGGAGTGAGGGAGGTATCCAGCTTGACTGAGTTGCCAGTCAGGATGCTTACTTAGAAACAGCCACACTGGCTGATTCAAGCCAAAAGGGGATTTTTTTTTTTTTTTTTTTTTTGAGACAGAGTTTCGCTCTTATTGCCCAGGCTGTAGTGCAATGGCGCAATCTCGGCTTATTGCAGCCTCCACCTCCCAGGTTCAAATGATTCTGCACCCCGCGGAGTAGCTGTGATTACAGGTGCCTGCCACCACACCTGCCTTTTTTTTTTTTTTTTTTTTAAGAAACGGGGTCTTACTCTGTTGCCCTGGCTGGAGTGCAGTGGTGCAATCATGGCTCACTGCAGCCTCAACCTCCTGGGCTCAGGGGATCCTCCTGTCTCAGCCTACTGAGTAGCTGGGACTACAGGTGTACATCACCACACTCAGCTAATTAAAAAAAATTTTTTTTGCAGTGATGGGGTCTTGCCATGTTGCCCAGCCTGGTATCAAACTCCTGGCCTCAAGTGATCCCTTTACCTCAGCCTCCCACAGTGCTGGGATTACAGGCATGAGCTACTGTGCAGGGCCTAAAAGGGAATTTTTTAAAAGTATGCTGGATAGCTTACAGAATCATCATGATGGCTTAAAAAACAGGTGTGGAGGCTATGCAATTTGGTCTGTCCTATTTACTGTACTGGCCACTCCATGAGGAACAACAAGGAAAATGCTGCTCCCACCAGAGGATGGGTGTTGCACTTATACCATGGAACACATCTGGTCCTGGACACTGATTGCTGCCTGTATTAGTCCATTTTCATGCTGCTGATAAAGACATACCCAAGACTGGGCAATTTATATAAGAAAGAGGTTTAATGAACTTACAGTTCCACATGGCTGGGGAGGGCTTACAATCATGGCAGAAGGTGAAAGCATGTCTCACATGGTGGCAGACAAGAGAAGAGAGCTTGTGCAGGGAAACTCTCCTTTATAAAGCCATCAGATCTCATGAGACTTATTCGCTATTACGAGAACAGCACGGGAAAGACCTGCCCCCATGATTCAGTTACCTCCCACCAGGTCCCTCTCACAACACCTGGGAATTCAAGGTGAGATTTGGGTAGGGACACAGCCAAACCATATCACTGCCCCAGAACTCAACTTTTCCTGGAACTGTTCTTCCTATGAGGGAGAGTTCTCCATAGTGCCCACTTCCCAATTATCATCAGGGCATGATGTATCTAATTGGCATGGCCTAGGTCAGGCACTGTGCACTAGCTGCAACGGAGTCTTGGAAAGGATACATTTGCATTTTCAGCTTCTACATTGGCAGGTAGGGATTTCCCCAGACATAAGAAAAGGGTTAAATGCTGGGCAGTCAAAAAAGAATGATACATGTCCTTTCTTACTGGAACATGATGGCTGTGAAGAAGATAGGCGGTAGATGAAGCTGGAGAGTTTTGACTTTATCCTGTAGGCAGTGTGGAAAGATGAGCCACTGATGATTTTTGAGGAAGAGAGTGATAGGTGAATAGATGAAATATGGAGACATGGGAGGTGAGAAGTTGAGAGAAGCTAAGTGGCATTGAGGACTAAAATACAGCGAGAATGGAAAAGAAGGCCAGATGGGAAGAACCTAGAGGTCACAGGACCAAGCATATAGTGCCTGGCTGTGGGGAAGCAGAGACAAGTTTCAGGCCTGGGCAACTGGGGAATAATATAGTATATTTGTTTAAAGCATAGTCTCTGAAATCAGACTGACTGGTTTGAAACCCACCTCTACCACTTATTAGCTTTGTGACAAATTACTCACTCTCTCTGTTTGGGGTTCCCCATCTGTAAAATGGGGATAACTACTTTCTTCATTGGACTCTGTGAGGATTGAAAAAGTTGATGTATGTGAAACATTTATTAAAGTGCCTGGACCCATGGTAGCTGCTCACTAAAAGGGGTGTGTGTGAATGAATGGTAGGATGATGAACAAATCTGGGACATATTGCATGGTGGTGGGTTTGGTACATTTGGGATTTTAGGTGGAACATCCTTGTGGAGCTGTGCACTAGAAGTGTTTATCTACAGCTTGTGAGAGGCCAGGGCTGGAGACAGAGGTGGGGAAACCACAAGAGTAGGTTAGATCAGGGAGGAAGACTGTAGTTGGAGACATGAGTGCCAAGGACGGAACCTTGGGACCATTTCTGTAGCAGAAAGAGGAAGTCGATTTGGCAAAGGAAGCTGAATTGAACACGCTATGAGGTAGGAGAACTGAGAGAGTGCTGAGTCATAGATGTCTAAGAAACACAAAGTTTTAAGAAGCACAGAAGTAGTTACTGGCATTAGATGCTATGGAAAAATTAGACAATGGTAAGTGAGAAGTTGCCCTTGGATTTAACAATTAGGTGCTCGCTGGTGATCAAGGAGAAGGCAGTTTCGCTGTAGTGGTGGGAACAGTTTCTTAGTGCTTAATAACAATGATGTAATCGTGTATGTATGTTAAAAAGGAAATGAAAAATAAAACATGCTATGAAATTTTTGTCCAAGGAAATTGTCTAGCTTAATACAGAGGTGTATAGAAGGGAATGTCTGTAGAAAAGAATATCCCAGTGGTGGTTTTAAAACCTAGCTGCTGCTTGAAAGAATTGTGCAAATAAAATTTACAGTATTTTAGGCTAAGTGTGCTGGCTCAAGCCTATAATCCCAGCACTTTGGGAGGCTGAGGCGGGCAGATCGCTTGAGCTCATGAGTTCAAGACTAGCCTGGGCAACATGGTGAAACCCTGTGTCTACAAAAAAATACAAAAATTAGCTGGGCATGGTGGTGTGCACCTGTTGTCCCAGCCACTTGGGAGGCTTAGGTGGGAGGATGGCTTGAGTCTGAAAGGGTGGTTTGAGCCTGGGAGGTGGAGCTTGCAGTGAGCAGAGAGTGGCATCATGCCACTGCATTGTAGCCTGGGAGATAGAGCCAGACCTTGTCTCAAAAAAAAAAAAAAAAAATTACAGTATTTTAAAACATTTTGTAGTTATACTGTGTTCCACAATTAATTGTGTTTTCTTTGAAAAACTGGATGTGGGGTGGGTCTCTTACCCTTGATGTTTTGTTTTTTTCCATCACTAAAATATTTGGTGGACTTGAAAGTGACCTTGTCCTGATTTCAGAATTAGAAATTAGTGAGTGTTTTTATTGCCTTAGGCAGCACTTGCTTAATGTGGATGACATGTCAATGGCATTAAATCACCATTGAGCCACAGGCTGTGAAGGGAGCCAGTCAGCATCAGTTTTCTGACTATTGTGCCTAAGAAACTCAAAAGATTTGTGCTGCAGGCATCCCGAAGGATTGGGACCCACATGGGCCTTGATGTGCGTTTCTGTAGGCCAGAGCCCAGCCAAGGCTCCTGGCATGTTTTTCTTCACCTTTGCAGGCTAACAGAAATGTCTTGATTCTCTTTCAAATCAAGTTAATCTCATTTGAGAAGTGAACAGCCTTTCTTTGATTTGTTAGAATAGCCAGGCAGCATACCTTGTCATGTTACTGTTTGGACTCACTCTGTGCTTTGACAGCTTTTACTCTCTCATCATTTCTTCTGGTTAGAAGTAGAATTTGAGTTAGTTTTATAGATTTTCCTCTGGGGCCAGGAGTGCTTGTGTGGGGAAAGAAGGGATCATTGGAGTAGATTTATGTGAGATTGCTTTGTCTAGCTGCTGAATTACCCTCCTGAGGTTAATCACATGGATTTGTATTTATGAAGCTCTTAGCCTATCACCTGGCCTTTGACCAAGCACTGCAAACTCAAGGTTATGCTATATTATGAAAAATACATTCTCTGTTAGCTTTTGCTTCCTTTCTGAATAATAACACTTCAAAAACTATATTTGGACTGATTGTAGACTTACAGATTTTAATAAAATTTAATGTGAAAACAGATATATTTAAAAAATAAATTTTGAAGTATAATGTCATAATTTTTCATGAACATATAGGTGGGTTTAACTTGTTATCAGTAGTTTTTAGGATTTATAAATTTGAAGTAATACTTCTTTCCAATAATCCACTTACCGTAATGATCATTTGCATTTTGTTTAGAGTGTTTTTTAAGAAAGATTTTTTTTTAAGCCTTAATTAATACAATGTAAAATATAACCAGCCTGGCTTGGTGGTTCATGCCTGCAATCTTTGGGAGGCTGAGGTGGGAGGATTGCTTGAGCTGGGGAGTTTGAGACCAGCCTGGGCAACATGGTGAAACCTCGTCTCTACAAAAAATACAAAAATTAGCTGGGCACAGTGGCACATGCCTGAAGTCTCAGCTACTCGGGAGGCTGAAGTGGGAGGATCACCCAGGAGGCAGACATTGTAGTGAGCTGTGATCATGCCACTGCACTCCAGCCTGGGGGACAGAGCGAGACACTGAATCAAAAAAAAAAAAAAAAAGATATAATTGTCAGCTGGGTGCAGTGGCACACACCTGTAATCCCAGAACTTTGGGAGGCTGAGGCAGGCTGATCACTTGAGCTCAGGAATTCGAGACCAGCCTGGGCAACATGGTGAAACCCCATCTCTGCAAAAAATATAAAAAATTAGCCAGGCAGGGGTGCTGAAGTGGGAGAATCGCTTTAGCCTGGGAGGTCAAGGCTGCTGTGAGCCAAGATCACTCCACTGCCTCCAGCCTGGGTGACAGAATGAGATCCTGTCTCAAAAAAAAAGATATAACCATGGCAGTTAGCCAGGTGTGGTGGTGCATGCCTGTAATCCCAGCTATATGGGAGGTTGAGGCAAGAGAATCGCTTGAACCCAGGAGGTGGAGGTTGCAGTGAGCCGAGATCGTGCCACTGGGCAACAAAGCGAGACTCCATCTAAAAAAAAAAAAAGTTAATGTTTGCTTCTGATTCAGTTTTCTGTTACCCAGAAAGTAGTGTCAAGTATGTTAAATAAATATTTAAGTGACTTACATAGTGAAGTTAAGATGTTTCTGTCACATAGTTGTAAGAAATAGTGTGTCCCCATTTGAGTTCGTTCCATAATTTTTGTTAGAATATATTCCTGGAAATATGTGCCTGCCAAGTACAGTTTTTATTTAGTATTTGTTTCTCACAGAACCAGGAACAAAACAGGATGTGTCTCTTGTGTACCTATTTGGAAGAATTGCCTTGATGCAGTTAAAAATTGAACCTGAAATAGTTTTAAGAGACCCTAAATAAATAAAACCTATTAAGCCAATAAAATGCCCCTTATTAATGATGATAGAGAAAGCATTTTTAATAAAATAAATTTTGGAACTGAAGGCCTCGAAAATCACATGCATCTTGAAAGTTTTTTCTTTGTTATTTTTGGTGAAACTTGCTTGGAAGGAGGAAGTAAGCTGCTTCCTGAAACTGAATGAGCTCTTAGAATTGATGCAGGCCACTAGAGACTAAAACGGCAACACATGATTTATTATTTAGTATAATTGAATAGTGGAGAATGGTAATGTTTGTCTCTCCTTGGCCCAATATAATGAATCAAAAGGCCCTTAAGTTATTTGGTTATGATACGTATATGATTGTGTTGAAAGTCAGCAGGAAATGAATCTAGATTAGTTGTCTGGCACAGTCACTGGGAATGCTGAGCAGATCGAAGCTGGGTGCTAATGACAACTTCATAAGGCTTGGGAGGGCACCTTCAGAAAGGTTCAGGATGAACCTGGCAAGCTACTTCTAGAGCTGAGTTTGCTACTAATAGGCGCTTTCTGAGTTACAAACATAACAAGTCATCTGATTTTGAAGAAACTGAAGCTTGGAGTGTGAATGACGTGGGTTCAGTAAGAGGTAGGTGAGGAAGAGCTAAGGCTGATTCTTGACTTGTGCCAGGACATGGTCATTCGGCTCTACCATCTTGTCTCACCCACGTGTAGTCATACTGCACACACATGTGGCTATACACATGTGCTTCCTTTGCCTTGCTACTAAAACTTCGACTTGTGCCTGTATTCCCTGTACCCCAAGTTGTAATCTGCCAGCCTGGGCCCTTCTTTTTGCTGCCTTAGGGAGATTGAATTTCTGTACCTGTTAATGCTACTGCTTATTGTACCTTGAGCAATTGTTTATCTTAATGTCCTTTTTGACTCTCTTTTTCTTGCTTTTATCTCTTCAATCTCTTCTTATTTTTTATTTTTTTAAAGATGGAGTCTAGCTCTGTCTCCCAGGCTGGAGCACAGTGGCGCGATCTTGGCTCACTGCAATCTCTGCCTCCTGGCTTCAAACGGTTCTCCTACCTCAGCCTCCCGAGTAGCTAGGATTACAGGTGCGCACCACCACACCCAGCTAATTTTTGTATTTTTAGTAGAGATGGAGTTTTGCCATGTTGGCCAGGCTGGTCTGGAACTCCTGGCTTCAGGTGATCTGCCCGCCTTGGCCTCCCAAATTGCTGGGATGACAGGCGTGAGCCACCACGCCTGGCGTTCAATCTCTTAATCTTTTTATATCTTTCTCTTTTCTGTCCCATTTTCTCCTTCCCTCTTCCCTTTTCCCTTTTTCTTAACATTTTCTTTTTTTCTCTTCCTCTGCCTATCCCTGTTACTTCTCTTTAAAGAGCCAAGGAAATACCTGATAATATCTGATAAGTTTAACAGTAGATGACATATCTCCAACAAGAGAAAGAAAAGATCTAAGCGTGTTTTTCTCCAACAAGTAAATTTTGGTAAACACTTACCATGTGCTGTTTTTAGGGTATAAGATAAATCTTTGTCCTAAAAGAGCTTATAGCATCTCATCAAATTAAATCAATAGACCTTTTAATATATTTTTTCTTTCTTTCTTTTTTTTTTTTTTTAATGAGATAGGGCCTTGTTCTGTTGCCCAAGCTCAAGTGCAGTGTTGTGGTCATAGCTCACTGTAACCTCAAACTCCTTGGCTCAAGCAGTCTTCCCTGTTTAGCCTCCTGAGTAGCTGGGACTACAGGCATGTACCACCACACCTGGCTAACTTTTTAATTTTTCTGTAAAGATGAGATCTTGCCATGTTGCCTAGGCTGATCTTGAATTCCTGGCCCCAAGTGATGCTCCTGTCTCAGCTTCCCAAAGGGATTACAGGCTTGAGCCATCACACCTGGCTTCTCTTGATATTTTTTGAACTTGTGATATTTTGTGAATATATATGCCTTTGCAAACATGCATGTCTATTTTTCTGTTAAAATATGTTATTTTACAAAAAACATTATAACCAAATTATTGGAAATGCAAAGAAGAAAAAGGAAAAAAATTAACTCATGATCCTATTGTAACAAATTAAACCTACTGTTTCTGACAAATAGTTGTCAAAATAATTACATAATCTTCGTGCAGTAGAAATAATAGGTAAATTTAGTTTTGTATTCTTCACTTTCTTTTGTTTCATAAATGCTTTCTTTAAATGTAATTTTGAATGGTTGAATAGTATTTCACTCAGTGCAGAAGGGAAGCAACATTAGTGGAGTACCTACTATGTGATGGGCATTGTGCAAATTGCTCTGTATTTGTCTCATTTCACCCCACAGCATTTCTGTAAGTATTATTATGCCCATTTCATAGATGAGAAAATTAAGGCTTACTTAGTTAATTTCAGTTTAGCAAACATTAGTTGAGCTCTGAGGTACCACGCTGAGCTTTGGGGATTAAAGATGAGTGGGACATGGTTCCTCCTACAAGGAATGCAGAAAATGGTAGAAAAGCGAATGAGTGAAAATACGTTAAGTGCAGTGACCTAGAAAAGGAACACGTGACCTGGGTTAGGGTTGGTCAGAGCAGGTTTGCTAAAGCAGCAGTGCTTCTCAAAACTTTAGTGTGCAAATGGAAGTACTAGGGGTTTTAATTAAAATACAGATTCTGATTTTTGGTCCTTTGGTTGGTCTGACAGTCTTCATTTCTAACAAGCTTCCAGGTGGTGCCGACGTCACTGGTCCGCATGCTTCGTTTTGAGTAGGAATATTCTAGAGGATGTAGGACTTGAATAAATACCAATTAACTGGGTCGAGAGGTGGGAAAAGGTATTCTAGACAGAGAAGACAGAGTGGGGAATGACATAAAGCATAAGGAAAATATGGTAAGAGGGTAAACTACTTATAATCTATGGCAAGTGGTGGCAAACTACAGCTTGCTGGCTAAATCCAGCCCACAGCCTATATTTGCGTGGCACATGTGCTAAGGAATAGTTTTTATATTTCTAAAGGGTTGTAAAAAAACAAAATCAAGGAAGAACACATGATAGGGAGGCACAAAGCTTAAATATTTACTGTTCAACCCTTTACAGTAAAAGTTTGCATCCCCTGATCTATGGTATTGGTGGTATTGGTGGAGTGTAAAGTCTGAGGTGGGACATGTTTGAGAAAGTAGGCTGGGGGATGATCACCAAGGGATGCAGAGGAGCTTGGCCTCTGTCTTTGAGGTGATAGGGAGCCAGGGCAGGGCTTAAAGAGGGGAGGGTCAGGCTCTGGCTTTTGTTTTAGAAAAATCCCTCTGGCAGAATATGTATAAAAGGTGGCGACCTGGAGGTACAGATACCAACCAGGAGGCCCGACCAAAAGCAGATCAAATAGGAGTGACAGAGTTCAGAGCTGCCTGGGACAAAGTTTTAAATTTTATTTTCACTGCAACCCATAGGAAGATAAACATTTTATATCATGACCCAGCACACACACACACTCAAAGCAAAACTTATCACAAAACACTATTTCTTTATTGTGGATGAACTCACATGTTTTTCATTCCATTAAAAAAAAATGCTGGTTGCTGCCCACTAAGTTGACTTCATAGTGGGCCATAACCCACAGTTTTCAAACTTATTAGGGAGCTCATTTAGGGAAATAAAACAGCAGGATTATATCCTTGGTTTGATGTGGGGGTTGGGGAGCAAGAATCCTGACATGGATGTGTGAATGGTGTTATTCCTAATGGAAATCAATAATACAGCGGGGAAGCCATTTGGAAAGTAGAGAGGATTCATTCATTTTTGGACATATGTTGAGTTTGAGAGCACTGTATAGGATATTTGGGCTTTCCAGAAAATAAGAGGTATCAATTCTCATTCAGTTTTACTGCCTTATTGTTTTGTTTAACTGCTGTTATTTCTTTCCTTCTTTACTTTTTTTTTTTTTTTTTTTTGAAACAAGAGTCTTGCTCTTGCCCAGGCTGGAGTGCAGTGGCACAATCGCCGCTCACTGCAACCTCTGTCTTCAAGGTTCAAACGATTCTCATGCCTCAGCCACCTGAGTAGCTGGGATTACAGGTGTGCGCCACATGCCTGGCTAACTTTTTTGTATTTTTAGTAGAGACAGGGTTTCGCCATGTTGGCCAGGCTGGTCTTGAACTCCATGCCTCAAGTGATCCTCCTGCCTTGGCCTCCCAAAGTGTTGGGATTATAGGCATGAGCCACTGCTCCTGGCCTAACTGCTATTATTTCAATAGCAGTATTTTCTACACAAAGTATGATGTTTTAGGATTTAGTAAGCTTTTCCTGCTCATGCTAGGTATTCCACCATTATTTACAACATTGTAGTGTTCCAGTGGGAGGAAGCAGCATGAATTTTAAATAATTGGCTTATGTGGAAAGTTTGTAAATTGATCAATAACTTGTACATATTACTTTGAGATGTTTAATTTAGCGCTTGTTTGTTGAGTAAGACTAATGTTCTGATATATTGAAATATTTAACAGCGAGTAATCAGATCACATTAATTAGTTTGTATGCTGTCATATATCTGCAGTTTGTTTTAGTTCTGCAGACAAATATACTACACTATTAGAGGGTTATCAGTTTTTGATTCCTTTACTTATTCTGCACTAATACAGACCAGTGGCATTTTATTTATACTTCTCTCCCTGTATTTTAGGAGACTCTAAAGGTAGGCATTTTTGGAACTGTAAAGAGTATTTCCTAAGTTGAACTTATCAGTGTTTATAACATAAATACATAACTATGTTAAAGTTTTTTTTAACTAGGAAATAATTATTTCACATTCTTTATGTAGATTGAATACCTGCTTAAGAAGCTTACAGAAGCTATGGGAGGAGGTTGGCAGCAAGAACAATTTGAACATTATAAAATCAACTTTGATGACAGTAAAAATGGCCTTTCTGCATGGGAACTTATTGAGCTTATTGGAAATGGACAGTTTAGCAAAGGCATGGACCGGCAGACTGTGTCTATGGCAATTAATGAAGTCTTTAATGAACTTATATTAGATGTGTTAAAGCAGGTAAGAATTCTGTTACTGTTTTTTTTTCTCATCTTTAGAATTTGACATTTTAAAATTAATATTTTTGTCACAAAGATGAGTATAAGTCACTTATTTTCTTACACTGATTTCGTTTTTTTATTTTTTGTTTTTTTGAGACAGTCTTGCTCTGTCGCCCAGTCTGGAGTGCAGTGACGTGATCTTGGCTTACTGCAACCTCCATCTCCTGGGTTCAAGGGATTCTCTTGCCTTGAAGGCATGCACCCCCATGCCCAGCTAATTTTTGTATATTTAGTAGAGATGGGGTTTTACCATGTTGGCCAGGCTGGTCTCGAATGCCTGACCTCAAGTGATCCACCCACGTCGGCCTCCCAAAGTGCTGGGATTACAGGTGTGACCCACTGGGCCTGGCCTGATTTTGAATAGGAATAAAATTTCTTATTTTTCCAGTCTTGTATTAGGCTTTCATTAAAAAAAATTATTTGTGCGATTTTAAAGTACAGTTAAGAATACAGTTAAAATATATATATATATTTTGGCTGGACGTGGTGGCTCATGCCTGTAATCCCAGCACTTTGGGAGGCTGAGGCGGGTGGATCACCAGGTCAGGAGCTCAAGACCATCCTGGCCAGCATGTTGAAACCCTGTCTGTATTAAAAATACAAAATATATATATATATATATATATATATATATATATATATATTTTTTTTTTTTTTTTTTTCCAAGACGGAATTTCACGCTGTCACCAGGCTGGAGTGCAGTGGCATGATCTTGGCTCACTGCAACCTCCGCCTCCCGGGTTCAAACAATTCTCCCGCCTCAGCCTTTTGAGTAGCTGGGACTACAGGTGTGCGCCACCACGTCCAGCTAGCTTTTGTATTTTTAGTAGAGATGGGATTTCACCAGGTTGGCCAGGACGGTCTCGATCTTTTGACCTTGTGATCCACCAGCCTTGGCCTCCCAAAGTGTTGGCATTACAGGCGTGAACCGCCGCGCCCAGGCCATTTCCAAAATATTTTATTTTGGAAATTCATAACCACTGATCCAGAAAGATCTCCATGGCATAACGTTGAGTGAAAAAAAACCACATTGCTGAACAGGAGATATCTTGTAATCCCCTTCAGGTAATGTTATGCATGTGTGTAGAGCTGTCAGGAAGGTGCTTGCTAAAATGTTTACAGTGATCACCTCTAGATTGTGGGATTTTGGTGAATTTTTTTCTTCTTTATTCCTTTCTGTATTATTGGACTTTCTATATGATTTTATATTATTTTTATAAAATCAGAAAAATACCTCTACTTGTGGAAAAAAAAATACCTTTATGTAGCAAAGTTGCTTTTGTCTTATTTAGACTGTCCTCTTTTTCTCAGCACCCAGCATAGCAGATGAAGCTCGATGCTTGTTAAATACAATTTATATTTTTTTGGTGATTCTTTGAAACTTCTTACATTATTATATTGAATAATAACTGATTTGGGATTTCCTTACTTTGATCCTTTCTTTCTTCCATAGGTAATAGTGTTGTCTTTGTTCTTTTTTTTCCTAATGGAGCACATCATAAATGTTGAGGCTGAATTTGTATAGGTTTTTGGTGCTACAAAGAGGTATGAGACGTGGTCTCCATCTGAAGTGGAATTCTCAGCCTCTTAGGATGGCAGGATATGACTGTAGTAGAATTGCCGTATGAGATAGCTTTTGCTTAAATGTCCAAAGATTAGGAAACTGAATATGTAATATGATTAGAACTTAATATAATAACCAACTGAAACTTACAATCAATATCATATATATTTAATGATATGTATATTCTATCATGCGCTATCAGCACCTGTAGATTTAATACTAAAAATAGCAGCTATTCTTAAACAAGCCTGAAGGGCTTTGGCCTATAATAATGTATAATTTTGCTTAAGTAAACATTTGAGTCACACACCTTTGAGGCCAGTCTGTGGGAAGGAAATACAGAACTAGTGAGTGTGAGCTTAGAAGCCACATTTAGAAGCCAGTATTTGAACTCCTGGTGCAGTATTTTCCTGTTGGTCTGGGGCAGAGTTCCTCCTTCAGAATATTGAGAGGTCAGGCAGAAAGGTAGGTTGGTACCAGAGGTGGAAGTCCTTGAATATTTGGTTTAGAAGATATATGTGGCCAAGCTTTAGCATTTTCATTGATTGAGGTTTTACTTACCTCAGTCATTTAACATTTTCAGTGACTGAGGTTTTACTTATTTTATTTAAAAATTTTGGCTGGACGTGGTGGCTCACGCCTATAATCCCAGCACTTTGGGAGGCTGAGGTGGGCGGATCACGAGGTCAGGAGCTTGAGACCATCTGGCCAACATGTTGAAACCCCATCTCTATTAAAAATTCAAAAATTAGCCAGGCATGGTGGCATGCGCTTGTAGTCCCAGCTACTCAGGAGGCTGAGGCAGGAGAATCATTTGAACCTAGGAGGCAGAGAGGTTGCAGTGAGCCGAGATTGCACCCACTGCACTCCAGCCTGGGCGACAGAGCGACACTCCTAAAAAAAAATTTTTTTTTTGTAGAAATGAAGTCTCACTATGTTGCCCACACTGATCTTGAACTCCTGGCCTCAAGCGATCCTCCTGCCTTGGCCTCCCAAAGTGCTGGGATTACAGGCATGAGCCACTGCATCAGGCCTGATCGAGGTTTTAATTTACAGAGAATCATTGTTAGGGGTTCATTCTTTCTTTTTAAGTGGAATAGACCAGTATAATGAACTCCCACATATGCATCAACCAGCTCCAGTAACCACCACCATGTGGCTAATCCTACCCCACCTACTTTTACCTCTCCTGTATTATTTTGAAGCAAATCTCAGGTATTTTATTTTGTTTATAAATATTTCAATAGGTATCTCTAAAAGATAATGATTTTTTAGAAATCTCAAATGCTACTTAATGTCAAGGGGATTCTATTGTCTGCATATCACTTTGGGGAGGGGTTGTCTCTGAAGTGTCTGAAATTATATGCAAATTTTTGTCTGGTTATGCTTGCATGACTAGGTGTAATGCCCCTCCATAGATTCTCAGAGGATCCAAGAACAATTGGTGTTCATGTTTTCAGGATCATATATCAAATAATGGAGTAGGCAAGTATATCAAGGAAGAGATGTCAGCTCTTACAAATAAAAAGACAATAATTTATATCACATTTAATCTTTCACAGGGTTACATGATGAAAAAGGGCCACAGACGGAAAAACTGGACTGAAAGATGGTTTGTACTAAAACCCAACATAATTTCTTACTATGTGAGTGAGGATCTGAAGGATAAGAAAGGAGACATTCTCTTGGATGAAAATTGCTGTGTAGAGGTGAGTCTACTCTTACTTCTTTGCATGATTACCCCGTGCTGCCCCCTGATGCTGAAGTAGCTTCTCACCTTCTTCCACCTAGACTCTAGAACCTTAAAATAATCCCCAAATTTACATTTCCAAAATAATATAGGCATGCAGTTGCCATGGTTTCTGAACCAAAAATTAAACATAGCTGACAAAATTTTTTTCTAATGTGAATTTATTTTCAACCTTCTACTCGTGAATAAAGTATAAGGATTAAATCATTTATTGGAACATTTAAGGAATCATTTATTGAATAAAATGGAGTCATAAAAGAGATAATAAAGTAAAAAAAAGTTCAGTAAGACAATATTTGGAATAAAGAATATGCCAGAAAATCTGGGACATTTTGAGTGCAAGAAATAAAAGAAGATGTAAGCATTGTCTTTGAATACTTTGGGTGACTTTCAGGACACTTTATTCATAGGTACTAATTCTTTAAAGAAGTGAAATTCTCAAGAACATAAATTTTTGAGTTTTTAATTTTTATATGAACTGTCCCCGTGTCTGTATGTGTTGAAGAACATTTAAATACCTGAAATCTCACACATAAACTATAATGTATTTTAGTGAATAATAATGTCTTGAGATGTGTGATGCCCATGAAGGAGTCTGCTTAGATTTAACTAAACATGGAGATCTACAAGGTTACCAAAGGCCAGTTTACTCATAAACATATAGGACAGAAACCACGGGTTGCCAGCCACAACATTCCAAGTGCAAGAAGAGAAAGCCACATTAAGCAGATGTAGGAATCACCCTGGCTTAGGTGCTTCATATCCCATAGGAGTTAATACCTCTTGTAACATCATCACAGATGTACCTTCCAGGATTCCTGCAAGGGAGGTGCTCAGGATAAGAGCTGCTATACTCAGGAAATCCCAATGCATGGCATCCTATCAGGTGTTTATAGTTTTACCAGTCTAGATGTAGTATACCAACTGGGGTCATTTTTACCATAAGTAATGTGCTTAGGAAACAGCATTAGTAAATCAGTAATATGAATTTATAGGTATTTTTCATTGACATTAAGTTTCAGCTCATTTTTATAAATAATTCAAATTGAATTTCATTTAAATACTTAAAATTTTGAGGAACTAATTTTGCTTTCTGTTTTAGTCCTTGCCTGACAAAGATGGAAAGAAATGCCTTTTTCTCGTAAAATGTTTTGATAAGACTTTTGAAATCAGTGCTTCAGATAAGAAGAAGAAACAGGAGTGGATTCAAGGTAAGGTGATTTTTTATTATTTGCCATGATATAACTTGAAAGCTCTGACTTTCTTTTTTTTTTCTGAGACGGAGTCTTGCTCTGTTGCCCGGGCTGTAGTGCAGTGGTGCTATCTTGGCTTACTGCAACCTCCACCTCCTGGGTTCAAGCAATTATCCTGTCTCAGCCTCCAGAGTAGCTGGGACTATAGCCACCACGCCCAGCTAATGTTTTTGTAATTTTAGTAGAGACGGGGTTTCACCATGTTGGTCACGCTGGTCTCAATCTCCTGACCTTGTGATCCACCTGCCTTGGCCTCCCAAAGTGCTGGGATTACAGGCGTGAGCCACTACGCCTGGCCGAGAGCTCTGACTTTCTAGTTTTGAATCTCATGAAGGATGCTAAGGCGTTACTTCCTCATTGTAGTTATTTTCTGCATGTGATACAGTAGCTGAGAGAAAAACAAATTAAGATGCGCTCTCAAAGTTTTCATTAGTTTTATTTGCATAATGAACTTTGGGTAAATTATAAATGGGAGATTTACTTTTTAAATAGATTTTGGGGTTGCAAGTATAGTTCTGCTACAGTGATATATTGTGTAGTGATGAAATCTGGGCTTTTAGTGTAATCATCACTCGCATAGTTGCTGTTAGGTAATTTCTCATCCCTTGCCGGCCTCCTGCCTTCCCACATTTCTGAGTCTCCAATGTCTATTATTCCTTGCTGTATGTCCATGTGTACACATATTTTAGTTCCCACTTATAAATAAGAACATGTAGGCCGAGTGCGGTGGCTCATGCCTATAATCCCAGCACTTTGGGAGGCAGAGGCGGGTGGATCATGAAGTTGGGAGATCGAGACCATCCTGGCTAACACGGTGAAACCCCGTCTCTACTTAAAAAAAAAAAAAAAAAAAGAACATGTATTTTATGTTCTGTTTATGGGTTATTTCAAGAAATACTTCAAGATAATAGCCTCCAGTTCTATCCATATTGCTGCAAAAGACATTATTTCATTCTTTTTTTATGACTGAATAGTATTCCAAGGTATATGTGTGTATGCACACACTACAACTGTTGGTGGACACCTGGGTTGATTCCATATCTTAGAGATTTTAGGTTTTACTTATTCTTATTATTTGAAGAATATAGAATTTTCCCTTTTAAGGACTGTGAAGAATTTTAAAGTGGCCATCTTGAGCTTGAGGTAATATGTAAAAGAAAAGAGGAATTATGCAATAGTTTTTTAATACTTCAAGTGATTTTCAAGATCCATTACTTCCACAAGAAATCACTAGTTTTGGGTAACTCAGGAACACAAACTTTTGAATTAATAACCTTTAAAAAAAATTTCAACTTTTATTTTAGATTCAGGGGTACATGTGCAGGTCTGTTACATGGGTATATGTGTAATGCCGAAGTTTGGGGTATGATTGAATCTATCACCCAGGAAGTGAGCATTGTACCCAACAGCTAGAGTTTTCCAACCTCTTCCCCCGTCTCTACCTCCCGTCCCAGTAGTCCCTAGTGTCTGCTGTTGCCACTTTTATGTCCATGAGTACCCAGTTTTTAGCTCCCACTTATTAGTGAGAACATTCATTATTTGGTTTTCTGTTCTGCGTTAATTTGCTTAGCATAGTGGCCTCTAGCTGCATCCATGTTGCTGCAGAAGACATGATTTTGTTCTTTTTTATGGCTCCGTAGTGAATGAATAACTTTAAAGTGTTCCATTATTCCAAAATTGGTAAAGAATAAAATGCAATACAAGAGGGCTTTTTAAAAAAAATCCTGAAAGGAGATTCTGAATATTATATTCTTAGACGTAGATAAAATTATGTTATATTGGAGAATGTAGTCATTTTTGATGTGGTTTAAGAGTTCGAGGCAAATGCACCTGGTTTGAATGCTCTTTCCTGGGTCTCTTGGGTTGAGTTATAAATTCTGTAACTGCTTTTCTCTTCTGTGGAGTGGGGATAATAATAGTGCATTCTTCCCAGGGTTGTGGTGAGGATTAGAAAATAGATAATGACAGATATACTCACACATTTTTCAAAATGACATAGATTGCAAACAATCTAGCTATCTATTAATAGGGAAATGGTTGAATAAGTTATGGTTTAGCTGCACAGTGGTGTACCATGCAGTACTTCATGTATAGTACTTTTGGTGTGCCATGCAGTACTTTATGTATAGTACTTTATGTATTGCTACTGGGAACTGTGAGATAGATTAAATAAAAAAAACTGAGGGTCAGAAGAGTGTGTTGTGCCACTGTTTGTGTGAAAAGAAGGTGGAAGACATATATACATACTTATTTGTATAGGCTTATACTATCTCAGGAAAGATGCATAAAAACTGTTAGCATTAGTTGCTAGTGGGGAGGGGAATCTAGTACTTGAGGGACAGGAGTAGGAGGGAGACTTTCCTGTGTGTCTTTTGAATTTGAATAATGTGAAAGTGTTAGCTATTCAAGAAATTACATTTAAGTAATTTAAAATATCAAAAGAAAAATCAGATGTTGTATAACAGTTAGATAATGCATGTAAAGGATGTATTTATTTTATTTTTAAAATAAATGACAGCTGCTGTTACCTGTTATCTCAGGAAGGGGTTGCATAAGGCATGGATGATAGGCCAACTAAACACAGTAGGTTGCAAATTAGATATCAGAAATTTGAATCTCTGTCCTTACTGTGTCTTAATCTTGTTTGGCTTTTTGAAAAGTATAGAGAAAGGAGTCGAAAGTATTGTCATTAGTTCTTAAAAATGTGTGCAATATTCCCAGATCGAGTGTTTCTGAGCACAGATACAGTTAACAGAATTTTGGAGCGAGAAAGGACTTTATAGATCATCTCTCTCATTTTAAAGATGTGGAAACTGATGCTGCAAGAGGTTATTTCTTGAGGGGAGCTCTGAAAAAAAACCAAGAGGTTATGTGACTGCTCAGGGTCACACCACTATGGAGTGACAAAATCAGAATCTACACTGGGCCTTCTGGCTCCCTGTCTCATTTTCTTCCCACTGTGCCATTTGCATAGTAGGCTTACAAAGAATAAATAATATCTCCCCATTTTTTTTTTCCTCCTACACCTTTTACAGCCATTCATTCTACTATTCATCTGTTGAAGCTGGGCAGCCCTCCACCACACAAAGAAGCCCGCCAGCGTCGGAAAGAACTCCGGAAGAAGCAGCTGGCTGAACAAGAGGAACTGGAGCGACAAATGAAGGAACTCCAGGCCGCCAACGAAAGCAAGCAGCAGGAGCTGGAGGCCGTGCGGAAGGTGGGAATGGGCGCTGGGCTGGGAGAGGGCCCTTCATTCCCCTGCAGAAGCCATCGTGCCTTGCTTAGGGGTGTTGGTTCTACCAAGATGAATGTAGTGCAGTTTTAGGGAGATACTTGTGGTGAACTGTTCTCAGAAGTGTTTCCAGACCATCAAGTGAGACATACTGGTTTTCCTAGCCCTGAAACTATGTTGATCTCGGCAGCAAAAACATTTCATTGGCTAGGAAGGAATATTTTAAATAATAATGAGCACAGTTGAATTTCGTCAGAAGAAGATGGGAAATTTCATTCCCTTGAGGGTGTCAAGGCTGTTCTTACTGGCCTGGACAAGGTGTGTTGCTTTTTAGTTTTCTCCTTAGCTCCCATCTTCACTCATGAGTACCTTGGAAGACCCTTACTTTAGAACTGTTAGTTTTACCTACTGTTTGGAGTTAAAGATACAGTCTGGGTCAGCTTTTCCTTCCATCTCAAGATTAGGAGGTCAAGTACCATATGCTATATGAGATAGTTGATGTTCACTGGGAACACTTCCTCGGTTATGTCGTGATCCCAGGGGTGGTAGTGAGTCCCCAGTATATGGATATGGTCTTTATTTGAGACACTTTTGGGCTGAGTCTGTCTGCCTTGAATCAATGAGCACTTGCTAACCACAAGCTCAAGGACTCTTTCATGCACATCTGTGCAAAAACTTTGCTCTGGGATATGGGGGTGGCTCATAATCTGTGACTCTACATACCTAGTGGGGTTCTCCCTTGGTAACCCGTAGAAATGCCACATTGTGTGCTGAACTTCCTCTGAGTAGAGTAGACTCATGAAGATTTTTAAGAATGCTTTTATAATCTTAGGAACTGCATGGGCATATATATAATCTTAGAAAAAGTTATTACTATCACACACTTACTTTCTAAAAGCAGCTCCTCATTTCTTACTGCCTCCCACCCTTGAAACAGTCTTGCATCTTGCCTCTTTCTGCTGCAATATATTTTCTGTAAAAATTCCCTTTAAAGGTTACGCTGAGCACCTGCCGTATGTGATTGCTGCTGCTTCCTTCCACTGTGCACACATCAAAAGTGGGTGTTATGAGGGAATGGTGGGGAGCTAGAACTTGGTGTCCTTTTTTATAATTTTAAAATTATAAAATAGCTCGTACCTGTAGAGGAGAATATGAAATATGTATATACAAATAATCATACAGTGAATACCCATGAAAATACTACCCAGGTTAAGATAGATTATTGCCAATACAGGTTGAGTATCCCTTATCCGAAATGCTTATGACCCAAAGTGTTTCAGATTTGGGATTTTTTTGGATTTTGGAATGTTTACATTATATACTGTATTTACCAGTTGAGATCCTCTTGCCTTAGCCTCCCAAATCCAAAAGTCTGAAATTGGAAATGCTTCAATGAGCATTTCCTTTGAGCATTATGTCAGAGCTCAAAAAGTTTTGGATTTTGGAGCATTTTATATTCTTTATTCAGGTCTTTCCCTCATCCCTAACCCCTGGAAACCACTGATCAATTCTCTGTTCCTGTATTTTTGCCTTTTCCAAATTGTCATATAAATGGAATCATACAGAATGTACATTTTAAGACCGCATTCTTTGACTTAGCATTGTACATTTGAGATTCATACATTGATGCCCTTTTTAACTTTTAAACTCTGCCTTCCAGGAGCATGTAGTGTTCTGCTCTGTATAATGTGAAGAAGGCATGCCTGGTGTTAGCAAGCTGTAGACCTATGTAGACAGCTTTCCCACTACCTAGGTTTATAGAATTATTTAAAAGACTGATTTAGGATTCTTGGATAAGTGCTGAAAAATTCTTATAGATCGCTTAGTAATCTTTGATTTTCTTGTCAATAAACACAGTTCTCCAATTTTTTCATGGAGGCATTCTTAGAAAAAAACAGCTTAGATGAATATTTAATTAAATTTATTTATTTTGAGACAGGGTCCCGCTCTGTTGTTCAGGCTGGAGTGCAGTGGTGCCATGCTCACTCCCCTGCTCAAGACATCTTCTTGCCTCAATATCTCAAGTAGCTGGGACTACAGGTGTGCACCACCATACCTGGCTAATTTTTTTGTATTTTTAATAGAGATGAGGTTTTGCCATGTTGCCCAGGCTAGTCTCAAACTCCTGGGTTCAAGCAATCCACCCACTTCAGCCTCCCAAAGTGCTGGGATTACAGGAATGAGGCACCATGCCCAGCTGAATCTTTTAATCATCTGGAATTAGGTTACATATCTGTGGGTTTCTTAAAATTTGACAGGCCTCATTTTAATTAGAAGAAGGAATAAGAAATCATGGTAGTTTTTATAAATTAATAGATTTACTTAAAGAATTTACTTAAATTTTTATTTCTACTTTTGTTTCTTTTAAAAAATATAATCATTTGGGTAGGTTCAAAAATATACAAATATAAAAAGGCAGCTGTGAAAGATTTTCTCCCCCTCCCCCACTTATGAATTTCCACCCCTTGCCCAAGGTAAGGAAATATGAATATACATTCTTATTTTCCCATTTGTTAAACACACAAAAGTATATACTAGTGTCACTGTTCTGCCTCCAGTTTATTTCACTTAATATATTTTTTAGATCTTTTCATATCAGTATAAAGAGAGTTACCTCATTCTTTTTTATGGCTGTAGAATATTCTGTTATACAACTGTGTCATTACTTAGTCATTCCCTGTTAGTGAACATTTGGGTTGTGTTAATCTTTTGTTTTAATAGGTAATGCTGTAGGGAATAATCTTGTACCTGTGTCATTGTATATGTGTTCATACATGTTCTGATATCTCTAGGGAATGAATTCTCAGAAGTGGGAATGCTGGGTCAAAGTGTGTAATTATGAAATCCGGGCTGATGGACCAGCCGCCATCTTGAGTGTTGCTATTCACTGTGCCGGAAGAAAAAGTGTTCTAGGGTTTGGCAATGCGGTGCTCCAGCCTAGAAATGTCACACTGTACTTCTATTGATAATATCTTGGTGAGAACTAGTCAGAACTTTCTGATGAGTAGTCAGCTGTCAAGCTTGCAGGAGTTCCCTTGTGTGTGGTAAATCATTTTTCTTTTTCTGCTTTTAAGATTATTTTTTGGTCTTTGTCTTTCAACAGTTTTACTGTGGTGTATGTGGGTGTAGATCTCTTTGTGTTTATCCTGTTTAGAGTGTATTGAACTTGAATATGTAGATTAATGTTTTGCCTTAAGCTGGATAAGTTTTCAGCCACAAATATTTTTTCTACTTTTTTTTCCCTCTTCTGATACTTTCGTTATGCAAATGTTGGTGCACATAATGGTGTCCCACATTTCTCTAAGGCTGTGTTCATTTTTCTTCTTTTTTATTTTCTGTTTTCCAGTTGCATAATTTCTATAGATCTGTCTTTAGTAGATTTTTCTTGTAGCCCAAATATACTGTTGAGTCCCTCTAGTGAATTTTTCGTTTCAGTTATGGGACTTTTTACTTCCAGAATTTCCATTTGGTTTTTTCTGTGATTTATATCTCTTTATTATTCTCTATTTTATGGTATATTGTCATTCCTTCCATTACTTCTCTAAGTATGGTTTCCTTTAGTTATTTGAGCATAAAATATTTATAACTGCTTTGAAGTCTTCATATGCTAAATCCACCATCTGGGCCTCTTCAAAGGCAGTTTCCGTTGCCTGCTTTTTCCCTGTATATGGGCCATACTTTCCTTTTTCTTTGCATGTCTCATAATTTCTTGTAGAAAACTAGACATTTTAGATAATGTGTGGTAGCAACTCTGGATTCTGATTCCACCCCTCTCCCCAGAGGCCTGCTGTTGTTTGCTCCTTTATTTGTTTAGTGACTTGGCTGGACTATTTCAGTGAAGTTTGTTTTCCTCACAGTGTGAAGCTTCTGACTGTTGCTCCTCAGAGGCACAGGCTTGGACAGGAACACAGTCACCCTGCGAAGACCCTGATTTTTGCAGGGCTCTCTTTGAGTGTCTTTCTCTGATCTCTCATTTAAGCTTTCCACCTCTGTTGGTACCACACCAACAGCTGTTAGAGTTCACTAATTTTGTTCTGTTGTTCTCCATAATGCCCTGGAACCTGAATTGCCTCACAGTCTGAGATCATTTAAATTCAGGCCTACATGTAGTCTTTAAGGTCAGTCTTTGAGACTTGTTCCTACTACATGAGAACTCTTCTTAGCTGTCTCTTTCTCTGGTTCTGTCTGTCAGACGTTTGGCTGGTCTGGAAGAGCAGTGGCTCACACCTGTTAATCACTTTGGGAGGACAGGGTGGGAGGATCACTTGAGGCCAGGAATTTGAGACCAGCCTGGGCAACATAGCGAGACCTCATAGCAGTCAACCAACAAACCAACAACACTTTTAGCTGGTCCGTGTGTTAGTGTGTTGTTCTCATGGAGCTTCTGGCCTCCTCTTAATTCTCAGCCACTCTTGCCTGGAATAAAGTTTCTGCAACATGCAGCTGGGGACAAAGAGAAATTCTGGCAGCCAGCCTGCCCCTCCCAGGAAGGTATCATAGCCCTAGGCTTGAGCTGAGGGGAGGGGAACCCTTGTTTGGGGTTCCATCTGCCAGGAGAAGAGCTTTCTTCTCACTGACACTGTGGGGGTGGGGAGGGAGTGCATCATATGCCACAGACCCTCACGATTCTTACTGAGAGTTAGATTTTCTTAGATAAATGTTCTCCATTTTAGAATGTCCTTAGCATAATT
The DNA here is from genome assembly GCF_000001405.40 of Homo sapiens. Classification (NCBI taxonomy): domain Eukaryota; kingdom Metazoa; phylum Chordata; class Mammalia; order Primates; family Hominidae; genus Homo; species Homo sapiens. Next base: position 9,737,417 of record NC_000011.10, read on the forward strand.
TCTAGAGACTTTTAAAGGTTTTGTTTTTTTAACAATAATTTTCACCAGTTATGGTTGTTTTGTTGGGGAAAGGGTCTGTGGAGCTCCTTATGCCACCCTTCTAGAAATTGGTTCTGGTAAAAGTTATAATGAATAATGTATAAGATGAAAAAACTGTACAGAAAGAGCTCAAGAAATAGCTCTCAAATCTCATGAATGTGGCTGGGCATGGTGGCTTACACCTGTAATCCCAGCACTTCGGGAGGCTGAGGTGGGCGGATCACGAGGTCAAGAGATCGACACTATCCTGGCCAACATGATGAAACCCCGTGTCTACTAAAAATACAAAAATTAGCTGGATGTGGTGGTGTGTGCCTGTAGTCCCGGCTACTCGGGAGGCTGAGGCAGGAGAATCACTTGAACCTGGGAGGTGGAGGTTGCAGTGAGCCGAGATCGTGCCACTGCACTCCAGCCTGGCGACAGAGCAAGACTCAGTCTCAAATAAATAAATAAATAAATAAAAATCTCATGAATGCAATCCCAAGTGAATTTAATTCAATGACTGTACTAAAACTTTCTTTGCAAAATGTTGTTCAGGCTTATCAATAGTCTTTCATTTACCTAATTTATTTTGTATGTTGATTCAGCAGATCGTTAGACTGGAATTCTAATGGAGCTAAAAGTTTTTATTCTATTATCTTTATTGAATGTTAAGAATGTTTGGCTTTTCCTGTACTTAAGTATGACTGTCTCTCTCTCTTTAATGTACTTCTACTCTAACACCTGCTTTTCTGTGGATGGGTTTTTGATTGGCTAGAAACTGGAGGAAGCAGCATCTCGTGCAGCAGAAGAGGAAAAGAAACGCCTTCAGACTCAAGTGGAACTTCAGGCCAGGTTCAGCACAGAGCTGGAAAGAGAGAAGCTTGTGAGTATCACATGGCTGGAGAAAGCAGCTGCAGTAGCTCAGCCTGGGTCGGTGGGAACAGGGAAGGGCTGGAGGCTACAGTGAGGCATGTCATCAGCTTGGCTTTGCTACTGACCTGGAATGGGCTGTAGGGGAAGTTGCATGTTTGTTCATTCATTAATTATCTGTTTATTGAACACCTTCTATGTGCCAGGCAGTGTGCCAAAGATGTAATGGCAAAAGACATAAACCTTGTTTTCAAGACTCCTAAGTGGAAATTTATGGAGCCAGGCATGGTGGCCCACTCCTGTAATCCCAGCACTTTGGGAGGCCAAGGCATGAGAATTGCTTGAGCCCAGGAGTTCAAGACCAGCCTGGGCAATATCTACAAAAAAAAAAAAAAAAAAAAGAATTAGCCAGGCCTGTTGGTACATGCCTGTAGTTCCAGCTACTTAGGAGGCTGAGGTGGGAGGATTGCTTGAGCCCAGGAGTTCAAGGCTACTGTGAGCTGTGATTTTGCCACTGCACTCCAGCCTGGGTGACAGAGCAAGGCCCTGTCTCCAAAAAAGAAAAAAAAAGAAATTTGTGGAATGATGTGATAAATGCTTGGTTAGGGTGACTATATTTCCTGGTTTGCCTGGGAGAGTCCCTGCCATTCTGGTATAATTATTAATAACATTCCTTTTCATTCTCAAAACAGTTCTGATTTGGAAAATAAATAGTTATGGAAAAAGTAAGCATAGGTTCCATGGTATATCTCCTCTGTAATAAGCAAGGATGGCGGGGGTGAGATCCTGAAATTGTGAGAACATCTAGAGTCTGATTTGTTGCTCTTGGCAGCTCCGGTTCATCCTAGAGGCTTCCATCTTCAAGAGACCCAAGATCCAGGTTGTCTTAGGTAGTTAGCTGGTTAGCTGGAACACAGGTCTTCTCACATTGAGTGATACTCTGTCAGAGAGTGCTAAGCCCAGTGCCTAAATAGATGCATGTGACATTTCCTCTAGTCACTTTTTGTTATTTAGAGTTGAAAGAGATGTGTTTGTGGTTCAGAGAAAAGAGGAAGGCAAATGTGATGTAGAGAAACAGCCAGAATGTCTGGTCTTGTTTCCTCTCTGGTCCTTCTTACTGAACATTGGCTTTTTCTTCTTTAAGTTCAGGATTATCACATGCTCTCTCATGACTCTTCTGAAGACAGAGTGAGCTAATGCAAGTGAAAATATTTTATCAACTGCAGAGAAATAGGCTAATGTGTTTGTTATATTTAGGATGTTCTTGTCTTGTAATTTTTAAGGCAGGGATTCAAAACTCTGTAATCCAGAAGGGAAAAACCATTAACGTATACAGATTAACTGAAATGCTTGAGTTCCTCTAGGGCTGGAGGTGCCCCAGGGAGTGGAGACAGCCAGGGAAGTGTGGGAGGAATCCCATGCTGGATGACCTTTCCTTCTTCTTTAGTGTAACACTAAAGAAGACTGGGAAAAGGTTCGTTTGCTCTGACTGGGAAAAGGTTCGTTCCTTTTAGAGAAGACCCTATTGGTAAAAAGATTGTGACTTTAAGACAGAAAGGAATTTAGAGAGAAATTACACAAGGAAACATTTTTTTCTTGACTTGAGTCTTAAAATGTGGAGTGGAAGGGATGGAAAATACAGCAGGGCAGAACATAATTTGGGTTATAATTTGCTCTTCCCAGACTCTTTCACTATTGCGATTGGGTGTGGTACCCTCATCTCCTCCATCTTTAAGTTCAAGGATTGAAGGACAGGGTCCTGCCACCCTGATGGGCTGAGGCTGCAGCTGTGGGCAACCCCTCAGGTGGAGGTGAGGCTTTCCCTGAGAAAGAAGTCAACCTGCATTTAAACAAGACCCTTTTATACCAACAGATCAGACAGCAGATGGAAGAACAGGTTGCTCAAAAGTCCTCTGAACTGGAACAGTATTTACAGCGAGTACGGGAGCTGGAAGACATGTACCTAAAGCTGCAGGAGGCTCTTGAAGATGAGAGACAGGCCCGGCAAGATGAAGAGACAGTGCGGAAGCTTCAGGCCAGGTGCCAGATTTGTTTGCAGACTTTGCCTTTATGTACTTTGCCTGGGCTAATACAGTTTCTTGGAATGACTAACACTCTGGTGGAGAGGGAGAAGTGTCTCTGCTCTGGCTGTGACTGAGCTCGAGGTGCTGTCCAGATTAGAAAGACTGTGGAGACTCGACCGGCTGGAGTGTTTCTTTTCATTCTGAGGCGCTGGGAAACCCTTGCTTCTGGGGCTAAATAAGGGCCTATTTTAGAGCAGTCTGGTAGGTATGTTTGATGAGGTACCCTTAGTCTTATTCGAGAAAATCCACAAACCCAGAATTACCTCTGATAAGAGCTTGGCATCTTCAACACGCTCCAGACCAGAGAGGGCCATTGGTATGCAGGCAGAGGCCTGTTCAGGCCAACGTTGCCGTCAGGTTTTGAGGAATAAGGAAGAAATATGCAGTTTCTATTTGGTCATTCAGGATTGGTAACATTCCTTCAGTAATTACTACTTGAAATCCTAATTTTAAAAGTATTTGAAACCTAGATTTTTTTTCCCCTTAGAACTTTATGATAGTCATGTTCGCAGATGAAAATTCTCAATTTTGGGCCTTCATGGCAGCAGGGAGGACAAAATAAAATGAAGACTCCCAAAGGGAAAAATTGAGCCTATCCTCTGCCAGTTTCTACTTTGCTGCCCCATTTACATTATTTAAGGTGTCTGGGATGGGAGACAACACTAAAAAGTATTCACTACAGTAGCAGCACAGGGTCCAGTCTTTGATCTCTGACCCCCTGTTTTGGGGAGCAGTTATGAGATGAGCTAGGGTAGATTTTCCATGGCTGCCATTTTACATGTGGAGCAGCAAAAGATGTTTCTTTAATCTTTAGATAGGAAGAGAAAGAAGAAGCCATCTTTAGTTGTATATTTTGCCAAAAGTGACTTCAAAAATAAATAAATTGTTTTGGACATTTAGATTTTAAATTTAAATTTTTTTAAGGAAAAATTATTTTCTAAATAGAAAATTAAGCATGTAGCATATTGCCAGGCATATATAGGCCCCACAGGTGCACATTCACTGCACTGTGAGGTTAATCAGGTTCTTGGAACTCCCCTCCAGTGCCACTCGGCAGTGATTTTAGCAGAAGAGTCACTCTACGGGAATGTTTGAGTGCCATGTGACGTCCAGAGTGACGTTCTACATGACACTCAACATTTTTTGAGCCACCTCATAATTTGAGCCGTGTTGAGAGTTAATAGATTGTTTTTGTGCAAAGAATTCGCAGGTGAAATATGCTATATGTATTACTGCAGTTTTGTGGGAAGTTGATTATGACACAGCAGAGACTAGATCACAGAGGGAACCAGATAATTCTAGAAATACTAGTCTTAGTTATTTAGTGTTTATAGAATGAGTGATATTTTGAATAAGGGATAATTTTGGATAATTGAAGCCAGTGGTTTTTTAACCAATGTTATGTATCAGAATCACCTCACAAAGCTTCTGAAAAATACACCACAAAGTGTGGCTCACCCACCACACTTTGGGAGGCCGAGGCTGGAGGATCACTTGAACCCAGGAGTTTATGACCAGCCTGAGCAACATGGTGAAACCTCATCTTTAAAAAAAAAAAAAAAAAAAAGTCTACTTGGGAGGCTGAGGCAGGAGGATCACTTGAGTCCAGGAGGTTGAGGCTGCAGTGAGCTGCATTTGCACCACTGTACTACAGCCTGGGGGACAGAATGAGACCCTGTCTCAAAAAAAACACAAAACAACAACGGCAAAAAACTCCAGCTAATTATTTTGCACACTCTGATTTAAGCAATAGCAAAATGGTTTCAACCTTTTGAATCCAGATGTAACTTCTACATACAGCTCTGATCCAATATGCTGAAAGTACTGCACACAAATTTAACTTTTTCTTAATGTGCAAAGGGCATTTTATGAATATAATTATTTTATTATTCTAAATTTTTTTTTCTCTTAGTTTTTGGAACCTGAAATGGACAAATTTGCCCCCCTGCTCCCTTTTTTTTTCTGAGATGGAGTCTTGCTCTGTTATCAGGCTGGAGTGCAGTGGCGTGATCTCGGCTCACTGCAATCTCCGCCTCCTGGGTTCAAGCGACTCTCCTGCCTCAGCCTCCCGAGTAGCTGGGAGTACAGGCGCGCACCACCACACCTGGCTAATTTTTGTATTTTTAGTAGAGATGGGGTTTTGCCATGTTGGCCAGGATGGACTCCATCTCCTGACCTTGTGATCCGCCTGTCTCGGTCTCCCAAAGTGCTGGGATTACAGGCATGAGCCACCACGCCCGGCCTAGTGGTCATTTTTAAGTGAAATGTGTTCCTCTTTCCTGAAGTCACTGAAGGCTGTGGCTGATTCAGAGGGACTTTCTGTCAGATTGGCAGAGAGGGTTTGTTCTTTGCTCCTCAGGATAGGCCTTTCTGGATAGAAAAATCAAGGGAAGTCATCCTGGAGTTGGGTTGGAAAACTGGCACTAATGAAATGCACATAATCTTACGCCAAGGGCCTGTGTAAAAGGCTGCTCAGTTAACTCTTCTCACTCCTTTTTTTTTTTTTTTAATTTTATTATTATTATACTTTAAGTTTTAGGGTACATGTGCACAATGTGCAGGTTTGTTACATATGTATACATGTGCCATGCTGGTGTGCTACACCCATTAACTCGTCATTTAGCATTAGGTATATCTCCTAATGCTATCCCTCCCCCCTCCCCCCACCCCACAACAGGCCCCGGTGTGTGATGTTCCCCTTCCTGTGTCCAAGTGTTCTCATTGTTCAGTTCCCACCTATGAGTGAGAATATGCGGTGTTTGGTTTTTTGTTCTTGCGATAGTTTACTGAGAATGATGATTTCCAATTTCATCCATGTCCCTACAAAGGACATGAACTCATCCTTTTTTATGGCTGCATAGTATTCCATGGTGTATATGTGCCACATTTTCTTCATCCAGTCTATCATTGTTGGACATTTGGGTTGATTCCAAGTCTTTGCTATTGTGAATAATGCCGCAATAAACATACTTGTGCATGTGTCTTTATAGCAGCATGATTTATAATCCTTTGGGTATATACCCAGTAATGGGATGGCTGGGTCAAATGGTATTTCTAATTCTAGATCCCTGAGGAATCGCCACACTGACTTCCACAAAGGTTGAACTAGTTTACAGTCCCACCAACAGTGTAAAAGTGTTCCTATTTCTCCACATCCTCTCTAGCACCTGTTGTTTCCTGACTTTTTAATGATTGCCATTCTAACTGGTGTGAGATGGTATCTCATTGTGGTTTTGATTTGCATTTCTCTGATGGCCAGTGATGGTGAGCATTTTTTCATGTGTTTTTTGGCTGCATAAATGTCTTCTTTTGAGAAGTGTCTGTTCATGTCCTTCGCCCACTTTTTGATGGGGTTGTTTCTTTTTTTCTTGTAAATTTGTTTGCTCACTCCTTTCTTAAAGCAACAGCCGATCATTCGTGGAATATTTGGAATCTCATTATTCTTTTAATGGATAGTTCTTTCTCTGTCAGTCTCTTAAAAAGACAGTGTCTTAAAAAAAAAGAGAAACTTTTTATAGTAAATTGTTTAAATGAAAGACAAGAACTTTAGCTTGAAACACGTAGATCTTGTAATTTTTTTTTTTTTTTTGAGACGGAGTCTCGCTCTGTCACCCAGACTGGAGTGTAGTGGCGTGATCTCGGCTCACTGCAAGCTCTGCCTCCCAGGTTCAAGCCATTCTCCTGCCTCAGCCTCCTGAGCAGCTGGGACTACAGGCGCCTGCCACCACGCCCAGCTAATTTTTTGTATTTTTAGTAGAGACGGGGTTTAACCGTGTTAGCCGGGATGGTCTTGATCTCCTGACCTCGTGATCCACCCGCCTCGGCCTCCCAAAGTGCTGGGATTACAGGCTTGAGCCACTGCACCTGGCCAGATCTTGTAATTTTAAAAATTACGATTGAAGTTTTTTATTAACTTTTAATTTTTGTGGGTACACAGTAGGTGTTTATATTTGTGAGGTACATGAGATATTTTGATACAGGCATACAATGTGTAATAATCACATCAGGGTAAATGGGGTATCCATCACCTCAAGCATTTATCCTTAGTCTTACAAACAGTCCACTATACTGTTTTAGTTAGTTTTAAATGTACAATTAAATTATGATTGACTATAGTCACCCTTTCTGCTATGAAGTTTATTTTTTTATGTGTAATCCTGAAGGTGATCTAGCCACTTCTGAATGAGAACTCAGAAGAAAACTGTTCATTTAAAATGTAGAATACTCAAGTTATTGGCCGGACATGGTGGCTCACGCTCTAATCCCAGCACTTTGGGAGGCTGAGGCGGGCGGATCCCTTGAGGCTCGGAGTTTGAGACCAGCCTGGCCAGCATGGTGAAACCCTGTCTCTACTAAAAATACAAAAATTAGCTGGGCGTGGTGGTGCATGCCTATAATCCCAGCTACTCGGGAGGCTGAGACACTTGAATCCAGGAGGTAGAGGTTGCAGTGAGCTGAGATTGCACCACTGTACTCCAGCCTGTCTCAAAAAAGAAAAAAACAAAAAAGAAAAAATTAAGAAAAATCGAGTTATTGGAAAGTTCTTGAGGCTGAGCCATAATCTGTCCTGTTGTAACTCTTACCCACTTTGGATCTGTAACACCCTGGAGTACACCTTAGTCGTGTCTGTATTCCCAGCAACTCGTACCTGGCACACAGTAAGTACCCAGGGAAATTTTTTTGAATGAATGAATGGATCCAATGGGACCACATGGAACAACAGTCCCTCTTACATTTGATATAATACTTTTCATATATTTGAAGGTTAGAGACTGGGCTCTGGAATGAGGCCACGGTTTGATTCCTGGCTCTGGTACTTTTAGCTGTGTAACTTGAGAGAATGGCCAACTTTATACAGTTGTTGTGAGGATGAAATGAAATGATGCATGCAGAGTGTTTTAGAGTAATGCCTAGCATTTGGGAGTCACTCCGAGTGTGTTGCTTTCTGTTCCTTTATCTCATTTGCAGACGGGGAAGATATATAATGTGTGGAATGTAAAAATAAGCATTCAGAAAAAAGATGTTGACAGGCTAGAATGATGATTTTAGACCAAGAAGCTAATTTAACATATCAAAAGAACAAGTACAGGATCCAGGAGACTTGGCTTTATAGAAATTCATTTGAAAAGTTCTACAGTTTCATTTCCCTGAAATGTGGTTGCCAAAACCCTATACACTCTTAGGCAGCCTTAATGAATGTGAAGTGTCCAGAGCAAATGAGATAATTGTCCCTCTATAATATGAGCTGTTACCTACCAGTACTTGCTGTGTGGTAGGCATGTAAACACCTTATGTGCATTATCGCATTTAATACACTAATAAACCTTTGATGGTAGGTGTAGTTTCTATTCCTTTTTTGATAAATGAGGAAGCCGATACACAGAAAAAGAGTGAGGCACTGAAGTCTTTAGTCAGGAGTCTTACTTGCGAACCACAGAAACCACCTTGTATTAGCTAAAGCAATAAAACAATTTGTTGAAAGTTTCTTAAATAGTTTGCCAGTTCCACAGAAAGGCAGGTGACCAGGCCTTGAACACAGGCAGGAATCACAGGGGGATGAGCAGCCCCAACTACAGCCCAAGCCAGGCCATGGGAAGAGTCCAGTGAGGATGCCGCTGGCGCCCATGTTGGTACCAGGCATCAGCAGTGCCATCGCTCCTGCTGTCACTCAACACTGCATATTACTGCCACCGGCAAGATGAATTCTCTACTGGCTCTGCTTCTTTGTGCCAGGTGCTTCAGAGTCAAAGTTCCAGAAGGAGCATCTACATAGCCAAGCCCAGCTTGTGCCTCCACCATACCCTAGCTGCCAAGGGGTGGGAGGGCAGGTGTCTGGCCTGTGGATTCTATAGCGGGAAATGAGCCCTACCTTCCATCAAGTCTTCTACTATGGCAGTTCCCCTAGACACATGAAGGAGTTCAGAGGCTGGGCAGCCTAAGCACCTGGAAATGTCCATTCCCCCTCCATACTTTTACCACTAGAATGAAAAAACAGACCCATCCAGTCTTGTTCATTCTTATATCCCCAGTGCCTAGAAAAGCACGTAGAAGGCACATAAAAAATACACATCAACTGAGTGAATAAACTCTGCACTGGTCAGACCACATCTGTAGTGTCGTGTTCTGTTGTGTACATCAAACTCCAAGAGACATCTGAGGAGACCTCAGTGTCTCCAAAGAAGGATATTGAGTCTGGAAGCTGGGTCCCATTAGTTAAGGCTGGAGGTGGTCTTCTTGGAGAAGGATGTTCTCAACAGGCAACAAAGCTGCCTTCCAGTTGCGAAAGGGCTATCACAGGGAAGAGGGAGTAGATACTTCCTTTGTGGAACTAGGGTAGTGGATGGGAGAACTCATCTTAGTATAAGAAAAAACTTCGTAAGAATTGAAGCTGCCCATAAATAAACTGGCCCAATTTGTGAGGCAACGAGTGGTAGCCCATCACCTAGAGTATTGGAGCTGAGTTGAATAACAACCTTGCAGGAAGTTGTAGAGGGAATTTGGAAATTGGTGTTGGTATAGTCTGTTACTTTATTCCTTTGTTGTTAGTTTTATAAGAGCAGATGCTGGCAGGTAGTAGTAACTGACCAGTCATGTGACTTGACTTTGTTACCATAATATTGTTGCTCAAGCCACTAGATATGTATCCTGTCCTTGGCTGGCATCGAACGACACTATATACACTTTAATGCAGGTTTTGGCTGTTTGTTAGTTTATTTAAACAACTACATAGCTGGGTATTCCCAGATAGGTATTCCTGTTATTTTGGAGTCACACAGACCTGGGTTAAAATCCATTATAACCTGTGCAACATACTTTTAAACCCTTTGGTTTTTCATTGCTTCATCTGTAATGTAGGGACAATACCTTTCAGGATTGTCAGGGGATTAGCAATAATGGAGGCAAGGGCCTGGCATGTAGCAATTGTTCAATAAATAGTATCTCTATTCTGTCTGCGTTCACTCCTTTCTTCATCTTCATTATCAGCTTTTTCCATGGTAACAGGTTTTTACTAGATGAAAATGTTTTCATGTTGTAGCAACCAGGCAAACTTCAAATCTTGGCCCTGCCACCTGGCAGGTGGATGATCCTAGTACAGGCCACTGAACCTTTGTGTCTCACTTGCACCATCTCTAAAATATGAGTAGCAGCACCTAAATTTACTGTGAGGATTAATTGAGAAAATACACTTGACTCTTAGGCCAGTTCCTGGCACACATTAAACTCTGGATAAATGTTATTTTTTATTTCACAAACGGGTGAAACTGAGAGAGCTTAGAGCAGGACATATAGGCTGCTTTACCAGCTTTGTGAATATGAGCTTCTCTGGCTCCTGCTTTCCTCCTGGTGGAATGAAAGGGGGATTAGACGACCTCAAATATTCTCTTGTCTAAAATGCTTCCCTCGTCTGCTGGGTCAGGGTGGTGACCTGGGCAGGATTTGATCTGGAGCTTTCCTCCACATTGTAGGTTGTTGGAGGAAGAGTCTTCCAAGAGGGCTGAACTAGAAAAGTGGCACTTGGAGCAGCAGCAGGCCATTCAGACAACCGAGGCGGAGAAGCAGGAGTTGGAGAATCAGCGTGTCCTGAAGGAACAGGCCCTGCAGGAGGCCATGGAGCAGCTGGAGCAGCTTGAGTTAGAACGGAAGCAAGCACTTGAGCAGTACGAGGTAATGAGACTTGGCCCTGCAAACTTGTATATTTAAATTTTTGAAAAACATTTCTCAATAATAGAATTATTTGCTTAGCTGCCAATATGAAGCTGTAGTAAGAATCTTGCTTAGCTGTAAGAAAGAAAAAAGAGGGAGTTTTTACAGGAGATAAGATATATTATACATCCATCAGAGACAGAAACTGCACAGTAATTTGAACAGGGAAAGTTTAATATAAAACATTATTAACTGTCATAGGAGATTACCTACTGTGTTGTAAAGAAGGCTTTGAGAATGCAGGAACAGCAGACGTAGGGAGCAGCCACTGCCTCGAAAACTGAGGCAGAGCACCAGGGAGGGAGTGGATCTGGAAGAGCATTCTTTGCTTCTTGCCCCTTAACCCCAGTGTTGTGATCCATACCTCCATGGAGAGGGTGCACAGATGGCAGAAAAGTTTGTTGAGGTGCTGTGCCAGCAAAGCTCACTGGGAGGCCACCGGCAAAAGCTGCCCACAGGGAGGTGCTACAGAAACTCACTGGTGGTGAGCACTGTGGGTGTTCTGAGTGCCACAGGAGCCGCTGAGTGGAACCTAGAAGAAAAGTCCCTCCCTCCTCGTGTCCCTTCAGCACCCTCTACTGACAAAGCTTTATGCTGCCAGCTAGTGAGGAGAATTATTTTAGTTTCACCAGCAGGACAGTTCAGGGTGGATTTGGAGTGGAGAGGCAGTAAACTGTAACTGGCACACAGGGCCATACACCCATTGTAATTCGTATGCAGATGGTGGAAGAATAGGCTTTGGAATCAGACAGCCTGGGTTCCAATTCTGGCTCTACCATTTCCTGCTGTGTGACTCTCGGCAGGTTACTGACCTTCTCTGAACCCGTTTTCACTCTGTACAATGGGGTAATAGTAGTTCCCACTTCTTAGAATGGGCTATGAGAGGATTTAATGAGATAATTCACAAATACATAGTAAGGGCCCAATAGTTGTGATTTGGTTCTTAAACTACCCGTGTGTCTGCATAGTCCAAAATCCACTTTTGTTTCAGGAAGTTAAAAAGAAGCTGGAGATGGCAACTAATAAGACCAAGAGCTGGAAGGACAAAGTGGCCCATCATGAAGGATTAATTCGACTGATAGAACCAGGTAACAGACTCTATGAAGTAATCATATATTTATTTTTATTTTTCATTTTTATTTTATTTAATTAATTTATTTATTTTGAGATGGAGTCTCGCTCTGTCGCCCAGGCTGGATGGAGTGCAGTGGTGCGATCTTGGCTCACTGCAAGCTCCGCCTCCTGGGTTCATGCCATTCTCCTGCCTTAACCTCCCAAGTAGCTGGGACTACAGGTGCCCGCCACCACGACCGGCTAATTTTTTGTATTTTTAGTAGAGACGGGGTTTCACCGTGTTAACCAGGATGGTCTTGATCTCCTGACCTCGTGATCCGCCCGCCTCAGCCTCCCAAAGTCCTGGAATTACAGGCGTGAGCCACCACGCCCTGCCCATATATTTATTTTTAAATTTATTTTTCTGTTTCACTTGTGTATTTGAATTGTACTAAAGAAACTTTTTTAGCCCAAATGTAAAAAAACCAAGCTGTTCAGGATAAATTTCTCTTGAAAATCTTATCCCCTAATAGGTAAGAGGGCCCAGTTAATCCCCTTGGTATACATCTTCTAATTGTTTTAGCTGGTATGACATTTATGCATGTTCCTCAAAGAAGAAATAAAGTAGGGAAGTTACTATTTTGTCTGTAGAAAAATGATGGGGTATCCTGAAGAATATAATACTTCCTGTATTTAAAGCATGTTTGCCTCTTAGGTTCAAAGAACCCTCACCTGATCACTAACTGGGGACCTGCAGCTTTCACTGAGGCAGAACTTGAAGAGAGAGAGAAGAACTGGAAAGAGAAAAAGACCACGGAGTGACTGAGCTTGCTGGCAGTCACGTCAGTTATGTAGATACTGCATGGCAGGAGAGCTTTACGCTAAAGACAAAAGAAACAGCTTTGGGGGCCGGGCGTGGTGGCTCACGCCTGTAATCCCAGCACTTTGGGAGGCCGAGGCGGGTGGATCACCTGAGGTCAGGAGTTCAAGAGCAGCCTGGCCAACCTGGTGAAACCCTGTCTCTACTAAAAATACAAAAAAAATTAGCTGAGCGTGGTGGCGGGCGCCTGTAATCCCAGCTACTTGGGAGGCTGAGGCAGGAGAATCACTTGAACGTGGGAGGCGGAGGTTGCAGCGAGCTGAGATCATGCCGTTGTACTCCAGCTTGGGCAACAGAGTGAGACTCCATCTCAAAACAAAACAAAACAAAACAAAACAAAAAAACCCGGCTTTGCTGCTTTTAACTCTTCTTCCTTCTGTGCCTCTCTAAGTGGGTCAGTATCCTAAGGAAGCCTTCTTATTTATCTTCCTGCAAACAAGGGTTACCTGAAAAGAAAAAAAAAGTCAACATTGTCAAGCTGTTTGTTTACTCTTTCTTTGAAAACATCACCTTCTGAAATTTGTCTTTTAGCTCTCTCAGATTCTTCCCCAAATGAGGCAGGGTGCAGACAGCACAGTCAGCTCTGCAGAGTTTGGAGGGGCTCACTGCCACTGGGTACTCAGAACCTCTGTGGACTGGATGTCAGCTCTTTCCTTTGGCAGCGTGTTTCCTTTTCCGAGTATGTGCTGTTAAACTAGATTGGCCGGTTCGCTTTCCATTTCCTGACACTTGACATGGAATGCCTTTGACCATTGGTGCTCTGACAGAGAAGTCATGGAGTCATTGCCATTTCCTGGTTGCCCTTTTGGAATGTGATCCTGTTAGTAGAGGTTTTCTAGCTTCTACTAAGATATTTCTTTCCCTAACCATCATACACTTGGCATGTTTCATTCCCATCTCCTTTCCCCTCACCTTAAAGGAGACTACCCCTTTGCCCCATATTGTCAACCTAATTTTCTCTCGTACTCTCTCTAGTGAATGATGTGCTACCAAGTATATGCCAGGCTGTGAGAGGATTATACTGAGTAGTAGAAAGAAGCTAATTTGAAATAAAAATTATTTGTATAATTAAGAAAGCAGATTAGATGCACATGGTCAACAGGAAGTTGACTGTATGTCTGCTAGTTAGATTCAAAACATCATAAAGATGATAGCATGTCAATATATTAGCCTAGCCATTATGTTAGCCTTTGTTAGGTGGGCAGCTTTTCTGCTTTTTCCCTTCCTCTGTGGTGACAACGGAGGAAATATCCAACAGAAATACGTCTAACAGGGAAATTGGGATCATAGTTTATATGCATCTGATTTGAAAGGAGTATTGAGGAAGGTTTTCATATATGATCTATCTTTGGATTAAAAAGAACATTTATGAAATCAAGCCTTCTAACACTAGTTATAATTGAGAAGCAACAGTAACTCCGTGGACAGCAATCAAGCTTAAAATTGTAAATAAATATGGGGATAATTCAGTTGTTGCAAAAAAAGGGCAGAATTCAGTAGAATAAAGTCCTTTTCTCTTACAGGTATTAAATGAGGACAGAGAACCTCAGGTGTTCTTATGCTAGTGCTTGCTGAGTGCATACTAAGAAAGCAATTCCAAATAGATGTATACATCTAGAGAGAGTGGTATTAGAGATTCAGTGTATGTATTTATTTACATGAGAGGAAACTGGAATATAATCCCATAAATTATCACCTTTTATGACTGGAAAATATTTGCCAATGAAGAAATGGTCTGTAGGTATTTGTCTTAAGATTTTTGGCTGTTTAATAAAAATGTAACTTTAACGGTTTCTTATAGTTGCCTTTATAAAGTGTATTGTCTAAAATATTTTTGTATCATGTGCCTTTGAAATTTGACAGCTGATTTGGGTGTTGGATTTCTGCCCAGCCATTTATCAGTATTATCATTTTATTCAGTAGCTGGCAGGTGTATTAGACCAACGAGACTTAGGTAAGGAATGGAACCTTTCCTGTGGTTTGACTGCACATTACACCAGAAGACTCCAGTATCCCTCATTCCAGAATGAGGAAAAAGTATTCTACAAAGAACCTAATCACCTCTGTGAAATCTATGGGATGGAAACAGTGTGGCCTTAGGAGTCAAATAGTCTCTGCATGGTGGGGAGGATCATGATGGAATATGTGAATTTCTACTTCTAGAAGTTGTGAAATAGGTCCTGCACTTTTGCAGAATGTCCTTCTTTAAACCTGGCTTATTCCACAGCTGTAGCTGATAACATGACCTGGGGCTTAGCTGCTCTAGCCCTGGGTTCTTGGAGACCTCACACTGCCTGGCCCCTGGCCATCCACCTAAGGACTGCCTGCTTTCTGGTCACATGTGGACCTTGATACGACTAAGCGGTTACATATGTGGTTGTGCAAAAGCTTTCTGTTTAATGCATAGTGTTACCGATTTACATCTTGGTTTTCAGTGGCACTATGTCTAGGAGGCAATATCCTTTTAAACAGTGCTTTGGCTAAGATAGATACTTGTGAATCAAAGATAGCACAGAAATGAACTAAGTATATCCCATTTGGAATTATATTTTGATACTATTTAAAATGGTTTCACCTGTTAAAGGGCCAACAGAACTCTTGGTTTTACTTTTGTAATTACTGTACAGAAAATTTCAAGAGTGTTTGAGTGCTTGTCATCAGGTGTTTTCCTTAATAAGTAGGGATATGATCATTTACAGGAATTATATATGAAAAAAGTTTTTGAAATGTATTTTTGTGATGTGCTATGTTGAGGGGAAACCAAATATTTATGATTTTAAAACATTCGTATGAAAACATTGTACAATGTAATATGCTCAACTTTCTCAATTTTTTGCTAATTTTTCTAAGATACATTAAAAATGTTTTATATTTTTTTTTAAGTAAAATGGACCCAGTAAGAAAATTAAAAATACCAGAACATACACTTTAAACTGTCTGATTTAATAAAACAGTGGGGGGTAAAGTTGGGTGTATCTATGTGTATTTTCATATAATGAGATGGACTTTGGTTTAGGGACATTTCCTGAAAACACTGGGTTTGGAGTTTAGACCCCAAGAAGTTAGCTGTGGCCTCATGTTTGGTGTTTGAGTCACGAATGTGGGGAAGCCATGGCTGATGTGTCAGCTCACAAACGGGAACTTACAAAGATGATTTCTCATTCATTGTTGCTGTTACCTTCAAATTTTCTTACCTCTGTTTTCCTTAGTTTTCTTTTTATGCCTTTCAGTTTTTCTTTCACCAGAGTAAACCGTGTGGCTTTTTGTTTGTTTGTTGTGGTTTGCATTGTTGCCAAGATAAAATGCCTGTTGTGGACTAAGTGGGCCCACTCAGGCCAGCTTGATTGTATATTGGAAAGCTGATCTTTCCCTCTTGGAGGGAGGGAGAGGACACTGGTTGGTGTGTTTAAAAACTGTTCTTTCTGAGGCGGGCAGATCATGAGGTCAGGAGATCGAGACCATCCTGGCTAACACGGTGAAACGCCGTCTCCACTAAAAATACAAAAAAATTAGCCAGGCGTGGTGGCGGGCGCCTGTAGTCCCAGCTACTCGGGAGGCTGAGGCAGGAGAATGGCGTGAACCCGGGAGGCGGAGCTTGCAGTGAGCCAAGATCATGCCACTGCACTCCAGCCTGGGCGACAGAGGGAGACTCCGTCTCAAAAAAACAAAAACAAAAAACTGTTCTTTCTCTATCACAGTGGTTCTCAACTGGTGGTAATTTTGCCCTCCAGGGGACATTTGGCAACGTCTGGAGACATTTTTTGTTGTCACAACTGGAGGGAGTGTTGCTGGCATCGAGTAGGTAGAGGCCAGGGATGCTGCAAAACATCTTAAAATGCCCAGGACAGCCCCCATTAACAATTATGTGGACTAAAATGTCAGTAGTGGCAAGGTTGAGAAAACCTGCTCTACAGAAAGGCAAGTTCTATTATCCAGAACACAATATAACCCTTGGAGTCAGGGTTTCCCTTTCAGATGTCCTAGGAGTTGACTGACCTCTTCAGTGCAAATGAGGAGCACCTGGAAGGGAGAATGCCTGTTTCTCTGTGAGCTGGCAGAGAGCAGAGGGCAGGGACCTCTGACACACCCAGAGCCTCTGGAGGGGGTTGCTTTGGATATATTTTAAAAGACTATGATGCAAGTTGCTGAGGCATGAAGTGTAAAAGCTGCCTTAACCCTGATTTCTTTCCAGGTGGTGAAACACAGGGTGGGTCTGTCAGCACCATTTAGCAGCTTGTGAGGAATGAATTTTCAGATTTGCCACTCAGGTAGTGATGTGTCCCGCACAGCGCTTGTGCTTGTTCTAACTGGCCAAGCTTTAATTGCAACCTTCTGGGTAGTTCCAGCAAGGCACAGCTGCCCTAGTGGGGTGAGGATCAGGTGAATAAGATCAAGACATATGAAAGCGTGGGAAGAGGCACTCCTCAGCTTTTACAGTGCAGAGGAGGTGCTCCAGATTTGTTAAAGGATCAGTTTTGGGAATAGTTTATGGAATCTCTATTTCTTTCCTCTCTTTCCCCCTCTACTCCTTTTTTATATATTAGAGACTGTAATAATCACCTCCCTACTTCCTACTTGGCAATATCCACTAAAGCTAAAAACAACAGCTACCCTCCGGCCCAGCAGTTTCCACTCATTTCAGAGAAATGAGGCTGATGTCCACCAAAAAACTTGTATAAGAAGATTCACAACAGTTTTATTATAATGGCCCCAAACCAGAGACACTCAAATATCCACCAGTAGAGAATAGACAATTGTATTTCCAGACAATGGATACTACACCTAAATTAACATATTACAGAGAGAGGCAACCCGGCTGAATCTCACGGACATCTTGAGCAAAGAAGCCAAACACAAAAGAGCACATACTATATGATTCCTTGTATATTAATTTCCAAGACACACTGCTAATCGGTGGATTTAGAAGTGAGGGTGGGAGGCGGGTGGCTGTAAACTGGGAAGGGACACACTTGAACTTTCTGGGATGCTGTCAATGGGTGGTGGTTACACAGGAAAAAACAGCTTCACACCCAGGATTTGTGCAGTTTACCGTCTGTAACTGCAGTGCCTCTAGAAGCCTGAACTGGCTCACCTTTAAATTTTTTTTTTTTTTTTAAGAAGTCTCGCTGTGATGCCCAGGCTTGAGTGCAGTGGTGTGATCTCAGCTCACTGCAGCCTCTGCCTCCCAGGTTCAAGGGATTCTCCTGCCTCAGCCTCCCAAGTAGCTGGGACGACAGGCGTGTGCAGCACAGCCGGCTAATTTTCGTATTTTTAGTAGAGGTTTCACCATGTTGGCCAGGCTGGTCTCAAACACCTGACCTCAATGATATGCCCTCCTCAGCCTCCCTAAGTGCTGGGATTACAGGCCTGAGCCACTGCACCTGACCTCACCTTTCAATTTCAGATAAGGAACTAGAAGGTGACACGTGAAATCTGTACCGGACTTCTAGGATGCTGTTCATTACACCACCCACCTCCTCTCGGGTCCTGATTACATTTTTATGTCAAACATTTAATTTCTCAGTGCCCCATCACCCAGCTAGTGGCCATGTGCCACCCCTACATACAGAGGAGGGCCCTGACCCTTTCTAGTCCTGTGCTCAGCTTCCATTGAGTCTTCTGAGGCTGCCGAGTCTTTGGCCCTGGGTAGTGGATACATCTGTGGTGGACACTAAATTCCAAGCAGGGCTACACTCAGCCTCCTTTTCCTGTTCCCACCACACACAGGCAGTCCATGGTCTCTTAGGATTGTGCACCCACAGGAATGCAGGCCTTTGTGTTTATATCCCCCTCAACAGTTCACAAGGGCCAGCTGAGGTCCAGCAGGACTTCAGGAGTGGGTAGACGAAAGCTCTGTCTAGCAAACCCCATTCTGTTCAGTCCCCAAGACCCGCAGCCCACTGCCCCCTCCTCCTCCTCATCGGAAGTCCTCGTTTCCTGTCCCATTTCACCCTGCCTCTCCCCCCTCCGACAACACTTTCTGCTTGGACCAGCAGCCCATGGGGGTTTCAGGGAGCAGTCTCCCTGCCCCACTTTCTGCATTTTCCCTCTGCTCTCAGGTTCCCTTTTCTTCCTGATGCATGGGACCAGGACGATCCTGAGCAGCTCCCCTGGGAAGACTGTTCCCCCCACAGGCTGGTTTCAGGGGATACCAGGACTGCTGCACCTCCACACTCATGTTTTCCACTCCCCTCAAAGTCCAGGCTGATAGGAGAGCAGCGTTACTGTCCAACTCTGCCAAACGTGTGTCTCCATTCCCATTTGGAGGGTGTGTCTGGAATCCTTGTTTACAAGGTGTAGAGGTGGAAGAGTTCATCCCAGAGCCCCATGGCCCTGTACACCTCACTGCAGTTAGCTGGAAGATGGTTAAAGCAGTGAGTGACTTTTTTTCTAGAGCTGTTGCCCTCCCAGCCTGGGCTACAAACAATCAGTGCTTGAATCTTCCTGCCTACCCCCACCCCAATCAGGCCTTTAGGGCACTAAGTTGGAAAGGAGCCTGGACTTCAGAGTCAAACAGGCCTGGGCTCTACTGTGGTTTTACCTTACTGTGTCATCTTGGGTGGGTTAGGATACTGTACAGGTGATGTGTCCTCAGGGTGTCACACCTGAGGCACCTGGTGTTTTGTCTTCATGCATGTTCTTTAGAAAGTCACGTGGAGGGGGTTTTCCATCTGGGCTGGGCCAGGCCACTTAATGGGCCTGTCGCTGGTGGGCTGGCCGGTTCTGAGAAGATCTGGCAGGTGACTGCGGTTGGTCAGCCATTCAAGGCTACTACTGGAGAGTCCGGGAAATACCTCAGGTGCTCTCTGCATTTCCACAGGCAAGTCTGTAACTTCTGAGGTGTCCTGCAAAGGCAGGTAGCTGGCAAATCTGTGAATGGATGAGTGCACAGAGGAGGTCCCAGGTGAGGGTGACAGCCCAGCAACACACTTCCCCAGTCA